>NC_000007.14:100688597-100991627 GCF_000001405.40 Homo sapiens
GCCTGGCCCGGGAAGAAGGAGGGCAGGGGCTGGTGCTGGAGTGAACGAGGGTACCCAAGCCACTGGGAATTGGTCTGACCTCAGTAGAGCCTGGGAGGGACCTTCACATCTGGGAAAGACCCTTAAGGAGAGCAGGGGGGAGGAGGGAGGGTTCAGGACATGGCTCTGCCGGCAGCCCTGCCCTGCCCCGCATGACAGGAGAGGTCCATTCGCCGGATGGTGTCTCTGGGCATCAGCACCCTCGCCACCCTCTCTGGGAGGCTGAGACAGGAGGTGTAGTGAAGAACTCGGGGAGGGAGGCAGCCGAGGCCAGGATGGACGTTCAGGGCAAAGATAAAACAAAAACAAGCAAGCAAACAAAAACCCACTAGAGCCACAAATAGCTTACAGAGAAAAGGTCAGTTACGGAGAAAAGGATTAGAAATAAATCTAGGAGCAAAATTCTTTCCCTCATGAAAAAAATCAGTTGGCTGCTCAGAAGCTCAAATCCAGGGGCTTGGTCTGGGGAGAAACCCAGTGAAAAGGAGCAGGAGGTGACTCTAGGGCCACAGACGGGTACACGACAAGGACTCCAGGCAGGCAAGCCTGAGCCAAGGCACCTCGGGCTGGTTTCCCCCACAGGAATCACACCCAGACCACCGCCCCCAATCAATAATGGAGGCTTAAACAACCAAGCCACCAAGGGAACGAGGATCTCAGGATACCAGCTGGGAAGCAGCCTCTGGCACCATCAGGTGGAAATAAGGTCAGGGCAATGGAGGCTGATGGGGGCGCGGCGGCAGCCTGTTCCTCTAAGGGAGGATGGAGGGGACTTTCAGGAGGAGGCGCATCCCTGGGGCCCCAGGCAGAGGACTCAAGCGGGTGGGCGGGGTCCAGGTGCTGCGGTGTTGTCACTGGCTGGGAGGGAGGCTGGCCCGGCTTGGTGCTGCAGCTCCCATCAACTCCAGGACGCCACAGTCTGGGAAAGAAGAGGAAGCGGGTTCAACCAGGGTGCTGAGGAGGAAAGGCCATCAGCCCCAGCTGAGCCAGCAGCCCATGACAAGCCGAGGCCTGCTCAGAGTCCAGGCACTCCAGGGGGAAACACCGGGCTCAGAGGCAACCCAAGGCCAGGCTGGCCTCCCCTGGGACCTCTCCTTCCTCTGCCTCGGCTGGATGCTCCAGTGGTGGTGTGTTCCATGACATGAAAAGCCACCAGCCTGTCACTGACTGCAGGTGGCCACCTAGAGCAATCTGGGGACTGGATGAGCCTTGAGGACATCACGCTAAGAGAAACACACCAGCCAAAAAAGGAGAGCTACCCCTTACTTCTCTTTCATGAGGTCTCTAGAGCAGTCACTCATTGAGGGAGGAAGGTAGAAGGGCAGCCACCAGGGGCTGAGGGGACAGGGAGCTGTTGCTGAAGGGTCCAGAGCCTCAACTGAGGAGGGGATCCTGGGGCCGCTGGTGGTCATGGCCGCACACCAATGTGAGTGTACTTAGTAACACAGAATGGCACAATTAGAGACAGTTAAAGTCTCCAAATTTTGTTGTATATTTTACCACAATAATCATTTTTTTAAAAAAGCTTTAGGGAACAAAAGGTATCTGGAGATAACCACCGCATACCTAAGTTTTCCCCACTCCAAGAAAAACACCCCACATTCCTTCAAATCAGCCTCAGGAGAGGCCATTTTGGGCCTCCTCCAGTTCATTCCTTCTAGAAGGCCAGAAGCTCATCCTGGAGGCATGAGGGTGGGAGAGAGTAGAACAGAAAAGGGACCACCTGGCCAGCACAATGGCTTATGCCTATAATCCCAGCACTGTGGGAGGCTTGAAGAGAGGAGTCCGAGACCAGCCTGAGTAACAGAACAAGACCACGACTCTACAGAAACAATTCTAAACATTTTTTAAAAAAGAAAAAGTGGCCAGGCGTGGTGGTTCATGCCTGTAATCCCAGCACTTTGGGAGGCCAAGGCAGCCAGATCACCTGAGGTCAGGAGTTTGAGACCAGCCTGGCCAACGTGGCAAAACCCTGTCTCTACTAAAAATACAAAAATTAGCCAGTCCTGGTGGTAGGTGCCTCTAATCCCAGCTACTCGGGAGGCTGAGGCAGGAGAATCGCTTGAACCCAGGAGGCGGAGGTTGCAGTGAGCTGAGATTGCGCCCCTGCACTCCAGCCTGGGCAACAGAGCAAGACTCTGTCTCAAAAAAAAAAAAAAAAAAAAATTTAAAGCGATGGCCTCACACTGCCCCCTGCCAGGCGCAGCAAGGGCAGCTCTCCTAGGTGCCTCCGGCTCAAGTCACCCATCCTGGCTGTGTCTTGGCTGCAAGGGGCACACAAAGGGGGAATGGTTCATGCAGACTGAGGACAGCGACACCAAGACAGGGGAGAGAGCAGGCCCAGAGCAGGAAAAAGCCCATGCCACCCGCCTTCTTGGGAAGAAACCAGGAGAGTGAGGTTAACTCTCTAGGCACCCCCACAGCAGGGTCTGGTGCCGGAAGCTGATGGTGCCTGGCCCCTTCCTTGGACTAAAGGAACTAGTGGCACACCTGCAGGCCACCATGGGGCTCCCACCCTCCAACAGGTTCTGGACTGGGGGCACCTCTGCTCCTCAGGGGGCTCTTGGCCAAGTCTAGAGACATTCTGGGTTGTCACCACTGGGCAGGGGGTGCACAGGGCAGCCCCACAGCCAAGAGCTATGTGACTCCAGATACCAAGTGCGCCAGTGCTGAGACACCCTCCTCTGCGCCACGAGCATGGGCACAGCCCTTGGGGGTCTACTGGGCCAAGGGGAAGGCAAGGGAAGGCAGGTGTGTGCACGCTGGGTCATTCTCCTCTCTGAACAGCAGGGACATCATTCCCTAATTACACTGTCCCACGAGGGAAATCTGAAATCCTGCCAGGAGAAAATCTTTGAGAAAAGAATAGATTTTTTTTTTTTAAGAAAAACTGCCTAAGTTTGTCTATTGCAAGCTCTCAGGGCCAGGTATCTGATCCCTGTCCAATGAAGGTAAGAGCAGGAGGTGGCGGGGGCTGGGGTACTGCCACCTGCCCGTCTCAGCTTACCCGGCTGAGCTTTCTCAGCTCAGGGTCTCCTTCTCACAGGCCCCTTCCAGCCTGTCCCCCGCCCTGGCCCTGCCCTCAAGCCTCGGCCTACTTCGGCTCCTCGCCCCTTCCCCACCCCTTCTCTTTCTCGGGCCTGTCTACCCTCACTCCCCCAGCATCTGAATCAATGCTTTTGAAAGACTGCCCCCTGCCGGAGACAAGGGGCGAGGACACGCTGGGCCCGGGTGCTCCAGTAGGCGCCAGGGCGCGCGGGAAAGGGAGCCTGCTCTCTGGGGCTCAGAACTCAAGAGAGAAAGAAAAGACAGAGAACAGGCGGTCCCAGTGCACATTCAGCTAAGAACATTATCTCCTCACTCCATCACCCCTAAAATTAGCTCCAACACAGAGCACTGTGCCTTGGCACAGAACAGAGCCACTTAAACAGAAGCACAGTCCCCAATTCCTCAACACTGGAACAACCGCCCAGCCCCAGGCCTGCTGGAGGGGACCTGGCCCTTTCTCAGGATGGAGATTCTCCAAGCGTGGTAGGGTGAGGACGCTGAGGCTTAAAAAAGAGATGCAAACCCGCATTCTTCGCGGCTGGTCGGTTATCCCAGCTCTCTCCTCTCTGAGCCATCCCAGCAAATCACACCACCGCTTGGCAATTGTCTACAAGTTAACAGTTTTCAAAGGATTTTCACTCTTTACCTCCTGTGATCCCTTTTGCCCACTTGCCCAGCCTTGGGCTCCAGCCAGGGAAAAGAAGGAGGAAGCTGCTCCGACAGCGTGCCCCGACATCCTTGACACTATGCAAGACTGGAGGTGCGCACGGTAGCAGTAACCATCCCAAACTCGCAAGCATTATTCTGTGAGTTTGAAGCCATTTTACATTTGTTAGACTTTCAACATCCTTCATCTAGCCTCCTCCTCTCATCTTCTCTCCTCTAAAGTGGGCTATTTTTCTTTAATTCCCAAATTCCAATAGCAGATGTAAAAGTTAGGGCTAACGCATCAGATCACGAACACAAGACTGATGTGTCCAACAGCAGAAAAAGCTAGTCCAGAAGTTTAAGCACATGGTCCACTTGACTAACCACCACGTGGGACCCTCAGGGCCCCTGGTCCCCAGGCAATGGCAGGGACACCAAGGCCAGGTCTACCCTCAAATCCTTCCCAATGGCACGACAGACCGCTGGGGGACCAAGACCTACAATCTAAGAAAATCAGATTGGAGCTGGCTAGCCTGGTGGAGGGTGGCTAGCCTAGGTCTGCAAAGGGCACAGGAAAGATGGGAAGGAGAAAGAACCCCAAATCCCCCATGTCGGCAGCAAAGGAGAGACCCTTACTGGTACCACCGATGGTGTTTCCATGCCAAAGGCGAGGGGTTGGCGGGGTTCTAAATTGAAACTTCTATATAGACTCGAAGAGGCAGTGCACAAGAGGGTGGGAAAGCTGACGATCTTCCAGAACGACACTTTGAGAGGCAGGAGGGAAGTAAGGCTTGGGTGGCTGGAAAAAAAAAATCCAATCCAGCTAACAAGTCTTTATGTAGCATCTCCTAGTTCCTAGCACTAGGATGCAACAGACCTGGAGTCTGACCGGGAATGCGAGTAATGACTGTATAACAGAGAAGAGAGACGAGGGGCTTTTAAAAAGTTACTCGGAAATTTTTTTGTTTTTTTTTTTTTTTAAGGCAAAGTGTGAGAGCTGTGGCCAGGGAGCTGCTGCACGGAGGGGCATGAGCTGAGAAGGGCCTGGCCTGGGACGGGGAGGACAAGCAGTCTCTGCTAAGGAAGGTATTTCCCGCGGCCGAGCAACTGGGAAGAAGGAGACCCCAATGACCCAGCACTAAGATCGCCGGAGCGAAAGGAAACAGAGGTGAGGAGGACCCAGGCGAGGTGCCTGGGTGGAGGGCAAGGCTTCCATGTTGGCCAAAGTCGTGGAACGCTTGGACCTGGGGAACCGCAAGGCCCAGCTCGTTCCGAGGGGAACCCAAAGGCGCGCTGGGGAGAACTCCGGGAAGCGCGGGGCCCGGCCACCCTAGGACGCTAGGGTCGGGGGCCCCCAGGCGGCCCAGGGCAGGGCTTGGCAGGGGCCCGGGGGCGACCGTTAGGAGCGCGGGGGTGGAAGGCAGCGCGCCGGCCCGGGAGGACGGCGTGCCCTTCAGGGAGGGGCGCCAGGTGCGAGGGGGGCGAGCGGTCGCCCCCTAAGCCGGGCGCCGGCCTCCCGGGGCCTCCCCGAGGCTGGCCGGCTCTGGGGGAGGGTCCCGGCGGCGGGGATGGGCCGGAGCGGGCGGGAGAGCGGGAGGACGCACCGGGCTGCGGCGGCCTCGGGGAGGAGACGGGGGAGGGTCCTCGCTGGCGGCCCGCGCGCTGGCTCCGGCGCTTCTCTAGCTCGCGGGCTCGGCGCGGCCGCCGCGGCGTCGGGGGCGGGCCTGCCCCGGGGCTGGGCTGCGGGCCGGGGGCCGCGGGGCCACTGGGCGCTTACCGCGGGCGGCGCGAGGGTCCGGTCCCGGGGCGTGGGCGGCGCGCGGCGGGCGGGGGCCGGGGACGGCGACGGCGGCTAGCAGCGGGGGAGGGGGCGCTGGCGCTCCCGCGGCGGCCGCTCCTCTGTGTTTGTGTTTGTAGCAAGATGGCTGCCCGCCTCGCACCACGTGACGCGGACGCGGGGCCGCGGGGCCGCCCCTTCCACCGCCGCCGCCGCCGCCGCCGCCGCCGCCGCCGCCGCCGCCGCCGCCGCCGCCGCCGCCGCCGCCGCCGCCTCCCTCCGCGGCTCCGGCCCGCGCCACCTCTCCTCGTGCGCTGCTCGCGTGCCGCGCGCGCCACTGCCCGGACGCCCGTCGCCCCCGACAGCCCCCCCCCTCCCCGCCCCGACACGTGACCTGGGCGCCCGGCTGGTCACGTGACGGGGGCCCCCAGCTGCGGGCGGGATCGGCCCCAGAGCGGCCTCCTCTCCCCCACCTCCCCCGGCCCCGCGACGCGCGACCTCTGGGACCGAGGCCGCGGCCTCCCTGGCGGTCCGGTTTCCTCCAGGAAGCCCGCCTGGATGACAGGAGACAATAAAATCCAGAACCCTTCATCAGGCGTCCTGGGATGTGTGAAATAAGTGGCTCAGGCAAATAAGTTGACTCTCAGGAGCCTCTTTATTTTTTTAATTATTTATTTAATTATTGAGACAGAGTGTTGCTCTGTCCCCCAGGTTGCAGTCCAGTGGCGCGATCTCGGCTCACTGCAGCCTCCGCCTCCCGGATTCAAGTGATTCTCATGCCTTGGCCTCCCGAGTAGCTGAGATTACAAGCACACACCACCACGTTTGGCTTATTTTTGTTGGCCAGGCTGGTCTAGAACTCCTGACCACTCAAGTGATCCGCCTGTCTCGCCCTCCCAAAGTGCTGGGATTACAGGCGTGAGCCACCGCGCCCGGCCCCTATTTATTTATTTTTTTGAAGCAGGGTCTCACTCTGTTGCCCCAGCTGCAGTGTACTAGCCCGATCTCGGCTTACGGCAGCCTCCAACTCCCGTGTCTCAAGCGATCCTCCCATCTCAGCCTCCTGAATTGTTGGGACTATAGGTGTGCACCATCACACCCAGATAACTTTTTTATTCTCTGTAAAGACTGGGCGGGTGGCGTGTCTCATAACATTGCCCAGGCTGGTCTTGAACTCCTGGTCTCAAGGGATCCTCCTGCCACAGCCTCTTGAGTAGCTGGGACTACAGCTGTGTGCCACCACACCCAACTAATTTTTTTAATTTATTGTATTTGTTGTTTGTTTGTTTTCCAAGACAGAGTCTTGCTCTGTCGCCCAGGCTGGAGTGCAGTGGCGCGATCACGGTTAACTGCATCCTGCGCCTCCTGGGCTCAAGCAATCCTCCTGCCTCAAGCACCCTGAGTAGCTAGGACTACCAGGGCACACCACCACGCCCAGCTTTTTTTTTTTTTTTTTTTTTTTTTTTGTAGAGACAGGGTTTCCCCCATGTTGCCCAGGCTGGTCTTGAACTCCTGGACCCAAATGATCCTCCTTCCAAAGTGCCGGGAACTCCTGGACCCAAATGGATCCTCCTTCCAAGGTGCCGGGATGACAGGCATGAGCCGCCACGCCTGGCCTCTCAAAAGCCTCCGTTTCTCTTACAGAAGGATGTTAACACTGCTCTGCACCCAACCCCCGACCCCCAACTCCACACTCTTCCTTGAGTGCTGTAAGAATTAAAATAAGTGAATGTGAAAGGCTTTGACAAGAGAGAAACTGCTATGCAAATGTGAGGTGACTGAAACCCCCTTTGTTTAAAAAAAGGACTTTTCAAGAATGACTCGCTGAACTTTTTCAAGGCTCAAAAGTTCCGCGTATGCTTTCACCTTTTTCTTTGGAAGTTACTCCAGAATGTATACCTTACTTCCCAGAAGCCTAAAAGAGCTGTCGCCCAACACAATGTAATCCTCAAAACAAGGAAAAGGTAAGTTCATGACTTGGAATTTGAGTGCCTGGTGTCTTGCCATGATAGAGTGTTGACTTCAGGAACTATTATACCTGGAACAACTTTTGTTTCCCCCACCAAGTACCACTAGGCTTCTCTGCACTTGGAGTTTTCCTGTCTGTTTTCCTTTTTTAACTATTTTATTTATTTAAGAGACAGGGTCTTGCTCTGCTGCCCAGCCTGGAGTGCAGTGGCACAATCAGCTCACTGCAGCATCGACCTCCTAGGCTTAAGTGATCCTCCCTCCTCAGCCTCCCGAGTAGCTGGGATTGCAGGGAGTGGCACACCACCATACCCGGGTATTATTTATTATTTATTTTTTTTTTGAGAAAGAGTCTCACCCTGTTGCCCAGGCTGGAGTGCAGTGGCGTGATCTCAGCTCACTGCAACCTCCGACCCCAGGTTCAAGCAGTTCTCGTGCCTCAGCCTCCCAAGTAGCTGGGATTACAGGTGTGTGCTACCATGCCTGGCTAATTTTTGTATTTTTAGTAGAGACAGGGTTTCACCATGTTGGCCAGGCTGGTCTCGAACTCCTGAACTCAGGTGATCTACCTGCCTCAGCCTCCAAAAGTGCTGGGATTACAGGCACGAGCTACTGTGCCTGGCCCAGCTATTATTTTTTACTTTTAAATTTTTGTACAGACTGAAGTATCACTATGTTGCCTGGGCTGTTCTCGAACTCCTGGGCTCAAGCAGTCCTTCCATATTGGCCTCCCAAAGTGTTGGGATTACAGGCATGAGCCACTGTGCCTGTCCTGCTGTCTGTTTTTATATTTTATTTAATATTTTAATTTTTTTCGAGACGGAGTTTCGCTCTGTCGCCCAGGCTGGAGTACAGTGGCGTGATCTCAGCTCACTGCAACCTCCACCTCCTGGGTTCAAGTGATCCTCCCACCTTAGTCTCCTGAGTAGCTGAGACTACAGACAGGCGCCACCATGCCCAGCTAATTTTTGTATTTTTGGTAGAGATGGAGTTTCACCGTTTTGGCCAGGCTGGTCTCAAATTCCTGGCCTCAAGTGATCCTCCCGCCTTGGCCTCCCAAAGTGTTGGGATTACAGGCGTGAGCCACCGTGCCCTGCCAGCTAGCTTCCTTTCTCAAAGAGGGAGTTTATAGGCTTTAATTTCTGCTGACTTCAGCATCAGTGTTCACACTTTACAGTTGGTGGGGATTACTTGTCCAAAGTCACACATTGGTGTCCAGGAGATCCAGGGAGACCCCTCTGGTCTTCCACCGTGATTGTATTAGTCAGTTCTCATGCTGCTAATAAACCTTGTCCTTCCTTGAGCCCAGAAGCCTGGGCAACAAAATGAGTTCTTGACTCAAAAAGAGAGAAAAGTGAAAAAATATAATAAAAAACAAAAAAGAACTGTGAGTCTCCCATGAAGAATTTAAAAATTACAAAGAAATCACTTGGACCTAATTGGCCGGGCATGGTGGCTCACACCTGTAATCCCAGCACTTTGGGAGGCTGAGGCAGGTGGATCACCTGAGGTTGGGAGTTCAAGACCAGCCTGACCAACATGGAGAAACCCCGTCTCTACTAAAAATACAAAATTAGCCAGGCGTGGTGGCACGTACCTGTAATCTCAGCTACTAGGGAGGCTGAGGCAGGAGAATCGCTTGAACCTAGGAGGCGGAGGTTGCGGTGAGCAGAGATCACGCCATTGGACTCCAGCCTGGGCAACAAGAGCGAAACTCCATCTCAAAATAAAGAAATCATTTGGAGCTAATGTGTTTTTGTTTGTTCAGGTGCTGCTCTGTAAAATGTCTTGGTCTGTGTTCTAAATTTGCAAACTTTTTAACTAAACAAAGAGATTTGTTTGGAAGGTTAATGGAGATGAAAGAGTGGTCTCACGCAGACCAAACAGCCAGCCTCTGCCTTTCTTTTCTTTTTCTTTTCTTTTTTTTTTTTTTTTTTTTGAGACAGAGTCTTGCTGTGTTGCTCAGGCTGGAGTGCAGTGGTGCAACCTCCGCTCCTCCGGGTTCAAGCGTCTTGTATTTTTAGTAGAGATGGGTTTTGCCATGTTGGTCAGGCTGATCTCAAACTCCTGACCTCAGGTGATCTGCCTGCCTCAGCCTTCCAAAGTGCTGAGATTACAGGCGTGAACCACCGTTCCTGGCCCTTTTTCTTTCTTTCTTTTCTTTGAAACGGAGTCTCCCTCTGATGCCCAGGCTGTAGTGCAGTGGCACGATCTTGGCTCACTGCAAGCTCCGCCTCCCGGGTTCATGCCATTCTTCTGCCTCAGCCTCCCGAGTAGCTGGGACTACAGGCACCCACCACCACGCCTGGCCAATTTTTTGTATTTCTAGTAGAGACGGGGTTTCACCGTGTTAGCCAGGATGGTCTCGATCCCCTGACCTCGTGATCCACCTGCCTTGGCCTCTTAAAGTGCTGGAATTACAGGCATGAGCCACCACGCCCGCCCCGCCCCCACTTTTTTTTTTTTAATGGCAGATTCCTCTTCAGTGTTTTCCTTTGATGAAATGTAAGGAGAGGGCTGGATGCGGTGGCTCACGCCTGTAATCCCAGCACTTTGGGAGACCGAGGCAGGTGGATCATGAGCTCAGGAGTTCAAGACCAGCCTGGCCAACATGGTGAAACCCCCGTCTCTACTAAAAATACAAAAATTAGCCTGCGTGGTGGCAGGCGCCTGTAATCCCAGCTACTCGGGAGGCTGAGGCAGGAGAATCACTTGAACCTTGGAGGTGGAGGTTGCAGTGAGCTGAGATTGGGCCACTGCACTCCAGCCTGAGAGACAGGGCGAGACCCCGTCTCAAAAAAAAAAGAAATGCATGCAAGGAGATAAGGACTGTCTTGTTGTCAGATCAGTTTATTGTCAAATCGGTTTATTACAGAGCTTGTCTTCATCCACCTAAATTGCGAGCCTTGATATTTATGTGGATATCAGAGTTTGCAAAACATATTTTAGGTACCATGGAAAGACACATGACCTGAGTAATGGAGTGATAGCTCATAAACTGTGCTTATTGTTAATTATCAGACATAATGGGCGTTAAAATTAATTTACTGCATTCAGAATTACTTTTGGCCCTGCGCTAAGTTCTTTGCTCAACCAAACGTAACTGCGTTGTAAGTCACCAATGACTTCCACATTGTGAAATCTACTGGTCCATTATCTTACATGACCTGTTACCAGCCAGTGACATAGACGGTCACTCCCTCCAGAAATACCATCTTCACCTGGCTTTCTGGATGCTATATTCTGTTGGTTTTCCTCCCACCTCACTAGCTGCTATTTCTCAGATTTTACTGGTTCCTCCTCTTCTCCCCATCCTCCCAGGGCTCAGACCTCCGTATTGGAACAGGATATGGGTCGGGCACAGTGGCTCACATCTGTAATCCCAGCACTTTGGGAAAGGCTGAGGCGGGAGGATCGCTTGAGCCCAGGAGTTCAAGAGCAGCCTGCACAACATGACAAAACCCCATCTCTACAAAAAATACAAAAATTATCCGGGCGTGGCAGTGCACACATGTAGTCCCAGCTACTCAGGAGGCTGAGGTGGGAGGATTGCTTAAGCCAGGGAGGCGGAGGTTGCAGTAAGTGGAGATCAAGCCACTGCACTCCAGCCTGGGTGGCAGAGCCAGACCCTGTCTCAAAAAAAAGGGAACAGGATATAGGACCTACTGCTAAACATTCCTGTCTCTGCCTAATCATTACTTCCTCTTGGAAAACCTTGGATCCCTCAAGATGATATTGGCTGTCTCTCCTTGGGGATCCACCCAATCCTATTCATGTCCCCTCAGCACAGGTCATGCGATCATGCTCACCTTGTCTTGCACACTACAATATGAGCAGTTCAGCACAGTATTATGTAATATAACTGGTATGTTCGCAGCCTAACAGGTCACCTTGATCCATCCCTTATAGCTGTGTAATATTCCATGGGATGGATGTGCCATAGATTGTTTACCATGCACTGATCAAAAGTTATCCGGAGGTCGGTGGCTCATACCTGCAATCCCAGCGCTTTGGGAGGGTGAGGCAGGAGGATTGCTTAAGTACAGGAGGTCAAGACCAGCCTGGGCAACATAGGGAGACCCCCATCTCTACATAATAAATTAATATGAAAAGAAAGCCATCTGGGTTGCTTCCCGTTGGGCTATTACAAATAAAAATGCTATGGACGGGCTGGGCACGGTGGCTCACGCCTGTAATTCTAGCACTTTGGGAGGCTGAGGCAGGTGGATCACAGGTCAGAAGTTCAAGACCAGCCTGGCCAAGATAGTGAAACCCCGTCTCTACTAAAAATACAAAAAAATGTAGCTGAGCGTGGTGGCATGCATGTGTAATCCCAGCTACTCGGGAGGCTGAGGCAGGAGAATTGCTTAAATCTGGGAGGCAGCAGTTGCAGTGAGCTGAGATTGCACCAGTGCACTCCAGCCTGAGTGACAGATTAAGACTCCATCTCAAAAAAAAAAAAAGAAAAAAAAAATGCTATGGATGTTCATGTACAGATTTTTAAATGCCAAGAAATGTTCTTGCTGGGTCATTTGGTAAGTGTACGTTTAATTTTAGAAGGAACTGCCAAACTGTTTTCTAGGATGGCTGTACGATTTTCCACTTCCACAAGCAGTGTATGTATGAGAGATCCAGTTTCCCTGCATTCTCATCCACACTTGGTATTGTTCGTATTTTGTATTTCAGCCATTTCAATACGTGTTATTGGTAGCTCGTCATGGTTTTCATGTGTATTTCCTTAATGGCTAGTGATATTGAACATCTTATGATGTGCTTATTTACCATTCTTATACTCTCTTTCACTGAAATGTCCGTTTAAGATTTGCCCATTTTCTTTTTCTTTTCTTTTTTTTTTTTTTTTGAGACAGTCTTGCTCTGTCGCCCAGGCTGGAGTACAATAGTGTGATCCTGGCTCACTGCAACCTCTGCCTTCCAAGTTTAAGCGATTTTCAAGTCTCAGCTTCCCGAGTAGATGGGATTAACAGGCGCCCGCCACCACGCCCAGCTAATTTTTGTATTTTTAGTGGAGACGGGGTTTCACCGTGTTGGCCAGGCTGGTCTCAAACTCCCAACTTCAGGTGATCCACCCACCTCAGCTTCCCAAAGTGCTGGGATTACAGGCAAGAGCCACCGCTTGCTTGCTTGCTTGCTTCCTTCCTTCCCTCCCTCCTTCCTTCCTTTTTTCTGTTTTTTCTTTCTCTCTTTCTCTCCTCTCTTCCTTCCTTCCTTCCCTTTTTCTTCCTTTCCTTCCTCTCTCTTTCTTTCTCAGACCCTCACTTTGTCACCCAGGCTGGAGTGCAGTGGTATGATCACAGTTCATTGCAGTGCTGTCCTCCTGGGCTCAAGCAATCCTCCTACCCCAGCCTCCTGAGTAGCTAGGACTGTAGGCACAGACCACCAGGCCTGGCTAATTTTTAAATTTTTTGTAGAGACAGGATCTCACCATGTTGCCCAGGCTGGATTTGCCCATTTTCTAATTGGGTTGTTCGGTTTCTACCTCTCGAGCTTAGAGAGTGCTTTATATATGCTGGAAACAAGTCCTTTGTTGGATATATGATTTGCAAATATTTTCTTCCAGTCTGTGGCTACTCTTTTCATCTTATTAATGTGATCTTTCACACAGCAAATGTTTAAACATTTTGATGAAGTCCAATTTATCATTTTTTTTTTTTGAGACGGAGTTTTACTCTTGGTGCCCAAGCTGGAGTGCAATGGCGCAATCTCAGCTCACTGCAACCTCCGCCTCCCGGATTCAAGCGATTCTCCTGCCTCAGCCTCCTGAGTAGCTGGGATAACAGGCGCATGCCACCACGCCCGGCTAATTTTTTGTATTTTTAGTAGAGACGGGGTTTCACCATGTTGGCCAGGCTGGTCTTGAACTCCTAACCTCAGGTGATCCACCCACCTCAGCTTCCCAAAGTGCTGGGATTACAGGCATAAGCCACCGTGCCCAGCCCAATTGTTTTTCTTTTATGGATTGTGCTTTTGGAGTCATGTCTAAGAACTCTTCGCCTTTAGCTGGGCATGGTGGCATGTGCCTGTAATCCCAGCTACTCAGGAGGCTAAGGCAGGAGAATCTCTTAAACCCGGGAGGCAGAGGTTGAAGTGAGCCGAGATCGCGCCACTGCACTCCAGCTTGGGCGACAGAGTGAGACTCCATCTCAAAAAAACAAACAAACAAAAAAACAAAACTCTTCACCTGACCCTACACCATGAAGTTTTTTCCTAAATCTACTATCCATTTTGTATTAACTTTTTGCATAGGGCTGAGGCTCATTTCTTTGCCTATTTGTCCAATTGTTTCACCACCACTTGAAAGGATCATCCTTTCCCCATTGAAACGCTTTTATACCTTTGTCAAAAACAAGTTGTTTGGCAGTGGCTCACGCCTGTAATCTCAGCACTTTGAGGGAGCTGAGGCAGGAGGATTGCTTGAGTCTAGGAGTTCGAGATCAGCCTGGTCAACGTAGTAAGACCTCGTCTCTACAAAAAATAAAACAAAATTAGCCGGGTATGGTGGCGCGTGCTGATAGTCCCAACTACTTGGGAGGCTGAGGCGGGAAGATGACTTGAGCCCATGAGGTTGAGGCTGCAGTGAGCCAAGATTGTGCCACTGCACTCCAAGCCTGGGTGACAAAGTGAGACACTGTCTTATAAACAAACAAAAAATTATTTTTTAAAGAGAGATAGTTGGCTGCACTTGTGTGAATCTATTTCTGAGCTCTCAATTCCATCTTATTGATTTTTGTGTCTATCCCACTGGGGAAACCATACTTTCTTGATAACTTTATTTATATAGTAAGTCTTAAAATCAGGTAGTGTGATTCCAACAACTTTTTCAAAGTGGTTTTAACTATTCTACTTCTTTTGCCTTTCCATATAAAGT
Source organism: Homo sapiens (assembly GCF_000001405.40). NCBI lineage: Eukaryota > Metazoa > Chordata > Mammalia > Primates > Hominidae > Homo > Homo sapiens. The sequence continues at coordinate 100,702,964 of NC_000007.14, forward strand.
TTAGAATAAACATCTATATTTAATACAAAAAAACTGCTGGGATTTTTGTAGGAATTGCATTACGCCTATAGATCAATTTGGGTTTTTGTTGTTGTTGTTTGAGACGGAGTTCGCTCTGTTGCCTAGGCTGGAATGCAGTGGTGTGATCTTAGCTCACTGCAACCTCTGCCTCCTGGGTTCCACCTATTCTCCTGCCTCAGTCTCCTGAGTAGCTGGGATTAGTACCAGGCACGTGCCACCACACCCGGCTAATTTTGTATTTTTAGCAGAGACGGGGTTTCACCATGTTGGCCAGGCTGGTCTTGAAATCCTGACCTCAAGTGATCTGCCCACCTTGGCCTCCAAAGTGCTGGGATTAAAGGCGTGAGCCACCATGCTTGGCCCCTATAGATTAATTTGAAGAGAATTGGTATCTTTACTATAATATGTTGGATCTTCCAATTCAATCCCAATCTTGTGGTTAATGAAAGAATCTGAAGTAAAGGAAAGAACTATGGGATTGAAATGGGGTGCTGGGAGCAAATTTCTCTAGAATCTGAACTCTCTTCAACCTTTGATCAAATGGGGTCAGACTCCATCCTAGGGAACTGAGAAGGGCCTGGGAGACATAAATATGCCAACTCACCTGTGTAGGTTTACAGTTTACAACATTACCTTGGGTTTCACAACTCAACTGCAAGAAAGGAATTAGCATCCCCATTTTTTTTAAACCAGTGTTTTCATATCCTTTATTCCCAAGTCAGTGTATTTGTCAGTTTGAATGTTACATGTATGATAAAACAGATTATGAAAAGCATACTAACGAGAACATTATTTTATATAACTGATCATTGAATATGCAACCTCTTGCAACAATAACTTAATGGACCCAACTCTACCTTCTAAATGGACCAATTTTATGATTCTCCTAAAATGTTTTGAGTTGGGTATAGTTTCTTGTTGCTTCTTCCTGTGATCCAAAGCTTAAAAATGAGGCTGGGCACAATAGCTCAAGCCTGTCATCCCAGCACTTTAGGAGGCCAAGGTAGGAGGATCACTTGAGATCAGGAGTTTGAGACCAGCCTGGCCAACATGGTGAAACCCCATCTCTACTGAAAATACAAAAATTAGCCGGGCGTGGTGGTGCACACCTGTAATCCCAGCTACTCAGGAGGCTGAGGCAGGAGAATCGCTTTAACCTCAGAGGCAGAGGTTGCGGTAAGCTGAGATCGTGCCTCTGCACTCCAGCCTGGGCAACGGAGCGAGACTCCGTCTCAAAAAAAAAAAAAGGAATGAATCTCTGGAAACTAGCAATTAGAGCCAGACCTCCCTAGGACCAAGGAGACAGGAGTTGGAGAAAAAGACACTACAGGTGATGCCCACAGTCTCAAGCACTGTGGCATATGCTTGACCTCAGAGCATTCCAGTACTCAAGGTCAAGTGTGGCACCATCCGTATATCCTGTCATCGCAAATGCCCGCAACTGCTACAATTAACAGGATATGGGAGAGAGGAGGCACATCATGTGAGGAGGAATGAATCGCTCCCAACAATTATGTGAACATTTCGAAAATTTCTTTTTTTTTTTTTTTGAGATGGAGTCTGGCTCTGTCCCCCAGGCTGGAGTGCAGTGGCGCGATCTTGGCTCTCTGCAAGCTCCGCCTCGTGGGTTCACGCCATTCTCCTGCCTCAGCCTCCCGAGTAGCTGGGACTACAGGCGCCTGCCACCATGCCCGGCTAATTTTTTGTATTTTTAGTAGAGGCGGGGTTTCACCGTGTTAGCCAGGATGGTCTCGATCTCCTGACCTCGTGATCCGCTCGTCTCAGCCTCCCAAAGTGCTGGGATTACAGGCGTGAGCCACCGCGCCCGGCCAACATATCGAAAATTTCAATACCAAGGATTAACTTCTAAAATACAACTTTATATGCTAGTGCATGCCCGTAGTCCAAGCTGTTCAGGTGGCTGGGGCGGGAGAATTGCTTGAGCCCAGGAGTTCAGGGCTGCAGTGAGCCGTGTTAACGCCACTGCACTCCAGCCTGGGTGACAGAGTAAGGCCCTGTCTCAAAAAAATGAAATAAACTGGCCGGGTGCGGTGGCGTGCGCCTGTAATTCCAGCTACTCAAGAGGCTGAGGCACAAGAATCGTTTGAACCCGGTAGGCAGAGGTTGTAGTGAGCTGAGATCACACCACTGCAGTCCAGCCTGGGCCACAGAGACCCTGTCTCAAAAATAAATGCATGCAAGTTTGTAGACAGAAGCTATACAGCTAGCCATTCAATAAAATGCATGTGCAATATGGTGGAGCTGTTGTGAACATCCCCATTTGAATGCTGGGCAAACAGAGTAGTTCAAGGTCCCCAGTGCAGCAGGTCCTACTCATTTCAGAAGGGAACTCTGCAGAAACTATGCCCATCTGGGCAGAGCCCCCACTCCACTGGCCTGAGAGCCACGAATCCGGCGCGCGTCCTCCCCACCTTGCCCGCCAGGGGGCGGCAAGTCCCTGATCCGGGGTCGCCTGCTGCAGAGCTGGTGGGAGATGGTTGAGGGGCGTGGGTGGGTCAGCGTTCCTTGGGGACCCGTGAAGCCTGGGCTTAGGGCTCACAGCGTGGGTCCCCAGCACAGACAGGAGGCGGACAGCTTCCCGTGAACTGCAGGGGAGTCCCGGGACGCTGTCCTCCAGCGAGGTGGGGACCGGCTATGTCCCTCAGTTCCCCCTCGGTCCTCGGGCCACAGGGACATTAGACTAGGGGGTCAGTTCTGCCAGCCCTGCCCAGGCCTCTTCTGACCAGAGGAGCTGCGACGGACGCGGAGTTCAGGCCCCTTGGCGACCGCGGTCTCCTGAACTCGGCCCCTTCCCTGCTCCCATGGGGAAGAACCCTGCCCCTAGAACAGCCTCCCCTCCAGGTGTCTTCCCTACGCTACCCCTCCGCCGGCCGGGAACTCCGCCAGGCCTAGAGACGCCGACCCGGCCCTTTCTAGCTCCTCCCCGGCTCGGACCTGGTTCCCGCCCTCGGCCGCCCGCCAGTTCCCGAGGCGTACACGTGTAGATCCCGTCACGCCCGGAAGTCTCGCGTTTCTCAAACGCCTCGCGCAGTCGCCCTTGCGCTCAGGGAAGGGGCGGGGCGAACGGAAGCCGGGAAGGCGATTCATAGCTCGCGGGGTACGGGCGCGCGTGCGCACTCCGCAGCCCGTTCAGGACCCCGGCGCGGGCAGGGCGCCCACGAGCTGGCTGGCTGCTTGCACCCACATCCTTCTTTCTCTGGGACCTGGGGTCGCGGTTACTTGGGCTGGCCGGCGAACCCTTGAGTGGCCTGGCGGGGAGCGGGCCTCGCGCGCCTGGAGGGCCCTGTGGAACGAAGAGAGTAAGCACGGGAGGGGCGGCGGAGGGGCGCGAGTTTGAGGGCGACGCGATGAATGAATCGGAACGGGGGGTGGGGAGACGCGGGATCTGGAGGTGAGTGGGAGAGGACGAGGGGCCGGAAGGAAACAGGGACATCGAGTGTGTCCCTTCTCGGGTGCACCCTTTATTTTTGTTTTTGTTTTTGTTTGAGACAGAGGCTTGCTCTGTTTCCCAAGCTAGAGTGCAGTGGCGGGCGCGATCACGGCTCACTGTAGCCTCGAACTCCCGATCTCAAGCGATCCTCCCCCCTCGGCCCGGGTAATTAAAAAAATTTTTCTTAAGACAGGGTCTTGCTATGTTGCCCAGGCTGATCTCAAACACCCGGGCTCCAGTGATCCTCCCGCCTCGACCTTCCAAAGTGCTGAGGTTACAGGCGTGAGCCACTGCCCGGCCAGGTGCACCCTTTGTACAGGAAAAGGGGTAGGAAAGGCTTCGAGGTCCCTCTGAGCCCTCTGATCGCGTCCCTTTCCCACGCCAGGGCACACAGCATGGCAGAAAACCGAGAGCCCCGCGGTGCTGTGGAGGCTGAACTGGATCCAGTGGAATACACCCTTAGGAAAAGGCTTCCCAGCCGCCTGCCCCGGAGACCCAATGACATTTATGTCAACATGAAGACGGACTTTAAGGCCCAGCTGGCCCGCTGCCAGAAGCTGCTGGACGGAGGGGCCCGGGGTCAGAACGCGTGCTCTGAGATCTACATTCACGGCTTGGGCCTGGCCATCAACCGCGCCATCAACATCGCGCTGCAGCTGCAGGCGGGCAGCTTCGGGTCCTTGCAGGTGGCTGCCAATACCTCCACCGTGGAGCTTGTTGATGAGCTGGAGCCAGAGACCGACACACGGGAGCCACTGACTCGGATCCGCAACAACTCAGCCATCCACATCCGAGTCTTCAGGGTCACACCCAAGTAATTGAAAAGACACTCCTCCACTTATCCCCTCCGTGATATGGCTCTTCGCATGCTGAGTACTGGACCTCGGACCAGAGCCATGTAAGAAAAGGCCTGTTCCCTGGAAGCCCAAAGGACTCTGCATTGAGGGTGGGGGTAATTGTCTCTTGGTGGGCCCAGTTAGTGGGCCTTCCTGAGTGTGTGTATGCGGTCTGTAACTATTGCCATATAAATAAAAAATCCTGTTGCACTAGTGTCCTGCCATCCCACTGCCACTGATTCTTTCCTGTGTAAATTCTGTGTGTGCCTGAATAGGGATGGTAGGAAACGCTACAGGTATCTAGGTGAAAGGGGAACCCAAGTGTTTCTTGCCTCTATAGAGAGCATAGATTATGCTATGAGCAGTGTAACAAAACAGTACAGTGCAGAAACCCAGTCATCCCAATGTTTGTTTGTTTGTTTGTTTTTTGAGACAGAGTCTCACTCTGTCACCCAGGCTGGAGTGCAGTGGTGCAATCTTGGCTCACTGCAAGCTCCACCTCCTGAGTTCACGCCATTCTCCTGCCTCAGCCTCCTGAGTAGCTGGGACTACAGGTGCCTGCCACCACACCCTGGCTAATTTTTTTGTATTTTTAGTAGAGACAGGGTTTCAGCGTGTTAGCAGGGATGTTCTCGATCTCCTGACCTTGTGATCCACCCATCTCGGCCTCCCAAAGTGCTAGGATTACAGGCGTGAGCCACCGTGCCCAGCCCCAATGTTTGTTTTAAAGATTTTCGTCTTCTAGTTGGGTGCAGTGGCTCCAGCCTGTAGTCTGAGCTACTGGCGGAGGCTGAGGCGGAAAGAGTGCTTGAGCCTGGGAGTTTGAAGGTGCAGTGAGTTATGATCATGCCACCTGCACTCCAATCTAGATGACATACTGAGACCTAGTCTATGCAAAAAAACCACTTTTTTTTTTTTTCTGAGATGAAGTCTTGCTCTGTCACCCAGGCTGGAGTACAGTGGTGCCATCTTGGCTCACTGCAACGTTCGGCTCCTGGGTTCAAGTGATTCTCCTGCTTCATCCTCCCCAGTAGCTGGAATTACAGGTGAGTGCCACCACGCCCAGCTAATTATTTTTGTATTTTTTTAGTGGAAACACCATGTTGGCCAGGCTGTTCTCGAACTCCTGACCTCAAGTGATCTGCCCGCCTTGGCCTCCCAAATGCAAAAAATTTTTGAAAACTAGATGGGTGTAGTGGTTTGCACCTATAATCCCAGCTACCTCGTTAGCTGAGGCAGGAGGATCGCTTGAGCCCAGGAGTTCAAGGCTGCAGTGAGCTGTGATCACCGCACTACACTCCTCCAGCCTTGCTGACACAGCAAGACCGTATCTCAAAAAAAAAAAAAAAAAAAAAAAGGAAGCAAACTAAGACTTCAGGACCTTCTTAGTGTCAGGCTCCATGGTAGGGACTGACAAGTGGCTTCATTTAATTCCTGGACCTGCAGGGCCTACCTAGATGATACCCGGGCTTTCAGGTGCAGAGCCCTTCAGACCCTTTTTTTTTTTTTTTTTTTTTTTTGAGACAGCTTCACTCTGTCATCCAGGCTGGAGTGCAGTGGTGCGATCTCAGCTCACTGCAACCTCTGCCTCCTGGGTTCAAGGGATTCTTCTGCCTCAGCCTCCTGAGTAGCCGGGACTATAGGCATCCATCACCATGCCCTGCAATTTTTTGTATTTTTAGTAGAGAAGGGGTTTCACCATGTCAGCCAGGCTGGTCTCAAACTTCTGACCTGAAGCGTTCTGCCTGCCTTGGCCACCCAAAGTGCTGGGATTACAGGCATGAGCCACTGCGCCCGGCCTTCAGACCCTTCTCACTGGGCTGCTCCAGTGGCGAAGGAACCCCTCACTCCAAATAATTACTGGGCACACAGGTAATACTTTCTGTTTGGATATTTGTGGGATGACCTGATTTTTCATATTTATCAAACTAAAGTCAACTAAAGCAATGTTTATCAAAGCGGGTTGTGACCCATTTGTGGGTCACAGCTTCTTAAAAAAAGAAAAAGCCAGGCGCGGTGGCTCACGCCTGTAATCCCAGCACTTTGGGAGGCTGAGGCGGGCAGATCACGAGGTCCAGAGATCAAGACCATCCTGGCTAACATGGTGAAACCCTGTCTCTACTAAAAATACAAAAAATTAGCCAGGCGTGGTGGCACATGCCTGTAGTTCCAGCTACTCTAGAGGCTGAGGCAGGAGAATCGCTTGAACCAGGGAGGCGGAGGTTGCAGAGAGCCGAGATTGTGCCACTGCACTCCAGCCTGGGCGACAGAGCGAGTCCGTCTCAAAAAACAAAAACAACAACAAAAAAAATAAGGCTGGGTGTGGTGGCTCACGCCTATAATCCCAGCACTTTGGGAGGCCGAGGCAGGTCAGTCTCTTGAGCGCAGGAGTTCGAGACCAGCCTAGGCAACATGGCGAAATCCCATCTCTACAAAAAATATAAAAAGTTATCTGGGCATGGTGGCACAAAACTGTGGTCCCAGCTACTTGGGAGGCTGAGGTGGGAGGATGACCTGAGCCCAGGAGGGGGAGGTTGCAGTGAGCTGAGATCACGCCAGTGCACTCCAGCCTGGGCGACAGAGCAAGACCTTGTCTAAAAAAAGAAAAGAAAAAGAAAAAAGAACCCAAGTTTTAAAAAAAGTGCAACTTAAATGGTGGTGTTTTTATTGCAGATGTTTTTGTTTTTTTTGAGGCAGAGTCTCTATCTCCTAGGCTGGAGTTCAGTAGCACAATCTTGGCTCACTGCAACCTCTGCCTCCCAGGTTCAAGCGATTCTCCTGTCTCAGCCTCCTGAGTAGCTGGAATTATAGGCGTGTGCCACCACGCCTGGCTAATTTTTGTATTTTTAGTAGAGATGGGGTTTCGCCATGTTGTCCAGGCTGATTTCAAACTCCTGACCTCAGGTGATCCACCCACCTCAGCCTCCCAAAATGCCGGGATTACAGGTGTGAGCCACTAGGCCTGGCCAGCAAATTTTTCAGTTAGGCATGTGTGTATATATATATATATATATATATGTACTATAATAGGATGTACATTGTGTTTTTTACCGTTTGAGGTCATAAGAGTTTAAGAGCCTCTGATTTACAGGTTAGGAACAGAATTTCACTCTAATTCAAGGAAGGTAGTTTGGTTTGGAGGTCTGAAGATCAGTCTTCTAATTCATCAAAATCCCTTCCTCTGGCATCTGCGTATGAAATGGTCCCTATGTTCAAGGAGCTCGCCATCTAATTGGGAAGGTGGACACATAATTTTTTGTGAATGAGTAAGATGTGTGAGACATAAGAGTAGCAATGATAAGGAAATGTGGAGATGGAAAGGGCTAATAACTTCCTGGTGGGACCCAAAATGGTTTCACTCACCTTTGATCTGGGTGTTGAAGGATGTATAGGAGTTTGCCAGGCAGAAAAGAAGGGAGATGGCATATTTGGCAGAGAGATCACAGTGGGGCGGGGAGATGGGTGGATTTGGCTGGGAATGGTGGCCATGCCTGTAATCCCAGCACTTTGGAAGGCCGAAGAGAGAAAATTGCTAGAGCTCAGGAGTTTGAGACCAGCCTGGGCAATAGAGTAAGACTTTGTCTCTATCAAAAATTTAAAAATTAACTGGGCTTGGCGGTGTGCACCTGTGGTCCAGCTACTCAGGAGGCTGAGGTGGGAGGATTGCTTGAGCCCAAGAGGTTGAGGCTGCAGTAAGCCGTGACTGAGGGCTTGTGAAACAGCAAGAACCTGTCTCAAAAAACAGTGGGCAGGGAGGGGATTAATGAATAGGCAGCTACGTTCTGGGACTGGAGGGACTCGAGGTGGCTAGAAAGCAAGAGGTACTGGGAGACAAGGCTGCAGACATTTCTTTTTTTTTTTTTTTTTTTTGAGACAGAGTCTCTATCGCCAGGCTGGAGTGCAGTGGCGTGATCTTCGCTCACTGCAACCTCCGACTCCCTGGTTCAAGCGATTCTCCTGCCTCAGCCTCCCAAGTAGCTGAGTAGCTGGGATTACAGGTGCGCACCACCACACCCAGCTAATTTTTGTATTTTTAGTAAAGACGGGGTTTCACCATGTTGGCCAGGATGGTCTCGATCTCCTGACCTCGTGATCTGCCCGCCTACGGCCTCCCAAAGTGCTGGGATAACAGGCGTGAGCCACCGTACCTGGCTGGCTGCGGACATTTCTATCAGGCCACATCCTTTCCATCAGCCTGACTGCAAGGCTTCCTTGCCCGGGAGCCCCCCAGTAGCCGAGCGGGGAGCCGGCAGGAAGCTGGATGGAGCTGTGTCTCCCTGCACGTATGTGCTCCGGGCCTGAGCCCAGCAGAGGTGGTGGCAGGCAGCCTTTCCCATCTGGTTTGTTTTGGCAGTTCCCTCCTGCAGCCTATTTGTTTGTTGTTTCTACTCCATGTTTTCTCACTGCTTGCCAGTGGGGCTTCCCTCAGTGGCAGTTCTGCAGAAACAGACCTCCACATTGCCACTGAAGGAAGAGTGGGGCCTGGGGCTCACTCTTTTGTGTGTGGGGGGGCGTGAACCAGGCTCCTGCATCTACTAGAGTCCATGCAGGGCAGGTGGGGCAGGGAACCCTGCCTGCAGGCCCGACCGTAGGGAGGCTAGCTCCAGCCTCTGTTCTCCTCCCTCTACTGGCTCTCCAAAGTGACTTCCATCAAAGCTTGGGAGGCCAGAAACAGTGAGCCACGTCTCTTTGTAATCCCAGCACTTTGGGAGGCCCAGGCAGGCAGATCACCTGAGGTTAGGAGTTCAAGACCAGCCTGGCCAACATGGTGAAACCCCGTCTCTACTGAAAATACAAAATTAGCTGGGCGTGGTGGCAGGCGCCTGTAATCCCAGCTACTCAGGAGGCTGAGGCAGGAGAACTGCTTGAACCCGGGAGGTGGAGGTTGCAGTGCACCAAGATTGTGCCATTGCACTCCAGCCTGGGTGACAGAGGGAGACTCAGTCTCAAAAAGAAAAAAGCTTGAAAAACGGGAGAGGGGTGAGGAGATGGAGGCAGAAGGTGTGTGCAAATGCAATGCCCTGCCCTCCTTTTTACATTTTATTTATTTATTTATTTATTTTAGAGACAGGGTCTCACTCTGTAGCCTAGGCTGGAGTGCAATGGTACAATCATAGCTCACTGCAACCTCAAACTTCTAGGCTCAAGCAATCCTGCCTCAGCCTCCCAGGTAGTTAGGACTACAGGCAAAAAAAAAAAAAAAAGAGCTACTATTGTTTTCTTTGTTTGTTTATCTGTTTGTTTTGAGACGGAGTTGTGCTCTTGTTGCCCAGGCTGGAATGCAATGGCGTGATCTCAGCTCACTGCAACCTCCGCCTCCTGGATTCAACTGATTCTCCTGCCTCAGCCTCCTGAGTAGCTGGGATTACAGGCACGTTCCACCAAGCCCGGCTACTTTTTGTATTTTTAGTAGAGGCAGGGTTTCTCCGTGTTTGCCAGGCTGGTCTCGAACTCGTGACCTCAGGTGATCCGCCTGCCTCAGCCTCCCAAAGTTCTGAGATTACAGGCGTGAGCCACTGCGCCCGGCCAAGAGCTAGTATTGTTTAGTATGAAGCCATTTTGCTAAGAAATGGTTTTAGGCTTCTTAATAGGAATGGGGAGAAGTGAAGGAAGGCAATTTTGTGTGCGTTTAATTCTCAAGTCTGAGTTATTAGTAGAAACTAACAACTGAGCCAGACTCAGTTGTGGCTCGCATAGCAGGGAAGGGGACGGGACCTTGAAATATTAAGTGGTTTGATCAGGCTGATGATCCTGCTAGAGAAGCCCAGCACTTTGTCCCAGGTGAGTTTCTGGTGCTTGGTCAGGAGTTGAGGGAAAAATGGTGTTTCACAAACCCTCAAACCACTAGAGAGGTTGGACGAGAACGTGTCAATTGTAGTTCCTTAGGAAACAGATGTCCAATTGCACAGAGATTTGGGATGAGGCAAAGGTCATCCTACCAGAAGGAAGCCTGTGAAAATGGCCACTTAAGGTCCCAAGACCCTAATGACATTATGGGTGTTTTTCAGTTTATGTGTTTGAGTTTAGCGCTGTTTTCTAATTTTGGTCACGTATTGTTTTTGTAATGAGCAAAAGTTCATCATAAAAGTTGCTTTTTTTTTTTTTTTGAGACAGAGTCTGGCTCTGTCGCCCAGGCTGGAGTCCAGTGGCACAATCTTGGCTCACCGCAACCTCCGCCTCTCGAGTTCAAGTGATTCTTCTGCCTCAGCCTCCTGAGTAGCTGGGACTATAGGTGTGCGCCACCATGCCCAGCTAATTTTTGTATTTTTAGCAGAGATGGGGTTTCACCATATTGGCCAGGCTGGTCTTGAACTCCTGACCTCGTGATCCGCCCGTCTCAGCCCCCAAAGTGCTGGGATTACAGGCGTGAGCCACCGTGCCCGGCCTAAGTGAGCTCTTCTGCTCGTGTCTTAGTTCATCAACCAGCAAATAATTTTTCCCTTTTCAGGGAAGTATATTTGTCTAATAGCAAACAAGACTAATAGACTGAGTTGGAAGGAATCTAGCAGGTCCTGTGAAGGCGAAAGTCCACCCTCTGTTTGCATTCTTCAAGTGACAAGACGGTTGCCTTTTCTTAAGGGAGCAGAGGCTTGTTATAGAGGAGACAGCAAGCCATTCTCCTCTGCATCATCCATGTATCCACTGACCCATTCATTCATCAGATATTTATTAGTTAGTGGAACGGGCAATAAAATAACTTCTTGAGGTATCTCATCAGTTTTATTTTTACTTATTTAGAGATGGGTCTTGCTCAGTTCCCCAGGCTCGAGTGCAGTGGCATGATCATAGCTCACTGCAACCTCGACCTCCTAGGTTCAAATGATCATCCTTCCTCAGCCTCCCAAGTAGCTGTGACACCAGGCATGTGCCGCCATGCCTGGCTAACTTCTTTATTTTTTATATAAAAAATATAACTCTATAAAAAATAACTTCTTTATTTTTTATAGAGCCAGGGTCTCACTGTGTTGCCCCGGCTGGTCTTGAACTCCTGGCCTCAAATGATCACCTTAGCTTTCCAAAGTGCTGAAATTATAGGTGTGAGCCACCTCACCCGGCCCCTCATCAGTTTGATAACTAACTCCTTGATCACCTTACTTAGAGAACAAAGGATCAGTCAGGAATAGGCTTCATAAAACTTTGGTAGGCCAGGTGCGGTAAAGGATTTTCCTTTGAGGACTTTGGCAAAGGATTTTCCTTTGGTTCTCCAGCAGGAATCCCTTCTTCAGCATCTTTTTTTTTTTTTAAGAAAGGGTGTTGTTCTTTCGCCCAGGCTGGAGTGCAGTGGTGCGATCATAGCTAACTGCAGCTTCCAACTCCTGGGCTCAAGCAATCCTCCAACCTCAGCCTCCCGAGTAGCTGGGACTACAGGCATGTGCCAGCATGCCTAACAAATTTTCTGTAGAGACAGGGTCTCCCTATGTTGCCCAGACTGGTCTCAAACTCCTGGGCTCAAGGGATCCTCCCTCCTTAGCCTCCTAAAGTGCTGGGATTCCAGGCGTGAGCTACCGTGCCTGGCCCTCCAGCATTCTTGCTTCCTTCACAGTTCCCCAAAGGCCACCCAACAAGGTCCCCAGCCACCTCCCCTCCCAGCACAGAAGGTCTTCTGGGCCTCTGGCTGAACTCGAGCTGAGCTGAGAAGCCACTGCTTGGAAATGAGGAGGGAAAGAGAAGCCAGGAGGCCCCCCTTCCCAAGTCCGACTCCAGGCAGCTGGGGCTCCGTGCTGCCTGGGGGTCTGGGACAGCTCGGGGGGCTGTAAATTTGCTTCTGCTTGGATTTCCAATCTGAATCCACTGCCAGGAGGAATCCGTGGAGCAGAGCCTGCCTCCACACCCGCCATCCTCCTGTCACAACTGGCCCTTTTCAAACCCTGCCTCAGTGGCTGCCTGCTCAGGAAGTGCATGGAAGCTTCACACGCCCCAGGATCCCAGGGAGCTGGGTTGACCGGGGGATGGCTCAGTGCCCCCTCTAGGTTGGGTTCTTCTCTGAGCATGTAGTGGAGGGACCACATAATGCAATCCACACTTGGGTGGTTACCACAGAAAAGGGACATGCTGGACGCTTGGTAGACAGAAAAATGCATCAGAACTTCCATACGCAGCCCTTCGCTCTCTTCGATGACTAGGGCACCTGCACTACGTGACTCCAGACGGTACCATTCCCTTCAGAGTCTCTATGGATGCCCCTGGGAGTTGGGCAGTGCTCATCTTTGACGGCTGTCCATGGCGGTCCTGCCAGTGAGATGCCTAAGACATGTACATAAATGACGGCAGTGCCAGGGAAGGAGACGATTTCCTGCTGGGAGATCAAGAAAGGCTTCATGGAGGAGGCGATGCACAGATTTGGGCTTTAAAGAAAACGAGGAGATGGTGTGGGAGGGTAATCCAGGATGAGCCAAGGGCAGGAAGGCACAAACCATCTCCTGTGGTGGAGGGAGTGGGAGTGAGCAAAGCGGGAGAACAGCCTGGAACATGAAGTGAATGGTAGACCTTGGAGGGTCTCAGTTCTGAGGCAATAGGAAGCCGTGACAGGTTCCTGCTCAGGGAATTAGCACAAATGAGGCTGTTCAGTGGGAAAGTTAATTGAGCAGCAGGGTTAGGGATTAACTGGAGGGGTCAATGAGGAGATGCTCTGCAGTGGTCCTGGGCCTGTGGGTCAGCATCTGCTAGAAGATGAAGAGCAGGCAGATGACGGGGGTGGGGGGCACTGGGCAGGGGGATGGTGGGCATTGGTCGGGGAGCCCCATGGAGCTTCTTGTTTTCTTCCTGTTCCTCAAGGACAGATGAATGGACCCTGCATTGCTCAGTATCCAAGAGGCTCTGGGCTCCAAACCAGCCTCTCCCCTCTTAGCAGAATTACTATGGCTTCAAGCCGGGTGTGGTGGCTCACGCCTGTAATCCCAGCACTTTGGGAGGCCGAGGCGGGCGGATCACTTGAGGTTGGGAGTTCGAGACCAGCCTGGCCAACATGGCGAAACCCCATCTCTACTGAAAATACAAAAATTACCGGGCGTGGTGGCACATGCCTGTAATTCCAGCTACTCGGGAGGCTGAGGCAGGAGAATTGCTTGAACCCGGGAGGTGGAGGTTGCAGTGAGCTGAGATAATGGCACCACTGCACTCCAGCCTGGGCAATAGAGTGAGACTCCATCTCAAAAAGAGAATTACTATGGCTTCGGATTGGGTATGGGGTGGACCAAGATCCTCTCCTCCCTCCCAAGCTGCAATCACAGCTCTCTCTCCAGAAGCCCCAGGGGACAAGGCAGTCACTACTCCTATCCAGCAGGCTACAGCATTTAGAGGCTGGTGCCCCTGGCCCATCTCTCACTCCTCTTCAACTGCAGACAAGGATGCAGGGACCCCCGAGAAGCTGTGTGAGGGGAGGGGCAGGTCCCACAGCCCAAAAGGCTCCTCCTCCTCCAGCTGTGTCCACCCCACCCATCTGTCTCCGGCCCCCTCTCCATGGTTAGGTCAGGGCATTGACGCAGGAGTCAGGGTCCTGGGAGAGCAGAGGCTGGGGAAGGGGAGCAGCCAAGACAGAACGCACGTGCGGCCATGTGTGGATGTGAGTGTGATGGTGCACGTCCCAGGACTCTGGAAGGGATCAGAACCAGGAGCCGAGTGGGGCTGGGGGAGCCTGGACAGCAGTTTTGGGAAGGCTCAAGGTGAGCAGAGGATGCAGGGGAGCAGGGTCTGAGGGAATTAGGCCAGCCAGAAGCATACCAGCCTCTGTCTCCTGACCCCCACCCAACCATCTTGCCAAACCACTCATTTTTTCTTTTTTTTTTTTGAGACAGGGTCTCCCTTTGTTGCCCAGTCTAGAGTGCAGTGGCGTGATCATAGCTCACTGCAGCCTCAACCTCCCGGGCTCAAGAGATCCTCTGACCTCAGCCTCCTGAGTAGCTGGGACTACAGATGTGCACCACCATGCCCAGCTAGCTAAACAAAAATAAAAATTATAGACATGGGATCTCACTATGTTGCCCAGGCTGGTCTCAAACTCCTGGCCTCAAGCAATCCTCCTGCCTCAGCCTCCCAAAATGTTGGGATTACAGGTGTGAGCCACTACACTTGGCCCAAATCCCCCTCCCATCAAGCTCTTCACCTCACCACACCCTCATGGTCCCTCACCCCCAACAGGTCTTTATTCAAGTCAGTTTCTCAGCCTAGTGTCTCTGACTACCTTATTTTAGATAACCCTGCCTGTGCCTTTTCTCCTTAGTTCTGGCTATTTGAAATCCTCTATCTTTTCTTTTCTTTTCTTTCTTTTTTTTTTTTTTTTTTGAGACAGGGTCTCATTCTGTTGCCCAGGGTGGAGTGCAGTAGCAAAACCACAGCTCACTGCAGCCTCAACTTCCTGGGCTGAAGTGATCCTCCCACCTCAGCCTCCCAAGTAGCTGGGACTATAGGCACATGCCATCATGCCCAGCTAATTTTTGTATTTTTTTGTAAAGATGGGGTTTCACCATGTTGCCCAGGCTGGTCAAGCCAACTCCTGGGCTCAAGTGATCCTCTTGCCTTGGCCTCCCGAAGTGCTGGGATTACAGGCATGAGCCACCTCACCCAGCCAAAATCCTCTGTCTTGTACCCATTTTTGTGTTCATCATTGGCAACCCCACTAGAACATCAGCTCCACCAGGGCAGGCATTCCTGGCTGTATCATTCACTGCTCTATCCCCAGGTCCTTGGCCAGGGGTAGGTAGGAAATCCATAAATATCTTTTGAATGAATGAGTGAATGTTTCCCACTCTTTCCAAACAAAATCCAAATTCTTCAGAGAGGCATTCAAGGCCATAGACAGCCTGACTCCTCCCTAAGCAGCACCCTGGCCTCATCTTCCACCTCTCTCTTCTCCATCTTCCCTTCTGCTCACCTGTAGGGAGACCCCCTGAAACTACTGCTACGGAATAAAAGATGAAATGCTCCTGATTATTGTAAATACAAAATTGCATGCAGGATTGTGTACAAACAATGCCAGGTTGGACTGCCAGAATGAGCCAACAGCCTGTGATGTGCTTCCGCCTGCGGAGAGCCTATGAACGGACCTGCAGTCAGGGAGGTTTCACATCACCAAGATTTCTATCCCAGAAAAGCAGATGTTCATAGCTCTGGGAATGGAATGCGACCCTTGTGGAGAGCCTATAAACGGACGCATGGGGGCGGGGGGCACCTGTCCATATGGATAAGATAGGGCTATAAACGCCCTCATCTTGCCATGGCTCTTCTAGGCCTCTTTAGGGTTAAGGCATACTCCCTTCTGAGAATTTCTGGTCTAACTGGTTGTCTAGCTTCATGTCCTGTTTCCATGGATTGTCTGTAACCAGCTTTTGTTGCAATTGTTACTGCTGATTAGTATCTTGCTAATCATAGGTTATGGAAAGATTGTGTTTCTGTTTTAAGGCTCTGTTAGAAATTACTGATGCACACACTATATTGTAAATTCTTATCTCTGTATACTGTACTTCTGCATACAAATGTACTGTACTTCTACATATAAATGTTATGTTAAAGAATTAATTCATCCCCATGTGACCATCTCACCTCATAATCAAATGACCCTAAATCCCTCACTAACCTACCCCCGCCCTCACTAAACTTAATAATAAATGATGGTACATCTGGTGCATTGTTGACACCACGGGACCAGAAGGCGGTGACCCCCCGGACCAGCTTTCACTATCTTGTGTGTGTCTATTATTTCTCAACCTGCTGATCCGCCTGGGAACAAAGAGAGAGCCCTGTTGCATTGCGGGCTGCTGGCCAGATCCCGCAATACTCACCTGACTCTCCATTCACTTTGCTGAATCGACAATCCCCCACCCACCTCATACCTCTTCCCATTGATGTCCTACCCCCCTTCAAGGCTGAGGTCATTGTCACCTCCTCCCTCAAATCTTTCTTGATTTCTCCCGGCTAACTCTTACAGCTCAGATCTACACATTCCAGTCTTTTTTTGTTTTTGAGACAGGCTCTCACTCTGTCGCCCAGGCTGCAGTGCAGTGGCACGATCATGGCTCACTACGGCCTCGAACTCCTGGGCTCAGGTGATCCTCCTGCCTTAGCCTCCTGCATATTTGGGACTACAGGCGTGAGCCACCACACCTGACTAATTATTTTTTATTTATTTATTTATTTTAGAGACAAGGTCTTGCCATGTTGTCCGGGCTGGTCTCGAACTCCTGGGCTCAAAGGATCTTCCTGCCTTGGTCTCCCAAAGTGCTGGGATTATAGGTGTCAGCTGCGGCGCCTGGACCTTTCCTGTCTTTTATGAAACCTGAATGGGATAGGCTGGTAGTTTCACCACACCCATTTGACAGATGAGGACATTGAGGGCTCAAGGACGAGGCCACTTTCTAAGGTGTGAGAGACCAGCTAGTCTTGGTCTCCTGCTCTGGGAATCTCACTCCTCTGGCTCAGGGTTTCCAGAAGCCATAAAACCTTAGCTGTAAATCCCAGCCCCCATCACTCTTGGTGTTAGCTGTATTTCAGTGTTCTTAAGAACTCAGCAATGCAGCCTAGCTAACCTACACCACAGGTCAAATAAACAGATGTCAAGGTGCATGTGTGTCCTGCACAATGGACTGTGTGCTCTGTGCACTAAAAGTTAAGTGTCTGGGGTGGGGGCTGGGTGCGGTGGCTCACGCCTGCAATCCCAGCACTTTGAGAGGCCGAGGAGGGTGGATCACCTGAGGTCAGGAGTTCAAGACCGGTATGGGCAATATGGCAACACCCCATCTCTACTAAAAATACAAAACATAGCCGGGTGTAAAGGTGTGCCTGTAGTCCCAGCTGCTCCAGAGGCTGAAGCAGGAGAATTGCTTGAACCCAGGAGGCAGAGGTTGTAGTGAACGGGAGATGGCACCACTGCACTGCCTGGGCAACATAGGGAGGCTACATCTCCAGAAAAAAAAAAAAAAGTTAAGTGTCTGGGTTTGCAGAGTACTAGACGGTGAGGAGTGAGGTGGGGAGGAAGAACCCCAAATTTCTTGCCCTATTTGCCCCCATCAAATTCCTCAACATGGTCAACATTGTTTCTAGAACATGTCCTGGGATTGTGGGAAGGGAGACCACTCATTTGCCCCTCCCTAAAGCTTCTGGGCTTCCAGACCCAGCTACTTTGCGGAACTCAGCAACCCAGGCATCTCTGAGTCTCCGCCCAAGACCGGGATGCCCCCCAGGGGAGGTGTCCGGGAGCCCAGCCTTTCCCAGATAGCACGCTCCGCCAGTCCCAAGGGTGCGCAACCGGCTGCACTCCCCTCCCGCGACCCAGGGCCCGGGAGCAGCCCCCATGACCCACACGCACGTCTGCAGCAGCCCCGCTCACGCCCCGGCGAGCCTCAACCCAGGCGTCCTGCCCCTGCTCTGACCCCGGGTGGCCCCTACCCCTGGCGACCCCTCACGCACACAGCCTCTCCCCCACCCCCACCCGCGCACGCACACATGCAGATAACAGCCCCGACCCCCGGCCAGAGCCGCAGAGTCCCTGGGCCACCCCGGCCGCTCGCTGCGCTGCGCCGCACCGCGCTGTCCTCCCGGAGCCGGACCGGGGCCACCGCGCCCGCTCTGCTCCGACACCGCGCCCCCTGGACAGCCGCCCTCTCCTCCAGGCCCGTGGGGCTGGCCCTGCACCGCCGAGCTTCCCGGGATGAGGGCCCCCGGTGTGGTCACCCGGCGCGCCCCAGGTCGCTGAGGGACCCCGGCCAGGCGCGGAGATGGGGGTGCACGGTGAGTACTCGCGGGCTGGGCGCTCCCGCCCGCCCGGGTCCCTGTTTGAGCGGGGATTTAGCGCCCCGGCTATTGGCCAGGAGGTGGCTGGGTTCAAGGACCGGCGACTTGTCAAGGACCCCGGAAGGGGGAGGGGGGTGGGGCAGCCTCCACGTGCCAGCGGGGACTTGGGGGAGTCCTTGGGGATGGCAAAAACCTGACCTGTGAAGGGGACACAGTTTGGGGGTTGAGGGGAAGAAGGTTTGGGGGTTCTGCTGTGCCAGTGGAGAGGAAGCTGATAAGCTGATAACCTGGGCGCTGGAGCCACCACTTATCTGCCAGAGGGGAAGCCTCTGTCACACCAGGATTGAAGTTTGGCCGGAGAAGTGGATGCTGGTAGCTGGGGGTGGGGTGTGCACACGGCAGCAGGATTGAATGAAGGCCAGGGAGGCAGCACCTGAGTGCTTGCATGGTTGGGGACAGGAAGGACGAGCTGGGGCAGAGACGTGGGGATGAAGGAAGCTGTCCTTCCACAGCCACCCTTCTCCCTCCCCGCCTGACTCTCAGCCTGGCTATCTGTTCTAGAATGTCCTGCCTGGCTGTGGCTTCTCCTGTCCCTGCTGTCGCTCCCTCTGGGCCTCCCAGTCCTGGGCGCCCCACCACGCCTCATCTGTGACAGCCGAGTCCTGGAGAGGTACCTCTTGGAGGCCAAGGAGGCCGAGAATATCACGGTGAGACCCCTTCCCCAGCACATTCCACAGAACTCACGCTCAGGGCTTCAGGGAACTCCTCCCAGATCCAGGAACCTGGCACTTGGTTTGGGGTGGAGTTGGGAAGCTAGACACTGCCCCCCTACATAAGAATAAGTCTGGTGGCCCCAAACCATACCTGGAAACTAGGCAAGGAGCAAAGCCAGCAGATCCTACGGCCTGTGGGCCAGGGCCAGAGCCTTCAGGGACCCTTGACTCCCCGGGCTGTGTGCATTTCAGACGGGCTGTGCTGAACACTGCAGCTTGAATGAGAATATCACTGTCCCAGACACCAAAGTTAATTTCTATGCCTGGAAGAGGATGGAGGTGAGTTCCTTTTTTTTTTTTTTTCCTTTCTTTTGGAGAATCTCATTTGCGAGCCTGATTTTGGATGAAAGGGAGAATGATCGAGGGAAAGGTAAAATGGAGCAGCAGAGATGAGGCTGCCTGGGCGCAGAGGCTCACGTCTATAATCCCAGGCTGAGATGGCCGAGATGGGAGAATTGCTTGAGCCCTGGAGTTTCAGACCAACCTAGGCAGCATAGTGAGATCCCCCATCTCTACAAACATTTAAAAAAATTAGTCAGGTGAGGTGGTGCATGGTGGTAGTCCCAGATATTTGGAAGGCTGAGGCGGGAGGATCGCTTGAGCCCAGGAATTTGAGGCTGCAGTGAGCTGTGATCACACCACTGCACTCCAGCCTCAGTGACAGAGTGAGGCCCTGTCTCAAAAAAGAAAAGAAAAAAGAAAAATAATGAGGGCTGTATGGAATACATTCATTATTCATTCACTCACTCACTCACTCACTCATTCATTCATTCATTCATTCAACAAGTCTTATTGCATACCTTCTGTTTGCTCAGCTTGGTGCTTGGGGCTGCTGAGGGGCAGGAGGGAGAGGGTGACATGGGTCAGCTGACTCCCAGAGTCCACTCCCTGTAGGTCGGGCAGCAGGCCGTAGAAGTCTGGCAGGGCCTGGCCCTGCTGTCGGAAGCTGTCCTGCGGGGCCAGGCCCTGTTGGTCAACTCTTCCCAGCCGTGGGAGCCCCTGCAGCTGCATGTGGATAAAGCCGTCAGTGGCCTTCGCAGCCTCACCACTCTGCTTCGGGCTCTGGGAGCCCAGGTGAGTAGGAGCGGACACTTCTGCTTGCCCTTTCTGTAAGAAGGGGAGAAGGGTCTTGCTAAGGAGTACAGGAACTGTCCGTATTCCTTCCCTTTCTGTGGCACTGCAGCGACCTCCTGTTTTCTCCTTGGCAGAAGGAAGCCATCTCCCCTCCAGATGCGGCCTCAGCTGCTCCACTCCGAACAATCACTGCTGACACTTTCCGCAAACTCTTCCGAGTCTACTCCAATTTCCTCCGGGGAAAGCTGAAGCTGTACACAGGGGAGGCCTGCAGGACAGGGGACAGATGACCAGGTGTGTCCACCTGGGCATATCCACCACCTCCCTCACCAACATTGCTTGTGCCACACCCTCCCCCGCCACTCCTGAACCCCGTCGAGGGGCTCTCAGCTCAGCGCCAGCCTGTCCCATGGACACTCCAGTGCCAGCAATGACATCTCAGGGGCCAGAGGAACTGTCCAGAGAGCAACTCTGAGATCTAAGGATGTCACAGGGCCAACTTGAGGGCCCAGAGCAGGAAGCATTCAGAGAGCAGCTTTAAACTCAGGGACAGAGCCATGCTGGGAAGACGCCTGAGCTCACTCGGCACCCTGCAAAATTTGATGCCAGGACACGCTTTGGAGGCGATTTACCTGTTTTCGCACCTACCATCAGGGACAGGATGACCTGGATAACTTAGGTGGCAAGCTGTGACTTCTCCAGGTCTCACGGGCATGGGCACTCCCTTGGTGGCAAGAGCCCCCTTGACACCGGGGTGGTGGGAACCATGAAGACAGGATGGGGGCTGGCCTCTGGCTCTCATGGGGTCCAAGTTTTGTGTATTCTTCAACCTCATTGACAAGAACTGAAACCACCAATATGACTCTTGGCTTTTCTGTTTTCTGGGAACCTCCAAATCCCCTGGCTCTGTCCCACTCCTGGCAGCAGTGCAGCAGGTCCAGGTCCGGGAAACGAGGGGTGGAGGGGGCTGGGCCCTACGTGCTGTCTCACACAGCCTGTCTGACCTCTCGACCCTACCGGGCCTGAGGCCACAAGCTCTGCCTACGCTGGTCAATAAGGTGGCTCCATTCAAGGCCTCACCGCAGTAAGGCAGCTGCCAACCCTGCCCAGGGCAAGGCTGCAGTGCGCTGAGATTGTCATCAAGGAGAGGGAGGCCAGAGGACGGGTCCTTTTGGGAGTTTTGGGGGCTGGTAACAGCTGCCAACCCTGGTCACTGGCCCTTGTTAATTTCTGCCTCTTCTTTGGTCTCTTCGGCTGATGCCACACTCCCAGCATCAGCCTTCCGCCTCAATGCACATCCTCGCTAAGTCCAGCTGCCTCCTTTACTCACCTGGGGACTGTCACCATGAATACTCGCCTCTGAAATTCACAAAAGGGGCGGTACACACAGGTGCGGTTGGAGCCACCTCTATAAACAGCATCTGCTCGGGGACAAGGGCCACTCTAGGTGGTCCATTTATATATTTGTGATTTTGTTTGTTTGTTTGTTTTTAGTGACAGTGTCTTGCTCTGTTGCCCAGGCTGGAGTGCAGTGGTGCAATCATGGGTCACTGCAGCCTCAAACTCCTGGGCTCAAGCAATCCTCTAGTCCCAGCCTCATGAGTAGATGTGACTAAAGGCATGCATCGCCATGCCCTGCTAATTTTTAAATTATTTTTATCTTATTTTTTTTAGAGATGGGGTCTTGCTATGTTGCCCAGGCTGGTCTCAAACTCTGGGTTCAAGTGATCCTCCCTCCTTAGCCTCCCAAAGTGCTGGGATTATAGGTGTGAGCCATTGCGCCTGGTTTATTCCTTCTACCTAATCCCTACCTGCTCCTTTACTCCCCTGGGGTGGGGGACATGGAACAAATGAACTCTACTTCCACTCTTGATTTCTACTTCTCATTTTCCCCTTTACTCTGACCACAACTTCAGATTCCTTCTCAAAAATAATGCTTCAGCGGGAAAGGACCACTGAGGAGGGACCTGTGCAGACAGCAAAAGCTGTCATAAAACTGTATGGGAGGCCAGGCACGGTGGCTCATGCCTGTAATCCCAGCACTTTGGGAGGCTGAGGTGGGTGGATCATCTGAGGTCAGGTGTTTGAGACCAGCCTGGCCAACGTGGTGAAACCCCATGTCTACTAAAAATACAAAAAATTAGCCGGGTGTGGTGGTGGGCTCCTGTAATCCCAGCTATTCTGGAGGCTGAGGCAGGAGAATCACTGAACCTGGGAGGCGGAGGTTGCAGTGAGCCGAGGTCGTGCCACTGGACTCCAGCCTGGGCGACAAGAGCGAAACTCTGTCTCAAAAACAAAACAAAAACAAACAAACAAAAACAACTGTATGGGACCCCGATCCTGGTTGTTATCCCATATGTGAGGGCCGGTCTTTCTGCTTGTATCATCAACTGTAGAGAAGTCAGCCTGTGTTCCCCTGCACATATGCAAACGGGAGAGAATGTTTTGCAATCCGCAGCAGGAAAAATTACGGGAAGGTTTTGGAGGTTGGAGGGTACTTGACAGGTGTGTAGGGAGCGGGGCGGTAGGTGTGGAGCTGGGATGCGAGGAGTCGCCAAAGGGGAGGACCCAAGAGAATTTTCCCTCTGTTCTAACCGGCTCGTGGGCTACAGTGCCCTCTTCAGGTCTTACTAGGAACTGCTAGAGAAACCTACAAGCGATAGATCCTTAGGGCTCTGACCTTGTACATTTCTTTTCTTTTCTTTTCTTTTCTTTTTTTTCAATGGAGTCTCACTCTGTCACTCAGGCTGGAGTGCAGTGGCGCGATCTCGGCTCACTGCAACCTCCGCCTCCCGGGTTCAAGCGATTCTCCTGCCTCAGCCTCCCGAGTAGCTGGGACTACAGACGCCTGCTAACACACCTGGCTAATTTTTTGTATTTTTAGTAGAGATGGAGTTTCACCAGGTCGACCAGGCTGGTCTCAAACTCCTGAGCTCAGAGGATCCGCCCACCTCGGCCTCCCAAAGTGTTGGGTTTACAGGCGTGAGCCACCGCGCCCGGCTGTGACCTTGTACATTTCAATACACATTTATATTGTGGTTTCCACAGATGGCATTTGATTCTTGCACCAGGAATGCTGTGAGTCAGTAAAGGAGAAATCTCCCTCTTAGGCTGCTGACATCGGAGCTAAGAGGCTTGTTCTTAAGCCGAAGGAATCTGGCTAATAAGAGACTGAGCTAGAACCTGAGCACAGGATTTAGGACTCCTAATCCCAAAGGCTGTCCACCTCTTAGCCTGATTTGTAGTCTAAGGCTCAAACATCTCATCAATGAGCAACCCGCTTTTGCCTCCCTCCTCTCCGTCTGCAGGATTCAGGGTCACTGATCTTATTCCACAACTGTCTTCAGACTTCTCACTGCTTTCAGTTTCTAAAATATAATAAAAAAATAGTAATTTTCAACCAGATGTTGTGGCTCACGCCTGTAATCCCAGCACTTTGGGAGGCTGAGGTGGGAGGATCCCTTGAGCTCAGGAGTTTGAGACCACCCTGGGCAACATAGTGAGACCCCCATCTCTACAAAAAAATTTAAACATTAGCTGGATGTGGTGGCATGCAGCTGTAGTGCCAGCTACTCAGGAGGCTGAGGTGGGAGAATCACTCAAGCCTGGGAGGTTGAGGCTGCAGTGAGCTGTGATCACACCACTGCATTCTAGCCTGGGTGACAGAGCAAGATCCCATCCCCTCCCCCACAAAAAGAGTAGTTATCAAACCTGAACTGTCTGACCACTCCTGGGATGGATGTGAGAGGCAAGTACGTTAGAAACATTTAAAACATTTATTCCAAGTTTATAGAATGGCTACTGTGAACCAAGCCTTTGCACTAAGTGCTAGGAGACATGAAATGACACTCATAGCCCAGTGGCCAGTGGGCAGCCTCCTGGGGGCAAAAAAAGGCACACATTAATTCATTTTATTTTATTTATTTATTTTTTGAGACAGGGTCTTGTTGTGTCACCCAGGCTGGAGGGCAGTGGCACAATCTCAGCTCACTGCAACCTCCACCTCCTGGGTTCAAGCAATTCTTGTGCCTCAGCCTCCCGAGTAGCTGGGATTACAGGCACATGCCACCACACCCGGCTAGTTTGTGTGTGTGTGTTTGTGTTTTTTTGTTTGTTTGTTTTTGTTTTGTTTTTTGGTAGAGATGGGGTTTCTCCATGTTGGCCAGCCTGGTCTCGAACTCCTGATCTCAGGTGATCCACTCATCAGTCTCCCAAAATGCTGGGATTACATGCATGAGCCACTGCACCTGGCCTTGACGCACATTAATTCAGACGTAGTCATTTTGGTATGGGACTGAGTGCTAAGCTGTGCAATGCCAAGAGGCCGGGGAAGGGAAGAACCACAGGATTTAGAAGAACTAAGCGAGGCCCAGAGTCTGTGCTGAGAGGCAGATTCCCAAGGAGGGTGTTGCCAGATTTCAGAGGTTCTTCGAGTGCAGGCCAGGAAAGGAACTTTCCTCTGAACTGTGATCATGGTTATAATTAACAACACATTCAATCTGTGGCATCTGCATGCTGCGATTCTCACCCGAACTCCACGAAGCAGGAATACAATGAGTATCATCCCCATTTGTCAGATGGGGAACTAAGTTCTGCTGGAAAGTGACAGAGCCAACACTTTTGACTTTCTGGTGGGGACAGGAGCCAGCAAAGCCTAGTTCTGAGTCAAGGGGTTACATAATTGTTTAAAGATGATGCCTTCTGTTTGTAGAGAGCTTGGCTATTTACATGAAAAGCATGTGATTTCCTGGCATGCTTTTCATTTGCTCTCCTAACGCCAAGAGGAAGGCAGGGATGATGGAGGGTCCCCATTTTGCAGAGGAGGAAACTGAGGCCCAAAGAGATTATGGGCCTTGCCCAGGTCATAAAACACGGAGATGGGGCTGGACGAAGTGGCTCATACTAGTAATCCCAGCACTTTGGGAGACTGAGGCAGGAGGAGGGCTTGAGCACAAGAGTTCCAGACTGGCCCCAGAAACATAGGGAGACCCTGTCTCTAAAAAAAATTTTAAAGCAGTGGGGCATGATGGTGTGCACCTGTAGGCCCAGCAGAAGCAGGAGGGATCACTTGAACCCAGGGATTTGAGACTGCATTGAGCTATGATTGCAGCGCTGCACTCCAGCCAGGGTGACAGAGCAAGACCCTGGCTCAAAAGAGAGAAAAAAAAAAAGTCCGGGTGTGGTAGCTCAAGTCTGTAATCCCTGCACTTTGGGAGGCCAAGGTGGGTGGATCACTTGAGGTCAGGAATTTGAGACCAGCCTGGCCAACATGGTGAAACCCCATCTCTACTAAAATTACAAACATTAGCCAGGTGTGGTGGTGCATGCCTGTAATCCCAGCTACTTGGGAGGCAGAGGCACGAGGATTGCTTGAACCTGGGAGGCAGAGGTTGCAGTGAGCTGAGAGATCGAGTCACTGCACTCCATCTTGAGCAACAAGAGCGAGACTCCGTCTCAAAAAGAAAAAAAAAAGAGAGAGAGAGAGAGTCCCTTTTCTCTCTGACCCAGGATCACCAGGGAGAGGAAAGAGAAGAGATGGAGTGAATGAGACAGCTGTGGTCAGCAAGGCGTGTCCATCTTCCACGACCGACTCCTTCCCATTCAATCCCCTGCCTTGGGATCCTGCTTCTTCCCTGCATAGGCAGAAAGTACCTACCAACTTCCCTTCTTCCCAACTCCCTGCTCTGAGTACTGCGCTAGGAGCCAACTCAGCCACCTCCTGCAGCCCCAGCTCTCCATCTTAACTGCAGCCTCTCGCTCTTGGGTACTCACTGACTCAAATCCTCCCTCTGGGCCCAAGCATCAGGCTGAACAAAGACCTGTCCCTAGTTCACAGGTCACCTAGGATTCTTTTTTTTTTTCTTTGAGATGGGGTTTCGCTCTTGTTGCCCAGGCTGGAGTGCAATGGCGCGATCTCAGCTCACTGCAAACTTTGCCTCCCGGGTTCAAATGATTCTCCTGCCTCAGCCTCCTGAGTAGCTGGGATTACAGGCATGTGCCACCACACCTGGTTAATTTTGTATTTTTAGTACAGACAGGGTTTCTCCGTGTTGGTCAGGCTGGTCTCGAACCCCGACCTCAGGTGATCCACCTGCCTCAACCTCCCAAAGTGCTGGGATTACAGGCGTGAGCCACTGTGCCTGGCCAGTCACCTAGGGTTCTGCTGGAACTACTGAACTGTAGTTCAGTAGGTGATCTTACCACAGTAGGGTTTGTTGCTGGAGTTGCATTAGCTAAACAGGGTCTTTTAGACACTGGAATCTAAGCTGAAGGCTAATAATATTATTTGAAGATGGTGAAAGTTAATTCTACTAAAATTCCATCATAAAACTGTGGCATTGTGAAGGATTGTTGGCAACAAATAAATAGACGATAGTATAGTTTCTCAATTTATGGGAGTCATGGCCAAATGTCTCTAAACTCCCTTCTTTATTTAAGAAAATTGATTATTAAAAATGGCCAGTGGTTCACGCCTGTAATCCCAACACTTTGGGGGGCCAAGGTGGGCGGATCACCTGAGGTCAGGAGTTCGAGACCAGCCTGACCAACATGGTGAAATCCCGTCTCTACTAAAAATAAAAAATTAGCTGGGTGTGGTGGTGCATGCCTGTAATCCCAGCTAGTTGGAAGGTTGAGGCAGGAGAATTGCTTGAACCTGGGAGGCGGAGGTTGCAGTGAGCCAAGATCGTACCATTGCACTCCAGCCTGGGCAACAAGGGCAAAACAAGATAAAAAAAAAATTACGTGACCGGGCGCGGTGATGTACACTTGTAATACCAGCACTGTGGGAGGCCAAGGTGAGAGGATCACTTGAGGCTGGTAGTTTGAGACCAGCCTAGTCAACATAGTGAGATCCCTGTTTCTATAAAAAATT
Source organism: Homo sapiens (assembly GCF_000001405.40). Classification (NCBI taxonomy): domain Eukaryota; kingdom Metazoa; phylum Chordata; class Mammalia; order Primates; family Hominidae; genus Homo; species Homo sapiens. The sequence continues at coordinate 100,729,718 of NC_000007.14, forward strand.
TGCTGGGCTACTAAAAAATAGACTGTAGTTCCAACTACTTGGGAGGCTGAGGTTGTAGTGAGCTATGATTGAGCCACTGAACTCTAACCTGGGTGATAGAGCAAGACACTGTCTCAAAAAAAAAAGTGACTGCCACACATAAATTTCTTTCTTTTATTATTATTATTATTATTATTTTTTGAGACAGAGTCTCACTCTGTCACCCAGGCTGGAGTGCAGTGGTGCGATCTCGGCTCACTGCAACCTACCCCTCCTGGGTTCAAGAGATTCTCCTGCCTCAGCCTCCTGAGTAGCTGGGACTACAGGTGCGCACCACCATGCCCAGCTAATTTTGTATTTTTAGTACATACGGGGTTTCACCATGTTGGCCAGGCTGATCTTGAACTCCTGGCCTCAGGTGATCTGCCCACCTTGGCCTCCCAAAGTGTTGGGATTATAGGTGTGAGCCACTGCACCCAGCCAACATCATAGATTTCTGGCTTTAAAAAAATCTTGGCTGTACTGATTGAGCCTCCTCCCCAATCTTACAGAGGAAGGAACTAAGACACAGAGAGGGTGAGAAAAGTTCCCAAAGACACACAGCAAATTTAGGACTGGGCTCCAGTTCTCTCAAGGGCTTTTCCACAGCCCAAGGTCTCTCACACCTGTTCCCACAGCTGCCAGTCTTGTCAAGGTTGCCAGTCTCTGGGGCGTTGCTGGTTCCTGGCTCCCTAAAATACAGGGCCCAAGGGTCCTCCCCCACTTTCCTGTCCTGCCGTGAGCCCCCCACCCCCACTTCCAGACGGATTGGGAGCTGTGACCCCCAGCTCTGTGGTCCCAAAGGGAGGTCAGCTAAAGCAGCTACCAGGGGACTTATTGCCCAACAGGGAGTGGCTATGATCAATGTCTTCTGCTCCTCTTCCCTGGGTTAACCATTTCCTGGCCCTGGCCCCTCTGTTAATTCCTCTGCTAACCTGGTATGGAGGAAGGGTGGACAAGGGCTTGGGATGGACACCATTGATATCCCCAGGTCTGACATAAACAGGCAGGGGGGTGCTCTCAGTCCTCAGATGTGATCCCTGCCTGAGCTCTGTTGGCATTCCATGGCGAGGCTCTTCAGCCTCATTTGGGCAGAAGCGGTCCTGGGGATTGCAAAAGGGCTTTCTTTTTCTTTTATTTATTTCTTTTTAGAAACAGAGTCTCCTTGTGTTGCCCAGGCTGGAGTGCAATGGTACAATCATAGCTCACTGCAGCCTTGAACTCCTGGGCTCAGGCGACCCTCCCGCCTCAGCCTTCTTTGTAACTGGAACTACAGGTGTGCACCACCATGCTTAGATAATTTTTGTATTTTTTGTGTAGAGGGTGGGTTCTCGCTATGTTGCCCAAGCTGGTCTCGAACTCCTGGGCTCAAGCAATCCTCCTACCTTGGCCTCCCAAAGTTCTGGGATTACAGGCACAAGCCACCGCGCCCGGCCATTTCTTTTCTTTTCTTTTCTTTTCTTTTCTTTTCTTTTCTTTTCTTTTCTTTTTGAGACAGATTTTTGCTCTTGTTGCCCAGGCTGGAGTGCAATGGCGCGATCTTGGCTCACTGCAACCTCTGCCTCCCAGGTTCAAGCAATTCTCCTGCCTCAGCCTCCCGAGTAGCTGGGAGTACAGGCATGCACCACCATGCCCAACTAATTTTTTGTATTTAGTAGAGATGGAGTTTCACCATGTTAGTTAGGCTAGTCTTGAACTCCTGACCTCAAGTGATCTGTCAACCTCGGCTTCCCAAAGTGCTGGGATTACAGGCATGAGCCACCGTGCCCGGCCTCCGGCCATTTCTTAATATGATCCAATTACATACCTACTGATAAATATTTATCATAACTTTTCCTATTGTAAACAATGTTGCAATTAATATCTTTGGGTATCCGCAAATTTGTGCAAAGTGCATGTATTTCTGTAGCAAGTTTCCTAGAAATGTTAGGTCAAAGATATGCACATTTGAAAGTTCAACAGTCATTGTCAAATGCCTTCTAAGAAGTTTTCTGGCCAGGCACTGTGGCTCACACCTGTAATCCCAACACTATGGGAGGCCAAGGTGGGTGGATCACCTGAGGTCAGAAGTTCGAGACCAGCCTGACCAACATGATGGAACCCCATCTCCACTAAAAATACAAAATTAGCCGGGTGTGATGGCACATGCCTGTTAATCCCAGCTACTTGGGAGGCTGAGGCAAGAGAATTGCTTGAACTCGGGAGGTGGAGGTTTGCAGTGAGCTGAGATTGTGCCATTGCTCTCTAGGCTGGGTTGACTCCTCCCCCAAAACAAACAAACAAACCAAAAAACAAATGCCTTCTAAGAAGTTTTCACCGGCTGGGCACAGTGGCTCATGTTTGTAATCTCAGCACTTTGGGAGGCTGAGGCAAGCGGATCACTGGAGCCCAGGAGTTTGAGACCAGCCTGGGCAACATAGTGAGACCCTATCTCTACAATACAAGCAAGCAAAAAAAACAAACAGAAATTAGCTAGGCATGGTGGCTTGTGCCTGTAATCCCAGACACCCCGGGAGGCTGAGGTGGGAGAACTGCTTGAGCCTGGGAGGTTGAGACTGCAGTAAGCTGTGACGGCACCACTGCACTCCAGCCTGGGCAACAGAGTGAGACGCTGTCTCAAAAAAAAAAAAAAAGTTTTCACCAACATTCTTTTTTTGTTTTGTTTTGAGACAGGGTCTCGCTCTGTTGCTCTGGCTGGAGTACAGTGGCTTGATCATAGCTCACTGCAGCCTTGAACGCGTAAGTCCTCCCGCCTCAACCTCACAACCAGCTGGGACCTACAGGCACATACTGCCATGCTTGGTTAATTTTTAAATTTTTTGTAGAGACAGGGTCTCACTGTTTTGCCCAGGCTGGTCTCTAGCCTCAAGCGGTCCTACCATCTCGGCCTCCAAAAAGCACTTGGGATTACCAGCATGAGCCACTGCACCTGGCCACCAACCTACAGTCTTATCATCACTGAGTTCGTATCTACCTGCATCCTGTCCAATACTCCGTACTACCAATCTTTCAAATTTTTGTCGGCTGGGCACAGTGGCTCATGCCTGTAATTCCAGCACTTTGGAAGGCCAAGGCAGGCAGACTGCTTGAGCCCAGGAGTTTAAGACCAGCCCGGGAGACATGGCAAAACCCCATTTCTGCAAAATATACAAAAATTAGCTGGGCTTGGTGGCATGCACTGGTAGTCCCAGCTACTCCAGAGGCTAAGATGGGAAGATCACCTGACCCCGGGGGTTTGAGGCTGTAATGAGCCAAGTCATGCTGCTGCGCTCCAGCCTGGGTGACAGAACGAGGCCCTGTCTCAAAAAAAAGAAAAAAAAATTTTTTTTTGGTCAATATAAGAGTCATAGTTTTGATTAGCATTTCCCTTATTACTAGTGAAGCAGAACAGCTTTTCAAATGTTTGCTGCCTGTTTGTATCTCTTCCTCTGTGACTTATCTTTCTCCGTGATTTGCCAGTAGGCATTTGCAGTCCTTTTTTTCTTTTTTTTTTGACTTGGAGTCTCGCGATCTCGGCTCACTACAACCTCCGCCTACCAAGTTCAAGTGATTCTTGCGCCTCAGCCTCCTGAGTAGCTGGGATTATGAGCATGTGCCACCACCCCTAGCTAATTTTTTGTATTTTTAGTAGAGATGGGGTTTTGCCATGTTGGCCAGGCTGGTCTCGAACTCCTGACCTCAAGTGATCCACCCGCCTTGGCCTCCCAAATGCTGGGATTACAGGTGTGAGCCACCACGTCCAGCCGTTTGCAGTCCTTCCTTCACCTAACTCTCCAGTTGCCACTGTTGCCAGTTATAGAATTTTAGGTTTGAAATGGTTTTCTGTTGGAATTCTGCAGACAATGTTCCACTGGCTCTTAGACTCCATGGTTGCTATTGAAAAGCTGGATGCCATGTTGATTTCTGATCCTTGGTATATGACTTGTTATTTTCTATCTGAAAGTGTTTCAGATCTTCTCTTCACCCCTGATAGTCTGAAGTCCAGTGCTTCCATGGGTCTCTATGCTTTCATCACCCTGGACACCTTTTTAATCTAGAGACTTGTATATTTCAGTTCTGGATATTTTCTTGTGCGTTTTTCTTTTTAAAATAATAATTTCTTTTCCTTTGTTCTCTCTTTTTGAACTCCTTTCGTTTGAGGTTAGACTTCCTGGATTGATCCTCCAAACCTGTTTCCTTTTTGTTTCTTTCTCTTTTTTTTTCTCTTCTCTCTAGTTTATTTCCCTCGATTTCAATCTACGATGCTTCTACTGGATGGTAACTTTCAACTCTCATAATTTTAATTTCCCAGAGCTTTTCTGTGTTTCTCTGTTCATTCTTCATGGCATCCTTGGAAGGATGCCAAGCTAAGGAGGCCAGGGGGGAATAAAAGGAGTCCAGGCTCCCAACTGTGCCCTTCCCCTCTCCCCTGGGAGCAACCACTTAGGGTCCTCATGGTTCCTCCAGTCTGGACTCTGCTGCTTCTGGTGGGGGCTGCCCTTTTCAGGTAAGCTGGGCCCAGGGGGTAATGATAAACCAGGGTCAGCTGAGGGTGGCTGTAAGGAATATGGAAGGACAGAGCTGGAGGGGGCGAGCAGGCTAACTACAAAAGATCTGGAGAGAGGCCAGGCACGGTGGCTCACGCCTGTAATCCCAGCACTTTGGGAGGCTGAGGTGGGCAGATCACGAGGTCAGGAGATCGAGACCATCCTGGCCAACATGGTGAAACCTCGTCTCTACTAAAAATACAAAAAATTAGCCAGGCGTGGTGGTGTGCACCTGTAGTCCCAGCTACCCAGGAGGCTGAGGCAGGAGAATCGCTTGAACCTGGGAGGCGGAGTTTGCAGTGAGCTGAGATCATGCCATTGCACTCCAGCCTGGATGACAGAGCGAGACTCCGTCTCAAAAAAAAAAAAACAAAAAAAAAGACCTTGAGAGGAAGGGGGAAACCCGGTGGGATGGAAATGGGTTGACCTTGACTGCTGAACAGGAATTAAGGGGCGGGTTCTGGGAGCGGGACAGGGCTACAATGTGAGAAGGGACGGAGGAGGTGCAGAGCTGGAAGACAGATCTAAGCCTAGGAGAGAAGGATTGAGGGGTCAGGCCCTCAGGAAACGGACAAGACCCAGGGTGGACCCAGCTGATGAGAGAGACTTAAGTACGAGGCAGCAAAGAAATGACGGATGACAGGCCAAGCGCGGCGGCTCACCCCTGTAATCCCAGCACTTTGGGAGGCCGAGGCGGGCGGATCACCTGAGGTCAGGTGTTGAGACCAGCCTGACCAACATGGTGAAACCCTGTCTCTACTAAAAATATAAAATTAGCCAGGCATGGTGGTGCATGCCTGTAATCCCAGCTACTTGGGAGGCTGAGGCAGGAGAGTCACTTGAACCCGGGAGGCGGAGACTGCAGTGAGCGGAAATTGCACCATTGCACTCCAGCCTGGGCAACAAGAGCAAAACTCCATCTCAAAAGAAAAAAAAAAAGAAATGATGGATGTCTTGGTGTCCTGCAGTGTGTTTGGGAGAATTTGAACAAGTAGAACTTCAACAACAACAAAAAACAGAGGGCTGAGCACAGTGGCTCCCACCGGTAATCCCAGCACTTTGGGAGGCCAAAGTGGGAGGATTGCATAAGGCCAGGAGGTCATGACCAGCCTGTGCAACATAGAAAGACCCCATCTCTATAAAAAATAAAAATAAATTAGCTGGGCGTGGTGGCATGCTCCTGTAGTCCCAGCTACTGGGGAGGTTGAGGTGGGAGGATTGCTGGAGCCCAGAGGTTTGAGGCTGCAGTGAGCTGTGATTGTATCACTGCACTCTAGCCTGGGTGCCGGAAAAAAAAAAAAAGAAAAGAAAAAAAGAAAAAAAGTCAAGTCAGACACATTCACTGCATAAACACTGATCATCCTTACGTGACCACTCAGAAAGCTCACAGTCACTGAATCTTATAATTCTTGATAATGACACGAGTTGCATTTTTGCTTTCTTCAAACGACCCCCAAGGAAAGAGAAGCCTCCGGACCAGAAGCTGGTTGTTCGCAGCTCTAGGGACAACTGTGAGTTGGAAACCAGGAGTGCTAAGATTTCTCCTCCCTCCTCCGAACCCACATTCTGCCACCAGAATGCCAGTTCCTGAGTTCCTAGCAGGAGCAGCCACCTCCAGTCCCCTCCGGGCATCAGCCAGGACTACAAAATGTGTCCTGCCAGGCCAAGTCCAGCCCTCCAACCTCAGTTCATGACCCCGGACCTTGTCATTCTGTCCACTCTCCCAGCCCCGAATTTCTCCTAAAAGATTCTCTCTTTCAAATCTCTGCTCTGGGCCGGGTGCTGTGGCTCACACCTGTCATCCCAACACTTAGGGAGGCCAAGGTGGGAGGATGGCTTGAGGCCAGGAGTTTGAGAGCAGCCTGGGCAACATAGTAAGACTCCATCTCCACAAAAAACAGACGAGCAATTTCTGCTCTGGACCCCAAGGCTTTGCAACAGCTTTCTTTTTCTTTTCTTTGAGACGGAGTCTCCCTCTGTCCCTCAGGCTGGAGTGCAGTGGCGCGATCTTGGCTCACTGCAAAGTCCGCCTCCTGGGTTCAAGCGATTCTCTTGCCTCAGCCTCCCCAGTAGCTGGGACTACAGGTGTGCGCCACCACACCCGGCTGATTTCATGGCAGCTTTCTCTAAGTGTAGCAATCTTGCTACTTCCCTCTCCCTGTGTGGCTCTGGGCCCTGCCCCTGCCCTCTCTGAAACCTCACTGTGACCCATTCTTCCTAGATGTCCTCACCCAGTGTGATTTTGAGGATGACGCCAAACCCCTCTGTGACTGGTCCCAAGTGTCCGCAGACGATGAAGACTGGGTTCGAGCCAGTGGGCCCTCTCCCACCGGCTCCACCGGGGCCCCCGGGGGGTACCCTAACGGAGGTGAGGGGCTATGGTTTCCAGGGGACCATGAGCAGGGAGGTGGCTGGGAGGCGGGAGTGGCTAGATGGAGAGAGAAGGGAGGCAGCCAGACCTGGATGCCTGGGCTCTGAGAAGGGGATGGGTGGGGGCAGCCCTCAGAGGTGGCTGGGCCTCAGTGTCTTGGGCTCTGCCTCCCCCAGAGGGCAGCTATCTGCATATGGAATCGAACAGCTTCCACCGTGGGGGAGTGGCCCGCCTGCTCAGCCCCGACCTATGGGAGCAAGGCCCCCTCTGTGTGCACTTTGCCCACCACATGTTCGGGCTGTCTTGGGGCGCCCAGCTCAGGCTGCTGCTGCTCTCGGGTGAAGAGGGCCGCCGCCCCGATGTGCTCTGGAAACACTGGAACACCCAGAGACCCTCCTGGATGCTCACCACCGTCACTGTGCCCGCAGGGTTCACCCTGCCCACCCGGGTAAGGCCGGGGACAAATTGTGGGACCTCGGGGGGGAGTCTGGGTGTTGGAGAGCCTGAGGGTGGGGGTGTGGCAAAAAGGGATTGTGGGGGCCAAGCCATCTGAATTCAGGAAGAAAACTAGGAGCCAGGAGGCCTGGCTGAGGGGCTCATGGGGTTGGGGTCCCCTTATCCTCTTGCAGCTGATGTTTGAGGGAACACGGGGTAGCACTGCCTACCTGGACATCGCCCTGGATGCCCTCTCTATCCGCCGGGGCTCCTGTAATCGCGGTGAGTCCCTGTCCCTCCTCCCGCCTGCCCTCGGACCCTTTTCTCTCCGTCCTTGCACAACAAGAAGAGGATCCAGGGCGGGCGCGGTGGCTCATGCCTGTAATCCCAGCACTTTGGGAGGCCGAGGCGGGCGGATCACGAGGTCAAGAGATAGAGACCTTTCTGGTTAACACGGTGAAGCCCCGTCTCTACTAAAAATACAAAAAATTAGCCGGGCGCGGTGGCGGGCGCCTGTAGTCCCAGCTACTTGGGAGGCTGAGGCAGGAGAATGGCATGAACCTGGGAGGTGGAGCTTGCAGTGAGCCGAGATCGTGCCACTGCACTCCAGCCTTGGCGATGGAGTGAGACTCCGTCTCAAAAAAAAAAAAAGAAGAATGAGAAAGGAGATGAGGAGCTGGCTGTATTGGGTCTGCCAGGTAGAGCTATTAGGGCTTTGACTCTGGAAGCAGCCGTGCCTAAAGAGAGGTCTCGGCCCAGCACAGTGGCTCAGGCCTGTAATCCCAGCACCTTGGGAGGCCAAGGTGGGAGGATGGTGTGAGGCCAGGAGTTTGAGATCAGCCTGGGCAACATAAGGAGACCCCCATCTCTACAAAAGAATTTATTTATTTATTTATTTATTTATTTGAGACGGAATTTCACTCTTGTCACCCAGGCTGGAGTGTAGTGGCACGATCTCGGCTCACTGCAACTTCTGCCTCTTGGGTTCAAATGATTCTCCTGCCTCAGTCTCCCAAGTAGCTGGGATTACAGGTGCCCACCACCATGCCTGGCTAATTTTTGTATGTTTAGTAGAGCCGGGGTTTCATTGTGTTGGCAAGGCTGTTCTAGAACTCCTGACCTCAGGTGATCCACTCACCTCAGCCTCCCAAAATGCTGGGATTACAGGAGTTAAGTCACCGTGCCAAGAACTTTTTAAAAATTAGCTCGGCATGGTGGCGCACACCTGTAGTCCTAGCTACTTGAGAGGTTGAGGTGGGAGGACCGCTTGAGTCCAGGAGTTCGAGGCCGCAGTGAGCTATGATCACACCACTGTACTCTAGCCTGGGTGACAGAGACCCTGTCTCTAAAAAAGAAGAAAACATTATATCTTCCCTTCTTTCTTTCCTCTCAGTCTGTATGATGCAAACATGCAGCTTTGACATTCCAAATGACCTCTGTGACTGGACCTGGATCCCAACTGCCTCCGGGGCCAAGTGGACTCAGAAGAAAGGGTCATCAGGAAAGCCAGGCGTGGGGCCTGATGGCGACTTCTCTAGCCCTGGTAGTGAGTAGCGGCCATGCTTCTGTCCCTTGACTTTCTGGGCACCAAGCACCCTACGATAATTGCCCTGGGACGGTCTGTCATGAACACCTACAGCTTCAAGCCTCTTACCAGCTCAAGTTTCACGCAAGAAGCTGATTTCAAGCACCCAGCCAGCCTCCCCCACCACCGCCCTACAAGCTCTACCTGGCAGACCCAATACAGCCAGCTCCTCATCTCCTTTCTGTGGCTCTTCTTCTTCTTCTTTCTCTTCCTCTTCTTCTTCTCCCTCTCCCTCTCCCTCTCCCTCTCCCTCTCCCTCTCCCTCTCCCTCTCCCTCTCCCTCTCCCTCTCCCTCTCCCTCTCCCTCTCCCTCTCCCTCTCCCTCTCCCTCTCCCTCTCCTTCTCCTTCTCCTTCTTCTTTTTCTTTTTTTTTTTTTGAAGCAGAGTCTCGTTCTGTCACCCAGTCTGGAGTGCAGTGGCGTGATCTCTGCTCACTGCAACCTCTGCCTCCTGGGTTTAAGCAATTCTCCTGCCTCAACCTCCCAAGTAGCTGAGACTGCAGGCGTGCACCACCATGCCCGGCTAATTTTTGTATTTTTGGTACAGACAGGGTTTCACCATGTTGGCCAGGCTGGTCTCGAACTCCGGACCTCAAGTGGTCCACCTGCCTCAGCCTCCCAAATGCTGGGATTACAGCGTGAGCCATTGCTTCTGGCCCCTTTCATTCTTCATTCATTCAAGAAATACTGAGCACCTACAATATGCCAGGTGCTGTCCTAGGCACTTAAAATACACCAGTGCAGAAAACAGACAAGGAAGAGTAGGGTGTGGTAGCGGGGGGGCAGTTACCGACACAAAGTAAATATAGTTATAAAGTGAGCGATGCTACTGGGAAAATAAAAAGTCAAACAAGTTTGGAGCCAAGTGCACTGGCTCACGCCTGTAATCCCAGCGCTTTGGGAAGCTGAGACGGGAGGATCACCTCAAGTGATCTGCCCACTTTGGCCTCCCAAAGTGCTGGGATTACAGGCGTGAGCCACTGTGCCCCGCCGTGAGTTATCAATTATTTATTTATTTATTTTGGAGACAGAGTCTCGCCCTGTCTCCCAGGCTGGAGTGCAGTGGCTCTATCTCGGCTCACTGCAAGCTCCGCTGCCCAGGTTCAATTGATTCTCCTACCTCAGCCTCCTAAGTAACTGGGACTACAGGTGTACACCACCACGCCCAGCTAATTTTTGTGTTTTTAGTAGAGACGGGGTTTCACCACGTTGGCCAGGCTGGTCTTGAACTGCTGACCTCAGGTGATCCGGCCACCTCGGCCTCCCAAAGTGCTGGGATTATAGGCGTTGAGCCACTGTGCCTGGGCGAGTTACCGATTTTAAATAGGCTGGTCAGAGTAGGTCACATTCAGGACACATTTGAGCACGAACTTGAAAAAGGTGAGGTAGTAGCAGAGGACATTCCAGGCTGAGGGGCCAGCTGTGCAAAGGTCCTGAGGTAGCAGTGGGGCTGTCGGGGAAGGAGGGGATCAAGGCACAGCAAAGAGCCATGTGGCCAGCATGAAGAGGGTGACCTGAGATCCACAGGAGCGGCAGATCACATAGAGCCTTGAAGGCCATTGTCAGGACTGTGGCTTTCCTATTCTGTGTGAATGGGGAGCCTTTGCAGGATTTTGAGCAGTGACTTGATCTGACTTATTTATTTTTTTTTTTTTAATTTATTTTTTTATTGATAATTCTTGGGTGTTTCTCACAGAGGGGGATTTGGCAGGGTCATGGGACAATAGTGGAGGGAAGGTCAGCAGATAAACAAGTGAACAAAGGTCTCTGGTTTTCCTAGGCAGAGGACCCTGCGGCCTTCCGCAGTGTTTGTGTCCCTGATTACTTGAGATTAGGGATTGGTGATGACTCTTAACGAGCATGCTGCCTTCAAGCATCTGTTTAACAAAGCACATCTTGCACCGCCCTTAATCCATTTAACCCTGAGTGGACACAGCACATGTTTCAGAGAGCACAGGGTTGGGGGTAAGGTCACAGATCAACAGGATCCCAAGGCAGAGGAATTTTTCTTAGTGCAGAACAAAATGAAAAGTCTCCCATGTCTACTTCTTTCTACACAGACACGGCAACCATCCGATTTCTCAATCTTTTCCCCACCTTTCCCGCCTTTCTATTCCACAAAGCCGCCATTGTCATCCTGGCCCGTTCTCAATGAGCTGTTGGGCACACCTCCCAGACGGGGTGGTGGCCGGGCAGAGGGGCTCCTCACTTCCCAGTAGGGGCGGCCGGGCAGAGGCGCCCCTCACCTCCTGGGCGGGGCGGCTGGCCGGGCGGGGGGCTGACCCCCCCCACCTCCCTCCCGGATGGGGCGGCTGGCCGGTCGGGGGGCTGACCCCCCACCTCCCTCCCGGACGGGGCGGCTGGCCAGGCAGAGGGGCTCCTCACTTCCCAGTAGGGGCGGCCGGGCAGAGGCGCCCCTCACCTCCCGGACGGGGCGGCTGGCCGGGCAGGGGGGCTGACCCCCCCACCTCCCTCCCGGACGGGGCGGCTGGCCGGGCGGGGGGCTGACCCCCCCACCTCCCTCGCGGACGGGGCAGCTGGCCGGGCAGAGGGGCTCCTCACTTCCCAGTAGGGGCGGCCGGGCAGAGGCGCCCCTCACCTCCCGGACGGGGCGGCTGGCCGGGCAGGGGGGCTGACCCCCCCCACCTCCCTCCCGGACGGGGCGGCTGGCCGGGCAGGGGGGCTGACCCCCCCCACCTCCCTCCCGGACGGGGCGGCTGGCCGGGCGGGGGGCTGACCCCCCCACCTCCCTCGCGGACGGGGCGGCTGGCCGGGCAGAGGGGCTCCTCACTTCCCAGTAGGGGTGGCCGGGCAGAGGCGCCCCTCACCTCCCGGATGGGGCGGCTGGCCGGGCAGGGGGGCTGACCCCCCCCACCTCCCTCCCGGACGGGGCGGCTGGCCGGGCGGGGGGCCGACACCCCCACCTCCCTCCCGGACGGGGCGGCTGGCCGGGCGGGGGGCCGACCCCCCCACCTCCCTCCCGGACGGGGCGGCTGGCCGGGCAGAGGGGCTCCTCTCTTCCCAGTAGGGGCGGCCGGGCAGAGGCGCCCCTCACCTCCCAGACGGGGCGGCTGGCCGGGCGGAGGGCTGACCCCCCCACCTCCCTCCCGGACGGGGCGGCTGGCCGGGCAGAGGGGCTCCTCACTTCCCAGTAGGGGCGGCCGGGCAGAGGCGCCCCTCACCTCCCGGACCGGGCGGCTGGCCGGGCGGGGGGCTGACCCCCCCACCTCCCTCCCGGATGGCACGGCTGGCCGGGCGGGGGGCTGACCCCCCACCTCCCTCCCGGATGGGGCGGCTGGCCGGGCGGGGGGCTGACCCCCCCTCACCTCCCTCCCGGACGGGGTGGCTGCCGGGCGGAGATGCTCCTCACTTCCCAGATGGGGTGGCTGCTGGGCGGAGAGGCTCCTCACTTCTCAGACGGGGCAGCTGCCGGGCGGAGGGGCTCCTCACTTCTCAGACGGGGTGGTTGCCAGGCAGAGGGTCTCCTCACTTCTCAGACGGGGCGGCCGGGCAGAGACGCTCCTCACCTCCCAGACGGGGTCTCGGCCGGGCAGAAGCGCTCCTCACATCCCAGATGGGGCGGTGGGGCAGAGGTGCTCCCCACATCTCAGACGATGGGCGGCCGGGCAGAGACGCTCCTCACTTCCTAGATGTGATGGCGGCTGGGAAGAGGCGCTCCTCACTTCCTAGATGGGATGGCGGCCGGGCGGAGACGCTCCTCACTTCCCAGACTGGGCGGCCGGGCAGAGGGGCTCCTCACATCCCAGACGATGGGCGGCCAGGCAGAGACACTCCTCACTTCCCAGACGGGGTGGCGGCCGGGCAGAGGCTGCAATCTCGGCACTTTGGGAGGCCAAGGCAGGCGGCTGGGAGGTGGAGGTTGTAGTGAGCCGAGATCACGCCACTGCACTCCAGCCTGGGCACCATTGAGCACTGAGTGAACGAGACTCCGTCTGCAATCCCGGCACCTCGGGAGGCCGAGGTTGGCGGATCACTCGCGGTTAGGGGCTGGAGACCCGCCCGGCCAACACAGCGAAACCCCGTCTCCACCAAAACCAGTCAGGCGTGGCGGCGCGTGCCTGCAATCGCAGGCACTCGGCAGGCTGAGGCAGGAGAATCAGGCAGGGAGGTTGCAGTGAGCCGAGATGGCAGCAGTACAGTCCAGCTTCGGCTCCGCATGAGAGGGAGACCGTGGGGAGAGGGAGACGGAGACGGAGACGAGGGAGAGGGAGGGGGAGGGGGACGGGGACGATCTGACTTATTTTTTAAGGATTTTTTTTGTGTTGAGAATCCACTGAGGAGAACAGGCAAGGGTCGATGCAGAGAGGCTGTTTAGGAGGCTTTTGCAAAAATCCAGGCGACACTCTTTCTTTTTCTTTCTTTTTTTTTTTTTGAGACAGAATCTTGCTGTTGCCAGGCTGGAGTGCAATGGCACGATCTCAGCTCACTGCAACCTCTGCCTTCCGGGTTCAAGCGATTCTCCTGCCTCAGCCTCCCGAGTAGCTGGGATTACAGGTGTGCGTCACCATGCCCAGTTAATTTTTTGTATTTTTAGTAGAGATGGGGTTTCACCATGTTGGTCAGGGTGGTCTCGATCTTCTGACCTCGTGATCCACCCACTTGGCCTCCCAAAATGCTGGGATTACAAGCGTAAGCCACCATGCCTGGCTGATATTCTTTCTTTCTATGCACCCAAGTCTATCCCTAGCTTCTTTCCACCACCTCCCTGTGCACTCAGCTGAGCTTCTTTCTCTTTCTACTGTTGACTTCTTCCTTTTCTCTCTCACACAACATTCACTTTCTCTCTTAATCTTCTCACACAGCCCACATTTCAACCCCTCACTGAGCCAAGCACTGTAGGTCAAGCATAGAGGGTTCTGCTCCCTAATTTCCTGAGTTTATAATTCTTATTTTTGAATTTAAAAAAATGTTTTTAAAAACTAGGCCAGGTGCAGTAGCTCATGCCTGTAATCCCAGCACTTTGGGAGGCCGAGGTGGGCAGATCACTTGAGGCCACGAGTTCAAGACCAGCCTGGAACATATAGTGAGATCTTGTCTCTACAAAAAATACAAAAATTAGCCCAGTGTGGTGGCACACACCTGTAGTCCCAGATACTCGGGAGGCTGACGTGGGAGGACTGATTGAGCCTGGGAGGTGGAGGTGGCAGTGAGCTGTGATCGCACTACTGCACTCCAGCCTGGGCGACAGAGTGAGATTGTGTCTCAAAATAAATAAATAAATAAAAATAGAGATGGGGTCTTGCTACATTGCCCAGGCTGGTCTCAAACTCTGGGCCTCAAGCCATCTTCCTGCTTCGGCCTCCCAAAGTGCTTGAAGTACAGGTGTGAGCTGCCACGCCCAGCCTATATCTCTTTGTTCTTCTTTTCCCTTAATACTTATCCTTTCTCAATCCATTTCCTCCCTTCCACTTTACCATTTCCACACTTTATTTTATTTTCTTTATTTGTAAAGATGGGGTCTTGCTATGTTGCCCAGGCTGGTCTCGGACTCCTGGCCTCAAGTGATCCTCCTGCCTCTGCCGTATTTTCTTTTCTGTTTTTCCCCATCTTTTCCTCTCTCCACTCCATCAGTGTCCACTTGGACTCCTGCACTCCTGTCTCTGATCTTTCCTGCTGCCTAAACTTTGTTTTCTAGAAGGGCCCTGGCCAGGCGTGGTGGCTCATGCCTGTAATCCCAGCACTTTGGGAGGCGGAGGCAGGTGGATCACCAGAGGTCAGGAGTCCGAGACCAGCCTGGCCAACATAGCGAAACCCGTCTCTACTAAAAATACAAAAAATTAGCTGGGCTTGGTGGTGTGCACCTGTAATCCCAACACTCGGGAGGCTGAGGCAGGAGAATTGTTTGAACCTGGGAGGCGGAGGTTGCAGTGAGCCGAGATAGCGCCACTGCACTCCAGCCTGGGCAACAGAGTGAGACTCCATCTCAATAAAAATAAATAAATAAATACGTACATAAATAAATAAGGCCTTAAGAAGCCCTGGCCCCACCTTCACTGAAAGCCGACCAGCCCTCTCTGCAACCCCTCAGCATTTAGCACCGTGTACCGCGCCCAGCAGCTTCAGTAAATGCTGGTTGGCTTTTTATTTTTCCTTTCTTTCCCTTTCCTTTTCCATCTTGCTCGCTTCCTTATATTTTCTTCACCTTTCACTTCTTTTTCTCCCATTTCTCCTCTTCTGTTTCTCATAGGTCTCCTTGGTTTTTTTTTTGTTGTTGTTGTTTGTTTGTTTTTTGAGACAGTCTCGCTCTGTCGCCCAGGCTGGAGTGCGGTGACGCGATCTCAGCTCACTGCAACCTCCGCCTCCCGGGTTTAAGCGATTCTCCTGCCTCAGCCTCCCGAGTAGCTGGGATTACAGATGCCCGCCACCACGCCCGGCTAATTTTTGTACTTTTAGTAGAGACGGGATTTCGCCATGTTGGCCAAGCTGGTCTAGAACCCCTGACCTCAGGTGATCCGCCCGCCTCGGTCTCCCAAAGTGCTGGGATTACAGGCGTGAGCCACCGCGCCAGCCCGTGTCCTTGATTTCTCTTTCATCATTTTCCCACTTCCTTTCCTTTCCCTTCCCTCTTCCTTCCCGGTTGTTTCCTTTCTTCTCCTTCCTCCCGCCCATTCCCGCCATTCCAGCCTCTTCGCCGCCGCTCAGGATCCCACCTTCGGCAGGAGTGAGCGCGCGCCAGGCAAGACTCCCTTGGACTCGGGCGTGAGCACGCACGCGAGCGCGCTCCCCACGAGTGGCAGCCGCTTACATTTTCTTTTTCGCTACCAGTTGCGTCACCTAGCGAGGTCCACGCTGATTGGCTGTCTGAGCTGGGGGCCGAGGTGGTGTTGGGTGAGAGGGGGTTTGCCTCTTGCTCCTCTGTGTCAGAGCCGCTGTATCTCTCGCCAGTTTGCGTGAATAGGTTATGTCCAGCGGGTAAAGAAAAGGAAGAGGCAATCGGGTGTAGTGGCTCAAGCCTGTAATCCCAGCACTTTGGGAGGCCAAGGCGGGAGGATTGCTTGAGGCCAGGAGTTCAAGACCAGCCTGGGCAACATCGTGAGACCGCCCATCTCTTAAAAAAAAAAAAATTAGCTGGGCGGACTCCAGGTCCGCACCTGGAGTCCCAGCTACTCAGGAGGCTGTGGCAAAAGGATTGCTTGAGCCTAGGAGTTTGAGACCTGTGCCACTGCACTTTAGCCTGGGCAACAGAACCATACCTTGTCTCAAAAAAGAAAAAGGAAAAAAGAAAAGGAACAGGCTATGACTCTAGTGGACCTTAAGAGTTAGCACCCAGGCCAGATGTGATGGCTCATGTCTGTAATCCCAGCACTTTGGGAAGCCAAGGTGCGTGGATCATTTGAACCTAGGAGTTCAAGACCAGCCTGGGCAATGTGGTGAAACCCTATCTTTTCAAAAAAAAATGCAAAAATTAGCAGGGCGTGGTGGCGCACACCTGTAGTCCCAGCTACTTAAGGAGGCTGAGGCGGGAGGATCACCTGAGCCCGGGGAGGTTGAGTCTGCAGTGAACCATGAGAGCCATGATTGCGCCACTGCACTCCAGACTGGGCGACAGAGTGAGACTGTCTCAAAAACAAAAACAAAACAACAACAACAAAGAGTTAGCACCCAAAGGTCAAAGTTCTAGTTGCTGCTTTGGAGAAGGTGTCCGCCGCTTCCCATGGCAGCGCCGGGTCCTTACCCAGCCCAAGCATTTCTAGGAAAAGTTGAAGACCTCAGTCAGTTGGGATAGGACCACCTCAGTGCTGCCTGATTCTAGGCTGCTGTTGGGGATCCCCAGAGACAAGTCCACAGCCTCCTCAGGGCCCTATCTCTGCTGCCATCTTCCCTCAATTCCATCCACCCCAGTTCCCTGGCCTTTTGCTTCACAGGTGGCTGCTACATGCTCCTGGACCCCAAGAATGCAAGACCTGGGCAGAAAGCTGTCCTCCTGAGCCCCGTGAGCCTGTCCTCTGGCTGTCTGAGCTTTTCCTTCCACTACATCCTCCGGGGCCAGTCTCCTGGTGCAGCCCTCCACATTTATGCTTCAGTCTTGGGTTAGAGCGGAGAATTAATGGGATTTACACTGATCTGGGCGCATCTCCCAGGGTTGGCTTGATGGGGAAACATGGGGCATCCCTCAGGGTCTAGGGAGGTCTGGAATATGTGCGAGACTATTCCATGAAGTGGAAATCATGGCTGGGAGGGCACTTTGGGAGGCCGAGGCAGGCGGATCACGAGGTCAGGAGATCGAGACCATCCTGGCTAACATGGTGAAACCCCGTCCATACTAAAAATACAAAAATTAGCTGCCTGTAGTCCCAGCTACACGGGAGGCTGAGGCAGGAGAATCGCTTGAACCCGGGAGGCGGAGGTTGCAGTGAGCCGAGATCGCGCCACTGCACTCCGGCCTGGTGACAGAGCAAGACTCCCTCTCAAATAAAAAAGAAAGTTGTGCTGGCCTGGCACAGTGGCTTATGCTTGTAATCCTAGCACGTTGGGAGGGTGAGGCTGGTGGATCACCTGAGGTCAGGAGTTCGAGACCAGCCTGGCCAACATAGAGAAACCTTGTCTCTACTAAAAATACAAAAATTAGCCAGGTGTGGTGGCACACGCCTGTAATCTCAGCTACTCAAGAGGCTGAGGCAGGAGAATCGCTTGAACCTGGGAGACAGAAGTTGCAGTGAGCCAAGATAGTGCCACTGCACTCCAGCCTGGGCAACAGAGCAATACTCCATCTCAAAAAAAAATAATGAATAAATAAAATAAAAAAGAAGATTGTGCTTTCATTTGGTGGTAATCGTCCCCAGCTATGCCCTCTGCTCCTCATCCTCCTAGGTATAGTTCAAAGTCGTTTCCCAGTCCCCTTAAGCTCACTTCTCCTTCCAATTCCTTTCACTGCAGGGAGTATCCGGAAACACACTCTCTTCTCAGGACAACCTGGGCCCAACTGGCAGGCTGTTTCTGTCAATTACACAGCCGTGGGACGGATACAGGTACAGAGAAGCAAGGGGTCAGGTCCTTGCACATGGTAGGCACACCCAATGTTGAAATAAATTGAGGGGCCTGGTGCTGTGGCTCATGCCTGTATTCCCAATACTTTGGGAGGCTGAGGAGGGAGGATCGCTTCAGGACAGGAGTTCAAGACCAGCCTGGGCAACATAGAAAGACCCCATCTCTACAAAAAAATACAAAAATTAGGCGGGCACAGTGATGTGTGCCTGTAGTCCCAGCTACTAGGGAGCCTGAGGTGGGAGGATCACTTGAGCCCTGGAGGTCAAGGCTGCAGTGAGCTATGATCACACCACTGTACTCCAGCCTGGGCAATAGAGCAAGACTCTGAAAAAAAAAAAAAAAGAAAGAAAGAACTGAATTGAGGGTCTGGGCACAGGGAGTAGGGATTCTGGGTCCTGGAATGGAGTCGAGTTAGATCAGGGGCTTGGGGGTGTGGGCTGTGTGCTCACTCCTGCTCCATCTCCCTTTCTCTCCAGTTTGCCGTGGTAGGCGTTTTTGGAAAGACCCCAGAGCCAGCTGTGGCAGTTGATGCAACCAGCATTGCTCCTTGTGGGGGTGAGAGCAGGCCCTGAGAGGCCCGGATCTCTCAGAATCCGGGGTGGGCTGGGGGAGGGCTGGAGAGCGTCACTCAACTTGCTCAAATATCCTATTTTGATCCCCCAGAGGGTTTTCCTCAGTGTGACTTTGAAGACAACGCCCATCCCTTCTGTGACTGGGTCCAGACTTCCGGGGATGGTGGACACTGGGCCCTCGGACATAAAAATGGACCCGTCCATGGCATGGGCCCTGCGGGAGGTTTCCCTAATGCAGGTGAGGAGATTGAGGAGCGCTCACGCCAAGAAATCACTCAGTCTGCTCCCAGGTAGCAGGCTGGCTGCTGTGACTGATGGGAGACGTTGTTTCAGGCAGTGGGAAGATCAGTCCACAGGTGTTTTTTCGGAAGTTTCCATGGTACTGGAATTGTGGAGATAGCAGAGTAACTTAAAGATTCTCAGGGCTGGGGGGTCACTGAAATCCTGAGAAAACCCAGGCATCTCACTTCATGGAGCCCAAAGCTTCAAAACCCACCACCTCATTTTCAGTCTAGACGTTTATGAGTGGCTCATGCCTGCAATTCCAGCACTTTGAGAGGCCGAGACGGGAAGATTGCTTGAGCCCAGGAGTCTGAGCTCAGCCTGGGCAACATAGTGAGAACCCCATCTCTAGAAAAAAAAATTTTTTTTTAATTAGCTAGATGTGGTGGTGTGTGCTTGTGGTCCCACCTACTTGCGAGGCTGATGTGGGAGGATCGCTTCAGCTCAGAAGTCAAGGCTGCAGTGAGCTATGATTGAACCAGTGCACTCCAGCCTGGGCAACAGAGCAAGACCTTGTCTCTAAAAATTAAAAATAAAAAAATAGGCCAGGCATGGTGGCTCACGCCTTTAATTCCAGCACTTTGGGAGGCCGAGGCAGGTGGATCACTTGAGGTCAGGAGTTCGAGACCAGCTGGGCAACATAGTGAAACCCTGACTCCACTAAAAAAAATGTAAAAATTAGCCGGGAGTGGTGGCGTGCACCTGTAGTCCCAGCTACTCAGGAGGCTGAGGCAGGAGAACTGCCTGACCCCAGGAGGTGGAGACTGCAGTGAGCTGAGATCGCACCACTGCACTCCATCCGGGGCAACAGAGTAAGATTCTGTCTTAAAAATATATAAAAAGAGGCTGGGCGCAGTGGCTCACACCTGTAATCCCAGCACTTTGGGAGGCCAAGGAGGGCGGATCACAAGGTCAGGAGATCGAGACCATCCTGGCTAACACGGTGAAACCCCGTCCCTACTAAAAACACAAAAAATTAGCCAGGCATGGTGGTGGGCGCCTGTAGTCCCAGCTACTCGGGAGGCTGAGGCAGGAGAATGGCGTGAGCCCGGGAGGCAGAGCTTGCAGTGAGCCGAGATCACGCCATTGTACTCCAGCCTGGGTGACAGAGTGAGACTCCGTCTCAAAAAAAAAAAAATATATATATATATATATATATATACACACACACACATATATATACACACATATATATATACACACACACACATATATATATATAAAGAAATAATTTTTTAAAAAGACAATAATGAGGGTGGGGTGCAGTGGCTCACACCTGTAATCCCAATGCTTTGGGAGGCTGAGACGGGTGGATCACTTGAGGCCGAAAGTTCAAGACTAGCCTGGCCAACATGGTGAAACCCCACCTCTACTAAAAACACAAAAATTAGCCAGACATGGTGGTACACACCTGTAATCCCAGCTACTTGGGAGGCTGAGGCAGGACAATCGCTTGAACCTGGGAGGTGGAGGTTGTAGTGAGCTGAGATCGTGTCACTGCACTCCAGCCTGGGCAACAGAGCGAGACTCCATCTCAAAAAAACAACACACACACACACACACACACACACACACACACACACACGACATTAATGAATGTAATCTAGGTTGCTGGTTTGTTATTCCCTTTTTTTCTTTTTTGAGATGGAGTCTTGCTCTGTTGCCAGGCTGGAGTGCAGTGACGTGATCTTGGCTCACTGCAACCTCCACCTCCGGAGTTCAAGCAATTCTCCTGCCTCAGACTCCCGAGTAGCTGGGACTCCAGGCACGGGCCACCACGCCCAGCTAATTTTTGTATTTTTAGTGGAGACGGGGTTTCACCATGTTGGCCAGGATGGCCTTGATCTCTTGACCTCGTGATCCGCCAGCCTCGGCCTCCCAAAGTGCTGGGATTACAGGCATGAGCCACCGTGCCTGGCCGCTTTTCCCTTTCTTTGTGATCCCACCTTCTTTAGTTAGATGTCTAAAATGAGCAGAAAAAATAATGCTACGACCTGGGAAATTTGAGTGTTTGCTCAGATTCCCGTTCAGAAAGCAAAGCTTTGCTAAAGCAGCAGTTGGCATGTCCTGTGCAGGCTTCTTACCTTGCCTGTTCCCTTCCTTTGCCTAGGGGGTCACTATATCTACCTTGAGGCTGACGAGTTCTCCCAGGCAGGCCAGTCAGTCAGACTGGTGAGCCGGCCCTTCTGCGCCCCAGGTGACATCTGCGTGGAGTTCGCATACCACATGTATGGCCTTGGGGAGGGTACTATGCTCGAACTCCTCCTGGGAAGTCCTGCGGGGAGTCCCCCGATTCCTCTCTGGAAACGCGTGGGGTCTCAGCGCCCTTACTGGCAGAACACCTCCGTCACCGTCCCCTCAGGACACCAACAGCCCATGCAGGTGAGAGACGGAGGCGGGGGTCCTGTCTGTGTGAGGTGAGAGGGCCAATGCCTGGGATCTGGGGGCGCCACCAGTGCTGAAGAGGTGGAAAGCTGGAAAGAGAGCCGAGAAAAGGGGAACTTCGTGTTACAGAAAGTGAGAAAGGGGCCGGGATGGGGCTGGACTGTTGAGGCTGGAACAAGGCGACATTTTGGCAGAGAACAGATTCTATGCCCAGTGGAATCACAGAGTTGCTGGAGATTCATTTTTGTTTCTCTCTCCGTCTCTCTCCCTTGTCGCCTTTAGCTTATTTTCAAGGGCATCCAGGGAAGCAACACGGCCTCTGTGGTTGCTATGGGTTTCATCTTGATCAATCCTGGGACTTGTCCAGGTAAGACCAAAGCCCAGGCTCCAGGAAGGGGGCGGTGCCCTGAGGTTCCCTGGAGTTCTCTCTATGAACTGCTTAAAATGTGAGTCCTCCCTGGAGCCCGAATTCTCACCCAGCTGGCTTTGTTTTCCATCTTCAACACACCTCTCCTTCCCCTGCACTTCAAGATGTTTGCCTGGGTGAATGTGGCTTCGATACCATGGATTTTGGGGGCTGGATCCAGAACTCCTTCCTCTGCAGTCTTGAAGGCTGGACCCATATCCTATTCATTTCTGGCATAATATCTGACATATATTAGTGTTCGTTGAGTGGATGAAGGTTGGGGTTTGGGAGTAGAAAGAGAGGTGTGAATAAGCCACCCATGGGAGCCCACTCCAGTTAGATGGCAGTAAAGAGGGTGGTGGTATGGTTTTGACTAAACTCCAGGGATTCTTATTTTTCTTTGCAGTAAAAGTGCTACCAGAGCTTCCTCCCGTATCTCCAGTTTCTTCCACTGGCCCTTCTGAAACCACTGGCCTCACAGAAAACCCTACAATCTCCACCAAGAAACCTACAGTTTCCATAGAAAAACCCAGTGTCACCACAGAAAAGCCCACAGTCCCCAAAGAAAAGCCCACCATTCCCACAGAAAAACCCACCATCTCCACAGAAAAACCCACCATTCCTTCAGAAAAACCCAACATGCCCTCAGAAAAACCCACCATTCCCTCAGAAAAACCCACCATCCTCACAGAAAAACCCACCATTCCCTCAGAAAAACCCACCATTCCCTCAGAAAAACCCACCATTTCCACAGAAAAACCCACCGTCCCCACAGAAGAGCCCACCACCCCCACTGAGGAGACCACCACCTCCATGGAAGAGCCTGTCATCCCTACAGAAAAACCCAGCATCCCTACAGAAAAACCCAGCATCCCCACGGAAAAACCCACCATCTCCATGGAAGAGACTATCATCTCCACAGAAAAACCCACCATCTCCCCAGAAAAACCCACCATCCCCACAGAAAAACCCACCATCCCCACAGAAAAATCCACCATCTCCCCAGAAAAACCCACCACCCCCACAGAAAAACCCACCATCCCCACAGAAAAACCCACCATCTCCCCAGAAAAACCCACCACCCCCACAGAAAAACCCACCATCTCCCCAGAAAAACTCACCATCCCCACAGAAAAACCCACCATCCCCACAGAAAAACCCACCATTCCCACAGAAAAACCCACCATCTCCACAGAAGAGCCCACCACCCCCACTGAGGAGACCACCATCTCCACAGAAAAACCCAGCATCCCCATGGAAAAACCCACTCTCCCCACTGAAGAAACCACCACCTCTGTTGAAGAGACTACCATCTCTACAGAAAAACTCACCATCCCCATGGAAAAACCCACCATCTCCACAGAAAAACCCACCATCCCCACAGAAAAACCCACCATCTCCCCAGAAAAACTCACCATCCCCACGGAAAAACTCACCATCCCCACGGAAAAACCCACCATCCCCATTGAAGAGACTACCATCTCCACAGAAAAACTCACCATCCCCACAGAAAAACCCACCATCTCCCCAGAAAAACCCACCATCTCCACGGAAAAACCCACCATCCCCACGGAAAAACCCACCATCCCCACTGAAGAGACTACCATCTCCACAGAAAAACTCACCATCCCCACAGAAAAACCCACCATCTCCCCAGAAAAACTCACCATCCCCACAGAAAAACCCACCATCTCCACGGAAAAACCCACCATCCCCACGGAAAAACTTACCATCCCCACGGAAAAACCCACCATCCCCACAGAAAAACCCACCATTCCCACAGAGAAGCTCACAGCCCTGAGGCCACCCCATCCCAGCCCCACAGCCACTGGGCTGGCAGCCTTGGTGATGTCTCCACATGCTCCAAGTACCCCTATGACCAGTGTGATTCTGGGCACTACCACAACCTCCAGATCCAGTACAGGTATGAGGTGGATGGAGCGTGGGCCAAGGCTGAAAGTCAGAGACAATGACTAGGAGACAGTCAGGGAAAGGGATGCTTCTGGTAGAAGCCTTCTAGTTGCTTCTAGATGCTTCTAGTACTCTCAGAGGAGAGCTGAAGTAGTCCATGGCGACTTCAGAGGAAATGGGGAGGACTGCCCAGAGCGAGAGGGATGGCAGGGCTGGAGTGGGTGGGGGTGTCAGGACTGAACCACGAGGCTTCCTTCTCGTTGTTTGTTATTGAGATATAATCCATATTTCATAAAATTCACCCTTTTAAAGTGTACAATTCTAGGCCGGGCACGGTAGCTCAAACCTGTAATCCCAGCACTTTGGGGGGCCAAGGCGAGAGGGTTGCTTGAGCTCAGGAGTTTGAGACCAGCCTAGGCAACATAGTGAGACCCTGTCTCCACTTTAAAATTAAAAAAAAAAAAAAATTAGCTGGGTGTGGTGGCGCACGCCTGTAGTCCCAGCTACTCGGGAGGCTGAGGTGGGAGGATCACTTGAGCCTAGGAGGCTGAGGCTGTAGTGAGCCATGATTGTGTCACTGCACTTCAGCTTGGGCAACAGAGCAAGACATCGTCCTAAAAAAAAAAAAAAAAAAAAAAAGCAAAAGCAATTCTGTGGGTTTTAGTATATTCCTAAGGTTGTGCAACCATCATCACTTTCTAATCCAAACACTTTCATCACTCCAAAAAGAAATCCTATACCTATTAGCAGCCACTCCCCACTCCGCCTTCCCCCAGCCCCTGGCAACCACACATTTCTTTCCTATATCCATGGATTTGCCAGTTCTGGACAGTTCATACAAATGGAATCATGCAACATGTGAGCCTTTGTGTTTGGCTTCTTTCACTGAGTGTAATGTTTTCCGGGCCATCCATACTGTAGCATGCATCAGGACTTCATTCCTTTAAAAAAAGTATTTCTGGCCAGGCACGGTGGCTCACGCCTGTAATCCCAACACTTTGGGAGGCTGAGGCGGGCAGATCACAAGGTCAGGAGATCGAGACCATCCTGGCTAACACAGTGAAACCCCGTCTCTACTGAAAATACAAAAAAATTAGCTGAGCGTGGTGGTGGGTGCCTGTAGTCCCAGCTACTCCGGAGGCTGAGGCAGGAGAATGGCGTGAACCCGGGAGGCAGAGCTTGCAGTGAGCCGAGATCATGCCACCGCACTCCAGCCTGGGTGATAAAGTGAGACTCCGTCTCAAAAAATTAAAAATAAAAATAAATAAATAAATAAATGGAGTATTTCTTATTTTTTATATTTTTGAGACAGGGTCTCGCTCTGTCACCCAGGCTGGAGTGCAGAGGTGTGATCTCGGCTCACTGCAACCTCTGCCTCTGGGGCTCAAGCAACTATCCTGCCTCAGCCTCCTGAGTAGCTGGGGCCACAGGCCTGCACCACCACGACTGGCTAATTTTTGTATTTTTAGTAGAAACGGGGTTTCACCATGTTGGCCAGGATGGTCTTGACCTCCCAAAGTCTTGGGATTACAGGGGTGTAATCCTGTAATTACGCCTCAGCCTCGGCCTCCCAAAGTCTTGGGATTACAGGGGTGAGCCACTGTGCCCGGCTCTAGGGTTTCGCCCTGTTAGCCAGGCTGTTCTTGAACTCCTGGCCTCAAGTGATCTGTCCGCCTCGGTTTACCAAAGTGCTGGGATTACAGGCGTGAGCCACCGTGCCTAGCCTAAAATTGTTTTATTTTTAAATTTGTTTTGTAGGGATGGGGTCTCACTACGTTGCACAGCCTGGTCTCAAACTCTTGGCCTCAAACAGTCCTCCTGCCTCAGCCTCCCAAAGTGCTGGGATTATAGGTGTGAGCCACCGCACCCAGCCTTCAGGCCTTTTTATGGCTAAATAATATGGTCCTGTTTCCTAGAGAAGAACTTGAGTTTGGGGGTAGAGGAGAGACAGGGAGACTCCCTGAGAAAGCCATGGAATGAAAGCATGACAGAGGCTGTTTTCCCCTTAGAGCGCTGCCCTCCAAATGCCCGCTACGAATCCTGTGCTTGTCCTGCTTCGTGCAAGAGCCCCAGGCCTAGCTGTGGGCCCCTCTGTCGGGAGGGCTGTGTCTGCAACCCTGGCTTTTTGTTTAGTGACAACCACTGCATCCAGGCCTCTTCCTGCAATTGCTTCTACAACAACGACTACTATGAGGTAAGCCCCCCGGGATGCTGGGGTCCCATGAGGGAGATTGATGGCAGAACACCTGGGTTCCAGCTCCATCTGCTCCCCATGTGAAGGCAACAGGGATCACCGGATAGTCCCAAGGGGTCAGCTCAGAAGCAATGGTTACATGATGGCGAAGTTATTCATTCAATCTTTTCTTTTTTTTTGAGACAGGGTCTCGCTTTGTCGCTCAGGCTGGAGAGTAGTGGCATCATAGTGGCTCACTGCAGCCTCCACTTCCCGGGC
Organism: Homo sapiens; assembly: GCF_000001405.40. Lineage (NCBI taxonomy): Eukaryota > Metazoa > Chordata > Mammalia > Primates > Hominidae > Homo > Homo sapiens. The sequence goes on from NC_000007.14 coordinate 100,755,669, forward strand.
TCCAGTGATCCTCCCACCTCAGCCTCCCAAGTAGCTGGGACTGCAGGCACATGCCACCATGCCCAGCTAATTTTTGTATTTTTGGTAGAGACAGGGTTTCACCACGTTGCCCAGGCTGGTCTTGAAATCCTGAGTTCAAGCAATCCTCCTGCCTCAGCCTCCCAAAGTGCTGGGATTATAGGCATAAGTCACCGTGTCTGGCTGGGCACATTTCTTTTTTTATTTTATTTTATTTTTTTTGAGGCAGAGTCTAGCTCTGTCACCCAGGCTGGAGTGCAGTGGCACGATCTTAGCTCACTACAACCTCCACCTCCCGGGTTCAAGCAATTCTCTGCCTCAGCCCCGCAAGTAGCTGGGATAACAGGCTCACGCCACCACCCTGGCTAATTTTTGTATTTTTAGTAGAGATAGGGTTTCACCATATATTCTTTACGTCTTTAAATCTTTTATCCATATTTATAAAGTGTACACAGTAAGATTTTCTACCTCATATAAGATTATTGTAAAGATGAAATTAAGTCCTAACACATACAATTACTTAATAAGTGTTAATTATTATCATTAGCAATTTATGATAAATATATGCAACCTATTAATTAAAAGTGCATTAAAGGGCCCAGCGTGGTGACTCACAGCTGTAATCCCAACACTTTAGCAGGCCGAAGTGGAGGGATTGGTTGAGCCCAGGAGTCTGACGCTGCAGTGAGCTATGATTGTGCCACTGCACTCCAGCCTGGGCGACAGAGTGACACCCTGTCTCAAAAAAAAAAAAAGAAAAGTGCATTAAGCTATTCATTAATGTGCAGAGCCTCTTCCCAGCTGCAGGTGTTCTTCCCATTGACATCAGAGCTTCTGCTTGTCCCTTTTGGGACTATTATTTCTTTCCCCTGCCTCCTTTAACCAGTCTCCTGGGTCTCTCTGAGTTGCTGCTGAGATTAGCTTCAGCCACAGCCTGGGCAGAAAGATCTGTCACAACCATTGGCACCAAGAAGCTCTTCCCTCTGCCCTAGGAGGCATGTATTCACTTTTGTTTTTTTTTTTTTGACAAACTATTCACTCACAGTTCTCTATTGATGCAAAAACCATTCTAGCCGTGTTTGTTTGTCTGTTTGTTTTTGAGACAGAGTTTCGCTCTTGTTGCCCACGCTGGAGTGCAATGGTGCCATCTCCGCTCACTGCAACCTCCGCTTCCCAGGTTCAAGCGATTCTCCTGCCTCAGACTCCGGAGTACCTGGGATTACGGGCATGCGCCACCACGCCCAGCTAATTTTGTATTTTTGGTAGAGATGGGGTTTCTTCATGTTAGTAAGGCTGGTCTTGAACTCCCGACCTCAGGCGATCCGCCCGCCTCAGCCTTCCAAAGTGTTGGGATTACAGGCGTGAGCCACCGCGCCTGGCTGTATTCACTTCTAATAGATTCATTTATGCATTCAACAAATGTTTATTTAGTACTTTCTTCAAAGGTGTGTTTTTTTGGTTTGTTTTTTGGGGTTTTTTTTTTGGTAGAGATGGGGTCTGGCTCTGTTGCCCAGGCTGGTCTATGAACTCCTGGGCTCAACCCATCCTCCCACCTCAGCCTCCCAAAGTGCTGGGATTACAGTGGTGAACCACCACACCCAGCCTACTTAGTACTTTCTACTCTGCTGGCACTGGGGTCGCCACGAATAGGCTGTGGTCCTTGCCCTCATAATGCCCTCAGATTCAGAGAGACACATGGGGTCTTGGTTTACTCCTTCATTCAGCAAGTATTTACTGAATGAGAGCACTCATGGGAGGGCTAAGATGTTGGGTAAAGACAGATATTGGCTGGGTGCAGTGGCTCATGCCTGTAATCCTAGCACTTTGGGAGGCCAAGGCGGGCGGATCACCTGAGGTCAGGAGTTCGAGACCAGCCTGGCCAACATGGAGAAACCAAGTCTCTACTAAAAATACAAAAATTAGCCGGGCGTCGTGGCGGGTGCCTGTAATCCCAGCTACTCTGGAGGCTGAGGCAGGAGAATCGCTTGAACGCTGAAGGCGGAGGTTGCAGTGAGCCAAGATCACGCCACTTCACTCCAGCCTGGGTGACAGAGTGAGACTCCGTCTCAAAAAAAAAAAAAAAAACAAAAAAACAGACAGACATAAGGCTGGGTGCAGTGGCTCACGCCTGTAATACCAGCATTTTGGGAGGCCAAGGCAGGAGGGTCACTTGAGCTCAGGAATTCAACACCAGCCTAGGCAACACAGCAAGACTCCATCTCTCCAAAACGTTAAAAAAAAAAAAAAAAAAAAGTCGGGCATGGTGGCATGTGCCTGTAGTCCCAGATACTTGGGAGGTTGAGGCAGGAGGATGGTTTGAGCCCAGGGGGTCAAGGCTGCAGTGAGCCATGATTGCGCCACTGCACTCCAGCTTGGGCAACAGAGCAAGACTCCATCACAAATAAATAAATAAATAAATAAATAAATAAATAAATAAATAAATGAAAAAGAAAGGCAAAGGGAGAAGTACTCTAGGAGCTATATGACTGTGTGACCTCACATCCCTTTCTCCCAGCCTGGGGCAGAGTGGTTCAGCCCCAACTGCACAGAACATTGCCGCTGCTGGCCCGGCAGTCGGGTCGAGTGCCAGATCTCTCAGTGTGGGACACACACCGTGTGCCAGCTTAAGAATGGCCAGTATGGATGCCACCCCTACGGTGAGAGCCCCTCCCCATGCTGTCCCTGCCTGCCAGCCAGTTGGAGTAGACGTGACGCCAGGATCCCAATCCCTCGCTTGAGCAGAGGATTGGGGGCCTGCCACCGGGCAGCGGGTGGGCCAGCATGTGCGGTCCAGCCTGGAGGAGCCACAGAAGCAGCTTCGCCTGTTCTCCTTCCCCCTCCCAGCAGGCACTGCCACCTGCTTGGTCTACGGAGACCCTCATTATGTCACCTTTGACGGGAGGCACTTTGGCTTCATGGGCAAGTGCACTTACATCTTGGCCCAGCCCTGTGGCAACTCAACAGGTAGGCCCTGGAGATGCCACTGCGGCCTGGGGGGAGGGTCTGTGGGCAGCGCTGCTAGGCATGGGGCATGGTGGGTGGCAGGAAGGGGCAGGGCACAGATGGGGGAAGAGGCAAGATAGGAGCAAGTTCTTCTGTAAGGTGAGGGTTGAAGGCCAGGCACAGTGACTCACACTGGTAACCTCAGCACTTTGGGAGGCTGAGGCAGGAGGATCACTTGAATCCAGGAGATTGAGACCAGCCTAGGCAACACAGCAGGACTCTCATCTCCATGAAAAAAAAAATTAAAAATCAGGCCGGGCTCAGTGGCTCACGCCTGTAACCCCAACACTTTGGGAAGCCGAGGTGGGGGGTTCACCTGAGGTCAGGAGTTTGAGACCAGCCTGGTCAACATGGTGAAACCCCGTCTCTACTAAAAATATAAAAAATTAGCCAGGCTTGGTGGCAGGCACCTGTAATCCCAGCTACTTGGGAGGCTGAGGCAGGAGAATTGCTTGAACCTGGGAGGCGGAGGTTGCAGTGAGCCAAGATCGAGCCACTGCACTCCTGCACTCTAGCCTAAGCAGCAAGAGCAAAACTCTGTCTCAGAAAAAAAAAAAAATTAAAAAATCAGCTGGGTATGGTGGGACACACCTATAGTCCCAGCTAGTCGGGAGGATGAGGCAGGAGGATCGCTTGAGCCCAAGAGTTGGAGGCTGCAGTGAGCTATGATCACACCACTGCACTCCAGCCTGGGTAGCAAAGTGAGATCTTGTCTCGAAAAATAAATAAATACACACATAAATGAAGTTAAAAACAAAAAAGCAAAGAAGGCAGTGGTAGTGGTTAGGGAGCACAGACGCCCTGGAGGATGTTCCAGCCACTGAGTGGAGACAGACACGCTGCGGCTGCAGGCTCTTCTGGAAGAGGCAGTCGTGGTCTGCTCCTGTGTGGATCCGGCCTCCCCTACTGGACTTTGGGGCTGGTGTCTCGGTGGCGCTCATCTCTCCCTGCGGCGCCAGGCTCAGGGCACTGCTCGCGGCAGATGTTCAGAAATGAGCCACTGGGCTCTCTTCATTCCTCTCCCTACCCAGACCCATTCTTCAGGGTGACAGCCAAGAATGAGGAGCAGGGACAGGAAGGCGTGTCCTGCCTGAGCAAAGTCTACGTGACCCTGCCCGAGAGCACCGTCACCCTGCTTAAGGGCAGACGCACTCTGGTGAGCCCCATTCCACCCCCACCATCCTTGCAGGGTCTGACTGTGTGTCCTGGCCAACCCTTCCAATCCCTGAACCTTTCCACGGATGGGGTTCAACAAGACAGTGACCTGCAATCCCAGCTCCTTGGGAGGCTAAAGTGGGAGGATTGCTTGAGGCCAGGAGTTTGAAGCCAGCCTGGGCAAGATAGCAAGACCCTGTCTCTTAAAAAATAGAAAAAATTAGCCTGGTGTGGTGGCACTTGCCTGTTGTCCCCTCTACTCCAGAGGCTGAGGTGGGAGGATTGCTGGAGCCTGGGAGGTCGAGGCTGCAGTGAGCTGTGATTGCACCATTGCACTCCAGCCTAGGCAACATAGTAAGACACTGTCTCCTAAAAACAAAAACAAAAACAAAACAGTGGTGAGGAAGCTCCAGTCCACTCCTGGTGGATGAGATTGTTAGGCCGCTGTGGATGGTGTCCTGCCTCCCAGCTATGGAAATGAAAGTCTGCTGGGGTCCTCCTTGACCCCCAGCTCTGTCTGTCTCTTGCCTCTGCCCTGCCTTCCAGGTTGGGGGTCAGCAAGTTACTCTCCCAGCCATACCCTCTAAAGGCGTCTTCCTGGGTGCAAGCGGGCGGTTTGTGGAGCTGCAGACGGAGTTCGGTTTGCGGGTGAGATGGGATGGTGACCAGCAGCTGTATGTTACTGTGTCCAGGTAAGGCAGTGTCCCAGCCAGGCAGCTGCCACTTCTTCCTGCTGCCTCTTCCTGCTGCCTCTTCTTCCTGCTGCCCACCCTGCCCACTCCCCTTCCATCCCTGGCACCACTACTTGATCCTTTATGCATTCACGGATGGGAAGCACCCTGCTTAAGTGGCAGGGATCCCTTTGGACCAGGAGACAGGAGAAAATGGTTTCGGGGCATGTGATAGATAGCAGGATGGATGTACATGCTTTGGGAATGTGCTAGAAGGAGCACTAGTGAGTTCTGGAGGCTTTCTGAAGGGCAGTCACCTGGTCCCATTCTCGAAGGAAGAGTGGCTCCCCAGATGGACAAAACAAGGGAAAGCAAGATTCTTCTTCTTCTTTTTTTTGAGACAGGATCTCTCGCTCTGTTCCCTAGGCTGGAGTGCAGTGGTGCTATCTCGGCTCACTGCAACCTCTGCCTCCCAGGTTCAGCAATTCTCCTGCCTCAGCCTCCCAAGTAGCTGGGATTACAGGCGCACACCACCATGCCCAGCTAATTTTTGTTTTTAGTAGAGATGGGATTTCATCATGTTGCCCAGGCTTGTCTCGAACTCCTGACTTCAGGCGATCCTCCTGCCTCGGCCTCCCAAAGTCTTGGAATTACAGGGGAGCCACTGTGCCCGGCGAAAGAAAGACTTTATAAAAATACTTTATAGAGGCCAGGTGCAGGGGTTCCCGCCTGTAGCCCTGAACTTTGGGAGGCTGAGACGGGAGAATCCCTTGGGGCCAGGAATTCCAGACCAGCCTGGGCAACATAGTGAGACCATATCTCCACAAAAAAATTTAAATATTAGCCAGGCGTAGTGGCCTGCACCTATAATCTCAGCATGCTGGGAGGCCGAAGCAAGAGGATCACTTGAGGCCAGGAGTTCCAGACCAGCCTGGACAACATAGTGAGATCCTGTCTCTTAAAAAAAAATTAGCTTCTCGTGGTGGTACTTGCCTGTAGTCTCAGCTACTCAGGAGGCTGAGGTGGGAGAATCGCTTGAACCCAGGAGTTGGAGGCTGCAGTGAGCCGAGATTGCACCACTGTGCTCCAGCCTGAGCCACAGAGGGTGACCCTATCTCTAAAATAAATAAAAAAATAAATAAATAATTTGGCCAGGCACGGTGGCTGACACCTGTAATCCCAGCACTCTGGGAGGCCAAGGCAGGCAGATTAGGAGTTTGAGACCAGCCTGGCCAACATGGTGAAACCCCATCTCTACTAAAAATACAAAAAAATTAGCTGGGCGTGGTGGTGTGTGCCTGTAATCCCAGCTACTCGGAAGGCTGAGGCAGGAGAATCACTAGAACCCGGGAGGTGGAGGTTGCAGTGAGCCGAGGTTGCACCACTGCCCTCTAGCCTAGGTGACGGAGAGAGACTCCATCTGAAAAAAAGGATAAATAAATAAATAAATAAATAAATAAATAAATAAATAAAGTGGGAGTGTTTTAGGGCCAGCAAGGGGTTTGCTGTGGCTGGACAATGAACAGAGGGGAAGGAGGCTTGGGGGAGGGCCATGGGGTCCTCTTGTCCAGTCCGCACCTCTTCATCCTCCTCACGCCCTCTGTTTTAGGATCCCAGCTCCTTGCCTTCTCTGCCACTGCCCCTCGAGGACCGAGGCTGCTTCTCTCCATTAACGCCAGCTCCTCTCCTGTTCCCCTAGCACATACTCTGGCAAACTCTGTGGTTTGTGTGGGAACTATGACGGCAACAGTGACAATGACCACCTGAAGTTGGACGGCAGCCCAGCAGGAGACAAGGAGGAGCTGGGGAACAGCTGGCAGACGGACCAGGACGAGGACCAGGAGTGAGCAAGGAGCCCTCCCACCGGGGCCCTGGGAAGGTTCCGTCCCCTTCCTGGAACTCTCTTTTTTTTTTTTTTTTTTTTTTTTGAGATGGAGTCTCCTTCTGTCGCTTAGGCTGGAGTGCAGTGGTGCGATCTCAGCTCACTGCAACCTCCGCCTCCCAGGCTCAAGCAATTATCCTGCCTCAGTCTCCCGAGTAGCTGGGATTACAGGCACCTGCCACCACACACAGCTAATTTTAGTATTTTTGTAGAGATGGGGTTTCACCATGCTGGCCAGGCTGGTCTCAAACTCCTGGCCTCAAGTGATCCACCTGCCTTGGCCTCTCAAAGTTCTGGGATTACAGGTGTGAGCCACCACACCACCACGTCCAGCCCTCCACCCGCCCTTTTTTTTTTTTTGAGATGGGATCTCCCTCTGTCTTCCAAGCTGGAGTGCAATGGCACGATCGTGGCTTACTGCAGCCTCAAACTCCTGAGCTCAAGCAATCCTCCCTTCTCTGCCTCCCAAGTAGCTTGGACTACACCATGCCCAGCTAACTTTAACAAAATTTTTTGGTAGACATGGGGTTCTCACCAGATGGGGGGTTGACCAGGCTGCTGGCCCTCCCCAACGGTTTTTTTTTTTTTTTTTGAGATGGAGTCTTGCTGTGTCACCCAGGCTAGAGTGTAGTTGTGCAATCTCAGCTCACTGAAACCTCTGCCTCCTGGGCTCAAGTGATTCTCACGCCTCAATCCCAATGAGATTATAGGCACATGCCACCACACCTGTCTGATTTTTGTATTTTTAGTAGAGACGGGGTTTCATCATGTTGGCCAGGCTGGTTTCGAACTCCTGACCTCAGGTGATTCACCTGCCCTGGCCTCCCAAAATGCAAAATGCCGGGATTACAGGCATCACCACCACACCCAGCCTGTGCCCTCCCTTTAAAAAATGACTGGCATTGCCCCTTTCTCCTCTCTACCCTGGAGACTTCAAGTTGTTCTTTCAGTTGCTCAATATTCTTTTTTGTTTGTTTGTTTGTTTGTTTTTAGAGACAGGGCCTTGCTCTGTCGCCCAGGCTGGAGTGCAGTGGTTCAATCACAGCTCACTGCAGGCTCCAACTCCTGGGCTCAACAGATTCTCTCACCTCAGCCTCCTGAGTAGCTGGGGCTATGGACGTGCGCCATATGAAATATGAAATAAATAATTTCATATTTATTTTTAAAGAGATGGGATCTCAGTGTGTTACCCAGGCTGGCCTGGAACTCCTGGGCTCAAGCAATTCTCCCTGCCTCGGCCTCCCACAGTGCCTGGCCAGGGCTCAGTGGTCAAACATCCTCTGGGAGGGGTTTCCCAGCTGACAGGCTGGTTTGCCGGTCCCGGCCTGCCAGCCTTGCTGCCTGCTGGGTTAGGGATGAGCTGGAAGCGAGCTTTGTCTTTAGGGAGTTTGGGGTGGGTCTCTTGCAGGTGTCAGAAGTACCAGGTGGTGAATTCCCCGTCTTGTGATTCATCTCTGCAGAGCAGCATGTCGGGGCCAGGGTTCTGTGGACGGCTGGTCGACACTCATGGCCCATTTGAGTATGAAGGAGGGCAGGCAGGGTCGCACAGGGGCGATGCTTGGCACCTGGGCTCCTCCAAGGCTCTACCCCCTTCCACTGCATTCCCCCTGACTTGGTCACTCCCCTCAGGACATGCCTGCTGCACGTGAAGGCCGCTTCCTTCTTCGACAGCTGCATGCTTGATATGTGCGGATTCCAGGGGCTGCAGCACCTGCTGTGCACACACATGTCCACCATGACCACCACCTGCCAGGACGCAGGCCACGCTGTGAAGCCCTGGAGGGAACCCCACTTCTGCCGTGAGTTGTGCCAAACTCAGAGGAGAGGCCGGGCACGGTGGCTCACACCTATAATCCCAGCACTTTGGGAGTCCGAGGCAGGTGGATCATGAGATCAGGAGTTTGGGACCAGCCTGGCCAACACCCCGTCTCTACTAAACATACCAAAATTAGCCAGGCATGGTGGCATATGCCTGTAGTCCCAGCTACACTGGAGGCTGAGGCAGGAGAATCGCTTGAACCCGGGAGGCAGAGGTTGCAGTGAGCCGAGATTGCGCCACTGCACTCCAGCCTGGGCGACAGAGTGAGACTCCATCTCAAAAAATAAAATAAAATAAATAAATAAATAAATAAAAATACAGAAATTAGCTGTGTGTGGCAACGGGTACCTGTAATCCCAGCTACTTGGAGGCTGAGGCAGGAGAATTGCTTGAACCTGGGAGGCGGAGGTTGCAGTGAGCCGAGATTGCACCACTGCACTCCAGCCTGGGTGACAGAATGAGACTCCATCTCAAAAAATAATAAAAATAATAAATAAATAAATATACAAAAATTAGCTGTGTGTGGCAACGGGCGCCTGTAATCCCAGCTACTTGGGAGGCTGAGGCAGGAAAATCGCTTGAACCCGGGAGGTGGAGGTTGCAGTAAGCAGAGATTGCGCCACTGCACTACAGCCTGGGCAGTGAGAGCGAAACTCTGTCTTTAAAAAAAAAAAAGTGTTTCTGTGCAGCCCAAGTCATCACACGCAGGCACACGGTACAGGCCCTAGGCAGGGGAGGCAACGAGGCTGCCTCCCAGCTCCTGGTGTGGCCCAGCTCTTTGGGGAAGCTGCTTTAGGGCAGGCCTATCCCCTGACTCAGACCTCACAGGTGGCCCCGGTCCCCTGCGGGCCAACAGCTCACCTGGGGCATGTCTACACAGCAGCGCTGCCAGTGGTGGGTCCATCTGCTCCCACCATAGGTCTATCTAAGTCTCTCAGGGCCGGCGCCTTAGTGCTGGCCCTGCAGCCCCAGGGAGCCAGCCAGGCTCCTTGGGGAAGCTTCTCACAGTCACTCTCTCTTCTCGAGATTGGCCAGAAGCCTGGAGCTGGGGCCCTTCCGAACGTGTCCTTCCTGTTTCCCACCCAGCCCCGTGGCTTGTTCGTCTCCTTCTCACCCAAGCTTCTCCCTCCACCAGCAATGGCCTGCCCGCCCAACAGCAAGTACTCCCTGTGTGCGAAGCCATGCCCTGACACCTGCCATTCAGGATTCTCCGGCATGTTCTGCTCAGACCGGTGCGTGGAGGCCTGTGAATGCAATCCGGGCTTCGTCCTCAGTGGCCTCGAGTGCATACCTCGCTCCCAGTGTGGGTGCCTCCACCCTGCAGGCAGCTACTTCAAGGTGAGCGGCTGCGTGGACCTCTCAGCCCTGCAGCTAGAAAGGGCCTGCTCCCTGCTCTCACACCCCCTGCAAGCTCTTTCTTTTCTTTTCGTTTCTTGTTTTGTTTTGTTTTTGAGACGGAGTTTTGCTCTGTCGCCAGGCTGGAGTGCAGTGGCACGATCTCGGCTCACTGCAACTTCCGCCTCCTGGGTTCAAGTGATTCTCCTGCCTCAGCCTCCCGAGTAGCTGGGACTACAGGCATGCACCACCATGCCCAGCTAATTCTTGTATTTTTAGTAGAGACGGGGTAGGGGGCGGTTTCACCATGTTGGCCAGGATGGTCTTGATCTCTTGACCTTGTGATCTGCCCACCTGGGCCTCCCAAAGTGCTGGGATTACAGGCATGAGCCACCATGCCTGGCCCTTGTTTTTTGGTTTTTTGTTGTTGTTTTTGGTTTTTGTTTTTTTTTTGAGACAGAGTCTCGATCTGTTGTCCGGGCTGGAGTGCAGTGGCACGGTCTCAGCTCACTGCAACCTCCGCCTCCCAGGTTCAAGCGATTCTCCCGCCTAAGCCTCCCAAGTAGCTGGGATTACAGGCGTGCACTACCACGCCAGGCTAATTTTTGTATTTTTAGTACAGATGGGGTTTCTCCATGTTGGCCAGGCTGGTCTCAAACTCCTGACCTCAAGTGATCCACCCGCCTTGGCCTCCCAAAGTGCTGGGATCACAGGCGTGAGCCGCCACACCTGGCCTCGGATAGATCAATTTTGGTTGAAATGATGAACAGACCCAGAAATGATGTAGTGACTGAAAAAACGAATGGATGCCAAGCTTTTGCAGCGAATCTCGGAGCTTCAGGAAGAGAGGATGTCTCCCCACTATTAAGCCAGTGATCTGAACAGCTCTGGTGAGCTCTGGTGTCAGATCTGGGAAAAAACAAAACAAAGCAAAAAAAAACACTTTCTCTTCCTTCCCTGCTGTCTTCCCCAGGTAGGGGAGCGGTGGTACAAGCCAGGCTGCAAAGAGTTGTGCGTCTGTGAAAGCAACAACAGAATTCGCTGCCAGCCCTGGAGGTGTAGGGCCCAGGAGTTCTGTGGCCAACAGGATGGTATCTATGGCTGCCATGCCCAAGGTGAGCCATCAGGGTGGAAGGTGAGCTGGGGGCTGCCCAGGCAACACCAGGCAAGGTGATGGGTCCTGCCCAAAGCAGCTTCCCCAGACAGCTGAGTCTCCACCAGGGCCTGGGAGGGGCAGCAGGGGCAGCATTTTCAGGGACCCAAAGGGTGAGGTTGGGGACGTCAGTGTTTCTCTTAGGCAGCTCCAAGCCAAGCCAACCACACTTCCTAGGGAAACACCACATCTGTGGGTGGGCCGTGGGGACCATGCCAATGTGGGCTCTCCAGGATGGCAGCTCTGAGTCAAAGCTTCCGGGGCATGGAGGAGTGAGACTGTGAACTCCATCTTCTTCTCCACAGGTGCCGCCACCTGCACAGCCTCGGGTGACCCCCACTACCTGACCTTCGATGGCGCCTTGCACCACTTCATGGGCACCTGCACCTATGTCCTGACCCGGCCTTGCTGGTCCAGGTCCCAAGACAGCTATTTTGTTGTGAGCGCCACCAACGAGAACCGCGGGGGGATCCTGGAGGTCTCCTACATCAAAGCCGTCCACGTGACAGTCTTTGACCTCAGCATCTCACTGCTCAGAGGCTGTAAGGTCATGGTGGGTGTCTTCCTCCTGCCTCCTGGACCCTGAACACCCAGCCTGCTTGCTTCTCTCCTGTGCCCCTCCTTGCCCGGATGCCCACCTCTCTGGCTCCTTAGAGCACCTGGGAAGCACCTGCAGCTGACCCAGACCCTCTTCTCTGGACTCCCTCCTCCCTCTGTGAAATACCCACCAGCACCAGCCCCTCCTGCTCCCAGTTTTTTGCCGTTTTTTTTTTTTTTTTTTTTTTTTTTGAGACAGGGTCTTGCTCTATCACCCAGGCTGGAGTGCAGTGGTGCGATCATAGCTTATTGTGGCCTTGACCCCCTGGGCTCAAGTGATCCTCCCACCTCGGCCTCCTAAGTAGCTGCAACTATAGGCATGCACCACCTGCACGGCTAATTTTTTTTTTCACTTTTTGTAGAGACGGGCTTTCTCCATGTTGCCCAGGCTGATCTCGAGATCCTGGGCTCAAGCGATCCTCCGCCTCGGCCTCCCAAAGTGCTGGGTTTGCAGGCATGAGCCCCCGTCCTTGCCTTTATCCCGAGTTCTTTCCTGACTCTCCTTTCTACGTCCTCCCTGCCTCTGCAGCTGAATGGCCATCGGGTGGCCCTACCTGTGTGGCTTGCACAAGGCCGGGTGACCATAAGGCTCAGCAGCAACCTCGTCCTCCTCTACACGAACTTTGGGCTCCAAGTTCGCTACGACGGGAGCCACTTGGTGGAAGTGACAGTCCCCTCCTCCTATGGCGGCCAGCTCTGTGGGCTGTGTGGTGAGTTTCCTGGGCACCTGCGGGGAAAGCTGGGACAATGAGTAGGCGTGTGACCTGGTCCCAGCTCCCCCAACATCTCTGTGAGGTGTTCTAAGTACTTGTCAACTGACTAATTCGTTGAGGACATTAGGCATGAAGGTAGGAGTTAAGGGAAGACGGAGATGAAGAGACAGAAAGGGGCCAGGCGCGGTGGCTCATACCTGTAAATGCAACACTTTGAGAGCCCGAGGAGGGTGGATCACTTGAGGTCAAGGGTTCGAGACCAGCCTGGCCAACATGGCAAAAACCTGTCTCTACTAAAAATACAAAAATTAGCCAGGCATGGTGGTGCATGCCTTTAATCCCAGCTATTTGGGAGGCTGACGCGGGAGAATCGCTTGAACCTGGGAGGTGGACGTTGCAGTGAGCTGAGATCGCGCCACTGCACTCCAGCCTGGGTGTCAGAGCAAGACTCCATCTCAAAAAAGAAGAAAAAGAGACAGAAAGGGTTAACCTTGCTATGTAGAATGAAAAGTGAGGGTGCCAGGAGGATGGTGGCCCTGGGGCCTGGCCTGCTGGGGGGCCCCTTCTTGCCTGTTTTAATGACTCCCTCCTCTAGGGAACTACAACAACAACAGCTTGGATGACAACCTGCGCCCCGACAGAAAGCTTGCAGGCGATTCCATGCAGCTGGGGGCCGCCTGGAAGTTACCTGAATCCTCTGAACCTGGGTGAGCTGGGGGTCAGGGGAGCCAGGCAGGAGGGGCTGGGCCTGGGAAGGGCCTCGGGGGGCAGCTTGGAAGTGTCCTCTGTGTGTCCCCACTCCCTCTGTGCTGTACCTCCCAACTGGCAGGAAACTGGCAATCTCTCCTGTTTAGACTCTCCAAGATTGGAGTTGGTAAGAAGCTGTTCTGACTTCCCACGCCCACGCCTGCTGATTTCTCCCATGCTTAGTGATCTCTTTGGAGGGCCCACTTGGGAAGTTCACCCTGAGGTCTAGCCTTTTTCCTTCCTGCTGCATCTCCTTGCCTTGCTACTTGAGGGCACCGTTTTGTCCTCTTCTCCTGTATCCCTCTCTCTTTCCCTGTCCACTTTTTGTTTTGTTTTGTTTTGTTGTTTTTGAGACAGAGTCACGCTCTGTCACCCAGGCTGGAGTGCAGTGGCACGATCTCAGCTCGCTGCAACTTCCGCCTCCCAGGTTCAAGTGATTATCCTGCCTCAGCCTCCCAAGTAGCTGGGATTACAGGCACTCGCCACCACGCCCGGCTAATTTTTGTATTTTTATTTGAGACAGCGCTTCTCCGTGTTGGCCAGGCTAGTCTCAAACTCCTGACCTCAGGTGATCTGCCTGCCTTGGCCTCCCAAAGTGCTGGGATTACAGGTGTGAGCCACTGCACACAGCCCCCTGTCCACTTTTGCTTCGGTTTGGGAGATGGTTCCTCAGGCCCTCAGGTCTTGTCTTGTCTTTTTTTTTCTTTTCTTTTCTTTCCTTTCCTTTCCTTCTCTTCCCTTTCTTCCTTCCTTTCTTCCTTCTTCCTTTCCTTTCCTTTCCTTTTTTTCTTTTCTTTTCTTGAGACAGGGTCTTGCTCTGTTGCCCAGGCTGGAGTGCAGTGGTGCAATCATAGCTCACTGAAGCCTCCAACTGCTGGGCTCAAGCCATCCTCCCACCACAGCCTCCTGAGTAGCTGGGACTATAGGCACATGCCACCACGCCCGGCTAATTTTTAAAAATTTTGTGTAGAGATAGGATCTCACTATGTTGCCCAGGCTGGTCTTGAACTTCTGGTCTCAAGCGATCCTCCTGCCTTGGCTTCCCAAAGTGCTGGGATTATAGGCATGAGCCACTGCACCCAACCTGTAGCCCTCAGTTTCTATTCTCTCTCATTTAGCTGTTTCCTTGTGGGTGGCAAGCCCTCCAGCTGCCAGGAGAACAGCATGGCAGACGCCTGGAACAAGAACTGTGCGATCTTAATAAACCCTCAGGGTAAGACATGTCCCTGCTGGCCCTTTTTCCTCCCTGAAGGACAGGAGGCTGGGGAGGGAGTCTAGTCAGGGAGGGAGAAACAACAAGACCAGAAACAGATGGAAAAGCATGAGGAAGGCAAATGGGAACACAGGGCCAGCCAGCAGTCACCTTCTTGGGACCTATGACTGATGGGTCTGTATTTGTGTCTCAGGCAGTAGATAAATCCGGGATTTCTTTTTTTTTTTCCTATTAAAAATGTTTTAATAGGCTGGGCGCAGTGGCTCATGCCTGTAATCCCAGTACTTTGGGAGGCCGAGGAGGGCAGATCCCGAGGTCAGGAGTTCGAGACCAGCCTGGCTAGCATGGTGAAACCCCGTCTCTACTAAAAATACAAAAAATTAGCTGGGCCTGGTGACGGGCACCTGTAGTCCCAGCTACTTGGGAGGCTGAGGCAGAAGAATCGCTTTAACCTGGGAGGCAGAGGTTGCAGTGAGCCGAGATTTCGCCACTGCACTCCAGCCTGGGCGACAGAGTGAGACTCTGTCTCAAAAAAAAAAAAAAAAAAGTTTAATAGAGATGGGGGAGTCTCACTATGTAGCCCAGGCTGTTCTCGAACTATGGACCCCAAGGGATCCTCCCCCTTGGCCTCCCAAGTAGTTGGGATGACAGGCATAAGCCACCACGCCTGGCCGTTTTTTCTTTTTTCTTGTTTTTTAGAGACAAGGTCTCACTCTGTTGCCCAGGCTGGAGTGCAGTGGCACGATCACAGCTCACTGCAGGCTTGAACTCCTGGGCTCAAGTAATCCTCCCGCCTCAGCCTTCAGAGTAGCTGGGACCACAGGCATGCACCACCATGCCCAACTAATTTTTTTTTTCTCACTCTGTTGCCCAGGCTGGAGTGCAATGGTGTGATCTCAGCTCACTGCAACCTCTGCCTCCCAGGCGCAAGCTATTTTCCCACCTCAGCTTCCCAAGTAGCTGGGATTACAGGCCTGTGCCACCACACCCGGCTAGTTTTTGTATCTTTAGTAGAGACAACATTTCACCATGTTGGCCAGGCTGATCTTGAACTCCTGACCTCAAATGATCCACCTGCCTTGGCCTCCCAAAGTGCTGGTATTAAAGGCATGAGCCATCATGCCTGGCCTAATTTTTAAATATTTTCTGGAGATGAGGTCTTGCTATGCAGCCCAGGCTGGTCTTGAACTCCTGGGCTCAAGTGATTCTCCTGCTTTGCCCTCCTAAAGTGCTGAGGTTATAGGCGGGAGCCACCACACAAATCTGGGTTTTGTTTGTTTGTTTTGTTTATATTCTCTGTTACCCAGGTTGGAGTGCAATGGCACAATCATAGCTCATCCTCCTGCCTCAGCCTGCTGAGTAGCTGGGACTACAGGTGTGCACCACCATGGCCGGCTAATTTTTGTACAGACACAGTTTCACTGTATTGCTCAGGCTGGAAAATCCAGGAGGTTTTTTTTTTGTTTTTTTTTTTTGAGACGGAGTCTTGATCTGTTGCCCAGGCTGGAGTGCAATGGCACAATCTCAGCTCACTGCCACCTTTGCCTCCTGGGTTCAAGAGATTCTCCTGCCCCAACCTCCCGAGTTGCCTGGACTACAGGTGCCCTCTACTATGCCCTGCTAATTTTTGTATTTTTAGTAGAGATTGGGTTTCACCATGATGGTCAGGCTGGTCTCAAACTCCTGACCTCAAGTGATCTGCCCACCTCGGCCTCCCAAAGTGCTGGGATTACAGGTGTGAGCCACTGTGCCTGGCGGGAAAATCCAGGTTTTGACTGAAGTGGATGTCGAATCAGCCCCAGGGAAGCCACATGGCCCTGTTCCTTCCCGGCCCCTCCCCTGGCTCATCTGCCTTCTCTCTTCCTGCAGGACCCTTCTCTCAATGTCACCAGGTGGTGCCTCCCCAGTCCAGCTTTGCCAGTTGCGTGCATGGTCAGTGTGGGACCAAGGGCGACACCACAGCCCTGTGCCGCTCCCTGCAGGCCTACGCGTCCCTGTGTGCCCAGGCTGGCCAGGCCCCTGCCTGGCGGAACAGAACCTTCTGCCGTGAGTGACTGGCCACCTGTTCCCACAGCCCATAGGCACCCTCCAGAATTCTGCCCTCCCTTTCTTCCTCTAAATTCTTTTTTTTTTTTTTGAGACGGAGTCTCACTCTGTTGCCCAGGCTGGAGTGCAGTGGCGCAATCTCGGCTCACTGCAACCTCTACCTCCTGTGTTCAAGCCAAGATGGGTGAATCACCTGAGGTCAGGAGTTGGAGACCAGCCTGGTCAACATGGTGAAACCCCGTCTCTATTAAAAATACAAAACTTGGCCAGGTGTGGTGGCAAGCACCTGTAATCAGCTACTCAAGAGGCTGAGGTGGGAGAATCGCTTGAACCTGGGAGGCAGAGGTTGCAGTGAGCCGAGATCACACCACTGCACTCCAGCCTGGGCAACAAGAGTGAAACAAAAAACAAGAGTGAAAAACAAAACAAAACAAAAAGTTCTGGCAGTAGATGGTGGTAATGGCAGCACGACAATGTGACTGTACTTAGTGCTGTTGAAGTGTACATTTAAAAAATTGTTGCCGGGCGCGGTGGCTCATGCCTGTAATCCCAGCACTTTGGGAGGCCGAGGCAGGTGGATCACGAGGTCAGGAGATCGAGACCATCCTGGCTAACACGGAGAAACCCCGTCTCTACCAAAAATACAAAAAATTAGCCAGGCGTGGTGGTGGGCGCCTGTAGTCCCAGCTACTCGGGAGGCTGAAGCAGGAGAATGGCGTGAATCTGGGAGGTGGAGCTTGCAGTGACCCAAGATCATGCCACTGCACTCCAGCCTGGGCGACAGAGCGAGACTGTCTACAAGAAAAAAAAAATTGTTAAAATTGTAGATTTTATGTCTGTTTTTTTTTTGTTTGTTTTTTTTTTTTTTTGCTTTTGAGAGTCTCGCTGTCGCCCAGGCTGGAGTGCAGTGGTCTGACCTCGCCTCATTGCAACCTCTGCCTCTCAGGTTCAAGAGATTCTCGTGTCTCAGCCACCCAAGTAGCTGGGACTACAGGCGTGTGCCACCCCAAGTAGCTGGGACTACAGGCGTGTGCCACCACGCCTGGCTAATTTTTGTATTTTTAGTAGAGTCGGTTTTTCACCATGTTGGCCAGCCTGTTCTCGAACTCCTGACCTCAGGTGATCCACCTGCCTCGGCCTCCCAAAGTGCTGGGATTACATGTGCGAGCTACCGCTCCTGGCCACTACTAGGAGCTTTTGATGCCCCAAGGTTTGGGGGCTGGACATGCCACCCCACTCTTCCTAATGCTCTCATTTTCTTTAGCTATGAGGTGCCCACCTGGCAGCAGCTACAGCCCCTGCAGCAGCCCCTGCCCAGACACCTGCAGCAGCATAAACAACCCGAGGGACTGCCCCAAAGCACTGCCCTGTGCTGAGAGCTGTGAATGTCAGAAAGGCCACATCTTGAGTGGAACCTCCTGCGTGCCCCTTGGCCAGTGTGGCTGCACTGACCCAGCGGGCTCCTACCACCCGGTGAGAGGCCAGCTAGGAGGGGCCCCGCCCTTTCCAGGCCCACATGTTTGGGGTCAGGGCAAGCTCAGGAGAGGCAGGAGGAAGGCTCAGAACCTGGGAGGGGCAGGGCTGGCCAAGGCTGGGGGGCGAGGAGGAAGGGCAGATGCTGCACCCAGCTTCAACTGGGGCGTTGGCCCATCTCCCAATTCCAACTTTCTGTTGGCTCAGCTGATCCCTGTGGCCCACAGGTCGGGGAGCGCTGGTACACAGAGAACACCTGCACCAGGCTCTGCACCTGCTCCGTCCACAACAACATCACCTGCTTCCAGAGCACCTGCAAACCCAACCAGATATGCTGGGCCCTGGATGGGCTGCTCCATTGTCGGGCCTCAGGTAGGAGGACCACGGTGATGGGGGGACTCCACAGCCCTGAGGCCCACTCTCCCAACTCCCCAACAGACTCCCTGCTGCCTGTAGCACTGGGTTTCAGGTTTTGACTGGTAACTCTGCTGCAACCAAGAGCTTCTGGTGGGTAAGATGACCTCCAACTGCTGAGAAGGGAACCTTGGGGCTCACCCATCCTTCTCCTGTAGCGGCCACCAACTTAGATGGGATATTATAAATCCTTCCCTGGGGCCAGACGCCATGGCTCACACTTGTAATCTCAGCACTTTGGAAGGCCAAGGCGGGTGGATCACTTGAGACCAGAAGTTCAAGACCAGCCTGACCAACATGGCTAAACCCCGTCTCTACTAAAAATACAAAAATTAGCCTATAATCCCAGCTACTCGAGAGGCTGAGGCAGGAGAATTGCTTGAACCCAGGAGGCAGAGGTTGCAGTGAGCAGAGATCGTGCCATTGCACTCCAGCCTGGGCGACAAAACTCCGTCTCTAAATAAATAAATCTTTTCCTGGAGGCCAGGCATGGTGGCTCATGCCTGTAATCCCAGTGGTTTGGGAAGCTGAAGTGGGAGAATCACT
Source organism: Homo sapiens (assembly GCF_000001405.40). Classification (NCBI taxonomy): domain Eukaryota; kingdom Metazoa; phylum Chordata; class Mammalia; order Primates; family Hominidae; genus Homo; species Homo sapiens. Next base: position 100,774,454 of record NC_000007.14, read on the forward strand.
TGAGGCTAGTAGTTCAAGACCAGCCTGGGCAACATAGTGAGACCCCATCTCTACAAAAAAATAAAAGCTAAAAAGTTAAAAAGTAAAATTAAAGACATTGCACCTGTAGTCCCTGCTACTTGGGAGGCTGAGGTAGGAGGATCTCTTGAGCCCAGGAATTAGAGTCTGCATGCCAGCCTGGGTAACAGAACAAGACCCTGTCTCTAAAAAAAATTTTTTTTAATTAGTTGAATAGGGTACTTTATGCCTGTAGTCCCAGATACTCTGGAGGCTGAGGTAGGAGGACCACTTGAGCCCAGGAGTTTGAGGCTGCAGTGAGCTATGACCATATGCCATTGCATTCCAGCCTGGGTGACAGAGAGAGACCATGTCTCAAATAAAAAAAAAAAAAATCCTTCCTCCAAAGAATCATGCCCCTCCTCCACCCGTAAACCTCACCACGCCTCCTAGCCCTGGCCCTGGGGTTTTTTGTTTGTTTGTTTGTTTGTTTGTTTTTGATGCAGTGTCTCTGTTGCCTGGGCTGGAGTGCAGTGGTGCAATCTCGGCTCACTGCAACCTCCATCTCCCTGGTTCAAGCGATTCTCCTGCCTCAGCCTTCCAAGTAGCTGAGATTACAGGCACACGTCACCACACCCTAATTTTTTTGTATTTTTTTTAGTAGAGACGGGTTTTTACCATGTTGGTCAGGCTGGTATCAAACCAGCCCACCTTGGCCTCCCAAAGTGCTGGGATTACAGGCATGAGCCACTGCGCACAGCCGGACCTGGGGTCTTGACTCTTTTCTGGAAGGCAGGGAGAACCCAGGACTAGTTTCCCAGGGACCCTGTACCTGCCAGAGGAGCGTCATAGCCCAGCTGTCTCTCTGTCCTCCCAGGTGTGGGAGTGTGTCAGCTCCCAGGGGAGTCCCACTACGTGAGCTTTGATGGTAGTAACCATTCTATCCCGGACGCCTGCACTCTTGTCCTGGTGAAAGTGTGCCACCCCGCCATGGCCTTGCCCTTCTTCAAGATCAGTGCCAAGCATGAGAAGGAGGAAGGTGGAACTGAGGCTTTCCGCCTTCATGAGGTCTACATTGACATCTACGATGCCCAGGTCACCCTGCAGAAGGGCCACCGTGTGCTAGTGAGCTGGGTGTGGTGACCGGGGCTGGGAGGGAGTGCTGGGGAGGGGACTCTTGTCCCTGCTCCTACTCACCGTCACTGTCCTCCTGTTTAGATCAACAGCAAACAGGTCACCCTCCCCGCCATCTCCCAGATCCCTGGGGTCAGTGTCAAGTCCAGCAGCATCTACAGCATTGTTAACATCAAGATCGGGGTGCAAGTCAAGTTTGACGGGAATCATCTCTTAGAGATTGAAATCCCCACAACCTACTATGGAAAGGTGAGGAAAACATCTGGCTCTTCTCGCTGGGGAGGCAGCCCCAGGGAGATTGGTGGCCGGCAGGGATGGGGGGCAGTGTTCGCATCGTGCCTGCCCAAAGAGGCCACTCCTCAGGATGGAGCAGGGCAGTGGAGGAGTGCGCCTTTCTGTGTAGGGTGGACAAGAGTGTTTCCAGGAAAAAACAGGAAAAACCATTCTGCCCGGGCATGGTGGCTCATGCCTGTAATCTCAGCACTCTGGGAGGCCGAGGCAGGTGGGTCACCTGAGGTCAGGAGGTCGAGACCAGCCTGGCCAACATGGTGAAACCCCGTCTCTATTAAAAATAAAAAAAAAAATTAGTTGGGGGTGGTGGTGCCCACCTGTAATCCCAGCTGCTCGGGAGGCTGAGGCAGGAGGGTTGCTTGAACCTGGGAGGCGGATAGTGAAGTGAGCTGAGATCATGCCACTGCACTCCAGGCTGGGTGACAAGAGTGAAACTTGAAGGAAGGGAGGGAGGGAGGGAGGGAGGGAGGAAAACTGCTCTCGTGAGGGAAGGAAAGAAGGAAGGAAGGGAGAAAAACTGTTCTCGTGCTTCCCCAGCACCGAAAAACCACTCTCCCCCGCCAGGTCTGCGGCATGTGTGGGAACTTCAATGATGAGGAAGAGGACGAACTAATGATGCCCAGCGATGAAGTAGCAAATAGTGACAGTGAATTTGTGAACAGTTGGAAAGATAAGGACATTGACCCAAGGTAGTGGTCCCCTAAGACCCTCTAGGTTTTCTTTCTTTTTCTTTCTTTGTCTTTCTTTCTTTCTGCCTTCCCTTCCCTTCCCTCCCCTCCCCTCCCCTCCCCTTCCTTCCTTTCTTCCTTTCTCTCTTTCTCTTTCTTTTCTTCCTCTCCTTTCTTTTTTTTTTTTTTTTTTTTTTTTTGAGACGGAGTCTTGCTCTGTCGCCCAGGCCGGACTGCGGACTGCAGTGGCGCAATCTCGGCTCACTGCAAGCTCTGCTTCCCGGGTTCACGCCATTCTCCTGCCTCAGCCTCCCGAGTAGCTGGGACTACAGGCGCCCGCCACCGCGCCCGGCTAATTTTTTGTATTTTTAGTAGAGACGGGGTTTCACCTTGTTAGCCAGGATGGTCTCGATCTTCTGACCTCGTGATCCACCCGCCTCGGCCTCCCAAAGTGCTGGGATTACAGGCGTGAGCCACCGCGCCCGGCCCCTCTCCTTTCTTTCGTTCTTTTTTTTTCTGAGACAGAATCTTGCTCTGTCACCCAGGCTGGAGTGCAGTGGTATGATCTCGGCTCACTGCAACCTCCGCCTCCCGGGCTCAAGTGATACTCCTGCCTCAGCCTCCCAAGTAGCTGGGATTACAGGCACCCGCCACCACGCCTGGCTACTTTTTGTAGTTTTTAGCAGAGACGGGGTTTCACCATATTGGCCAGGCTGGTCTCGAGCTCCTGACCTCAGGCAATGTGGCCGCCTTGGCCTCCCGAAGTGCTGGGTAATCATGAGCGACTGCACCTGGACCCTCTAGCTTTTCTTTTTTTCTTTTTCTTTTTGAGATGGAGTTTTGCTCTGTCACCCAGGCTGGAGTGCAGTGGCGCAATCTTGGCTCACTGCAACCTCTGCTTCCGGGGTTCAAGCAATTCTCGTGCCTCAACCTCCCGAGTAGCTGGGATTACAGGTGCACACCACCACGCCCCACGTCTGGCTAATTTGTGTATTTTAGGTAGAGACGGAGTTTCATCATGTTGGTCAGGCTGGCCTTGAACTCCTGACCTCAAGTGATCCGCCCCACTCAGCCTCCCAAAGTGCTAGGATTACAGGCATGAGCCACTGTGCCTGGCCACCCCTCCAGCTTTTCATAGCAACATGAGCTAGGGAGCCAGACTGTAGGGCACACCTGGGGCAGGAAGACCAGAATGTTCCTTTTTTCTTCTTCAATTTTTAAATTTTTTGTAGAGACAGGGTCTTGCCACTTTTGCCCAGGCTGGTCTCAAACTCCTGGGCTCAAATGATCCTCCCGCCTCGGCCCCCCAAAGTGCTGGGATTACAGGCCAGAATGTTGCTTTGTGTGTGTGATTTGAGGGCGATGACTTCTGGGCATTCTGGGGCGATGTGTGTAATTGATCCATCTCAAGGCTGCTAGAACCCACTTGAGGAAATGTGAAAGCTTCCTTTCCTCGCTTAGAAACCTTGGAGGAGGAGCAGGAGCAGAGGCTCATGCCTGTGATTCCAGCACTTTGGGAGGCCAAGACTGGAGGATCACTTGAGGCCAGGAGTTTGAGACCAGCCTAGGCAGCATAGCAAGACCCCATCTTTACAAAAAAATTAAAAACAAAAATTAGCCAGCCATGGTGGCACATGCCTGTAGTCCCAGCTATTTGGGAGGCTTCAGCAGGAAGATTGGTTGAGTCCGAGATTTGAAGGCTACAGTGAGCTATGATTGCATCACTGCACTCCAGCCTGGATGACAGAGCAAGATGCTGTCTTAAAAAGTTTAAAAACAGCCGGGTGCAGTGGCTCACGCCTCTAATCCCAACACTTCGTGAGGCCAATGTGGGAGGATTGCTTGAGCCTAGGAGTTTGAGACCAGCCTGGGCAACATAGCAAGACCTCATCTCTACAGAAAAAAAAAAAAAAGAAAAGAAAGAAAAATAACCAGGTGTGGTTAGTCCCAGCTACTCACAAGGCTGAGGTGGGACGATCCCTTGGGCCTGGGAGATTGAAGTTGCAGTGAGCCTTGATCACACCACTGTACTCCAGACTGGGCGACAGATTGGGAAGCAAAAAAGGAAATCTGAGAGAAGACGAGGCCGATGGAAGATTGGCCAGAGCTCAGACCAGCTTCCCTGTGAACACCAGAAGGGTTAGGAGGGTGGGGAATCCCTGAGAGGTCTCTCTGGGTCATTTGGGAGCACCAGATCATTGTCATAGGGCCAGGCGTGGTGGCTCAGGCCTGATATCTCAGCACTTCGCGAGGCCGAGGCGGGTGGATCACTTGAGGCCAGGAGTTCAAGACCAGCCTTGCCAACATGGTGAAACCTCGTCTCTATTAAAAATACAAAAACTAGCCGGTCATGGTGGCGGGTGCCTGTAATCCCAGCTACTCAAAAGGCTAAGGCAGGAGAATCGCTTTAACCTGAGACGTAGAGGTTGCAGTGAGCCAAGATCACACCACTGAACTCCAGCCTGGGCGATACAGTGGGACCTTGTCTCCAGATAAACCAAAACCAAAAATTAGCTAGGCATGGTGCCGGGTGGCTGTAATCCCGGCTACTCGGGAGGCTGAGGCAGGAGAATCGCTTGAACCCGGGAGGCGGAGGTCTCAGTGAGCCAAGATTGCACTACTGCACTCCAGCCTGGGTGACAGAGTGAGACTCTGTCTCCAAAAAAAAAAAAAAAATTGGTCGGGCGTGGTGGTGGGTGCCTGTAGTCTCAGCAACTCGGAAGGCTGAGTGAGACAGGAGAATCGCTTGAACATGGGAGGGAAGGCAGAGGTTGCAGTGAGCTGAGACTGTTGCATTGCACTCCAGCCTGGGTGACAGAGCAAGACTCCCCCTAAAGAAAAAAAAATTTTGTGTCATAGTAGGGGGACGGCTGTCCCTAGGCTGATTCTTTTCCCTTCCCAGTTGTCAGAGTCTCCTGGTAGATGAGCAGCAGATTCCAGCGGAACAGCAGGAGAACCCGAGTGGAAACTGCAGGGCGGCCGACCTCCGCAGGGCGCGGGAAAAGTGCGAGGCAGCGCTCCGGGCTCCTGTGTGGGCCCAGTGCGCCTCCCGCATAGACCTCACGCCCTTCCTGGTGGACTGTGCAAACACCCTCTGTGAGTTCGGAGGTCTCTACCAGGCCCTCTGCCAGGCTCTGCAAGCCTTCGGGGCCACCTGCCAGAGCCAGGGGCTCAAGCCCCCACTCTGGAGAAACAGCAGCTTCTGCCGTGAGTGTGCCCTGCTGTCACCCCAAACCCCTCCCAAACCCCCTTTCCCTCTCTGCTTCCCTGAGAGCTCCCTCACTCTCCTTCCTGTTCGTTCCTGACTAACTCAGCCCTCATTGTTTCTTTGACAAGGACTATTTTTTAATTTTTATATAAAATTTTTTTTGCTGGGTGTGGTGGCTCACGCCTATAATCCCAGCACTTGGGGAGGCCAAGGTGGGTGGATCACCTGAGGTCAGGAGTTCGAGACCAGCCTGGCCAACATGGTGAAACCCCATCCTACTAAAAATACAAAATTAGCCGGGTGTGGTGGCACATGCCTGTAATCCCAGCTACTCGGGAGGCTGAGGCAGGAGAATTGCTTGAACCTGGGAGGCGGAGGTTGTAGTGAGCCGAGATCGCGCCGTTGCACTCCAGCCTGGGCAAAAAGAGCAACACTCCATCTCAAAAAAAAAAAAAAGTGTCTTTTAGTATCTTGATAAAGTTGTGCAACCATCACTACTATATAACGCCAGAAACTTTTACAATTTAAAACAGGAATTCAATAGAGTTTTTTTTAATAGGTAACACATTTGCAGGATTCAAAAACGTATAAAGTATTAAAAAATTTAAAATACTTTTAAAGTATTAAAAGATACCCAGTAGGTTGGGTGTGATGGCTCATGCCTATAATCTCAGCAATTTGGGAGGCTGAGGTGGGTGGATTGCTTGAAACCAGGAGTTCGAGACCAGCCTGGGCAACATAGTGAGACCCAATCTCTACAAAAAATTACCAAACTAGCTGGGTATGGTGGTGCATGCCTGTGGTCCCAGCTACTTGTGGGGGTGAGGTGGGAGGATCACTTGAGCCCGGCAGTGAACTGTGATTGCATCCCTGCACTCAAGTCTGGGTGACAGAGTGAGACTCTCAGAAAAAAAAAAATTCTCCCCAAAAAACAAAAAAAGATACCAGTGTACCGTCTCCCTCCCACCCTCACCCCATGGGCCTGGTTCATGTCTCAGTATTTTTCCCAAGACCACTTATTTATGCATATATAAACAAATTCAAATTTATATTCGTGGCTGGGTGCAGTGACTGACACCCGTAATCCAAGCACTTTGGGAGTCCAAGAAGGGAGGATTGCTTGAGGCCAGGAGTTTGAGACCAACCTGGGCAATATAATGAGACCCCCGCATCGCTACAAAAAAATTAAAAAAACAAAAGACAAGAAAACTATATGCTCTGTGCTTTTGGAGTTTTGCCAATCTGAGAATTGAAAAACAACGTCTTATTATTTTTTTGCCAGTGTTTCATAAGAAGGTTTATTTTATTTATTTTTTTATTTTATATATATTTTTTGAGACAGAATCTCGCTCTGTCACCAGGCTGGAGTGCAGTGGTGTGACCTTGGCTCACTGCAACTTCCACCTTCTGGGTTCAAGAGATTCTCCTGCCTCAGCCTCCCAAGTAGCTGGGACTGCAGGCACGCACCACCACACCCAGGTAATTTTTGTATTTTTAGTAGAGACAGGGTTTCACCATGTTGGCCAGGTTGGTCTCGATCTCTTGACCTTGTGATCTGCCTGCCTTGGCCTCCCAAAGTGCTGGGATTACAGACGTGAGACATCTCAACCGGCCAAGAAAGTTTATTTTTCTTTAAAACACTCTCGCGTTCCAGGAGCAAAGCAGAGGTGCAGGGGGTGCTGCAGAGCTTCTCAGGGCCAGTGGAGGCAACATGAGCACAGCAGCCTGAGCTGGCTGAAGGGTCAGGGTGAAAGCAGCACACAGGTCCCGTGCAGAAGGGGGCCGCTGCTCAGCTGCCCCACAGCTGCTGGGCATCACTGTGGGTCCAGTGTGACCAGATCCTCTGATTTTTTTTTTTGAAAGAAGCTATAAGCCTGAGTTTTTATTTGACATTGCTATACTTTTTTTTTTTTTTTTTTGAGTCTCACTTTGTAGCTCAGGCTGGAGTCTATGATCTCGGCTCACTGTGACCTCTGCCTCCCAGGTTCCAGTGAATCTCCTGCCTCAGCCTCCGAGTAGCTGGGATTACTGGCATGTGCCACCACACCCAGCTAATTTTTGTATTTTTAGTAGAGACGGGGTTTCACCATATTGGCCAGGCTGGTCTTGAACTCCTCACCTCAGGTGATCCACCTGCCTCAAGCCTCCCAAAGTGCTAGGATTACAGGCATGAGCCACTGCACCTGGTCATGAAAAATAACAAGACTTAATTTGAGTTTTTATTATGAGTGAGATTGGACATTTTTTCATGTACTTAGGAACCCTTTGAATTTCCCTTTCTGTAAACTATCTGCTCTTATCCAGTCACCATTTTTCCATTGAGTCGTTGGTCTTTACTGAACTATTTCATGGAAGTCCTTTATCTGTTATGGAAAGTAGACCTTTATTAGTGCTCTGAGTTACACAAAGTTTTCCAGTCCTTTTTGTTTTCATCTTTTGACTTTTTTTTTTTTTGCCATGCAGGACAAAAATTTTTATGGGGTCAAATATATTAATCTTGTTTTATGTCTTCTGCATCTTGAGCAATAGCTATAAATGCTAGCCCCACAGAAGCTACAAAAGAGTTTGCTGATTCTTTGCTCTAGAAATTTTGTTTGTTTGAGACAGAGTCTCACTCTGTGGCCCAGGCTGCAGTGGCACGATCCCGGATCACTGCAACCTCTGCCTCCTGGGTTCAAGCGATTCTCCTGCCTCAGCCTTCCGAGTAGCTGGGATTACAGGCACCCACCACCATGCCTGGATAATTTTTTTGTATTTTTAGTAGAGATGGGGTTTCACCATGTTGGCCAGGCTGGTCTCAAACTCCTGGCCTCAAGTGATCTGCCCGCCTCGTCCTCCCCAAGTGCTGGGGTTACAGGCGTGAGCCACCGTGTCCGGCCTGCTCTAGAACTTTTATGGTTTCATTTTTTTATATTTAAGTGGGTTTTTTTTGTGTGTGTGTGTGTGTGTGTATTTAAGTTTTTGACCCATGAAGATTTATCCTGATGTGTAAAATGAGGTATGAATCAACTTTGTTTTTGTTTTTCTCCAGAAGGCTAGCCAGCTGTTCCAATATTATTAAATGACTAGTCTGTCTTTGCGCAGGGACTGAGATACCACAATTTATCATATACTAAATTCCCATATATATTTGGATCCATATCTGAGCTTTCTCCTCTGTTCTGTCGGTCCATCTGTATTTGCATGTAGCAGTAACACAAAGTCGTAATCACTGAAAATTTAAAATGAGCTTTGGGCTGGGCGCTGTGGCTTACGCCTGTAATCCCAGCACTTTGGGAGGCCGAGGTGGGCGGATCACCTGAGGTCAGGAGTTTGAGACCAGCCTGGCCAACATGGCAAAACCCCATCTCTACTAAAAATACAAAAAATAGCTGGGCGTGCTAGTATGTGCCTGTAATCCCAGCTACTCAGGAGGCTGAGAAAGGAGAATTGCTTGAACCTGGGAGGTGGAGGTTGCAGTGAGCTGAGATTGTGCCATTGCACTCCAGCCAGGGCGGAAAGAGCGAAACTCTATCTCAAAAAAATAAATAAATGAATAAATAAAATAAAACAAAATAAACGACTTATGGAGGGCCATTCACTACTGATGGCTCTTTTTTTTAGGGAGTTCCTGGCTTTTCTGGTTTGCTTATGTCTTCAGCTCAACTTTGAAATCATCTTGTCCTATTAAAAGCACACACATATATAAAATACTTTTGGTGGCTGGGTGTGGTGGCTCATGCCTGTAATCCTAGCACTTTGGGAGGCCAAGGTGGGAGGATCACCTGAGGTCAGGAGTTTGAGACCAGCCTGGCCAACATGGTGAAACCCCATCTCTACTAAAAATACAAAAATTAGCCAGGCATGGTGGCACATGCCTGTAATCCCAGCTACCTGGGAGGCTGAAGTAGGAGAATCTCTGGAACCAGGGAGGCAGAGGCTGCAGTGAGCCAAGATCATTCCTGGGTGTCAGAGAGAGACTCCGTCCCTGCCCGTCCCCCGCAAAAAAAAAAAAAAAAAAAAAAAAAAAAAAATATATATATATATATATATACACATATATATATATACACACATATATATATACATATATATATATGTATATTTTATTGAGATCACATTAAATGTGTACATTCACTGAGGCAGAACTAACATCACCATGTTGCTGAACCTTCTTATCCATGAACATGGTATGCATTTCCATTTGTTCACACTATTTTTGCTTAAGGGCCTTTCTTTAACTCCCCCAACAGAATTAATACCTCCCTGCTCTGTGCCTCCATCATGCCTTGTATGCTCTTGCTGTCAACACACCTACTGATCATACACATCAAGGTCCTGCTGCCGTTGCTGTTTGACCACCGTCCTTCATGCTGGCTTGGGAGAGCCATTCTTGTTCCTTTTTTTTTTTTTTTTTTTGAGACAGTCTCACTCTGTTGCCCAGGCTGGAGTGCAGTGGTGTGATCTTGGCTCAATGCAACCTCTGCCTCCCAGGTTCAAGTGATTCTCCTGCCTCAGCCTCCTGAGTAGCTGGGACTACAGGCGCCCACCACCACGCTTGGCTAATTGTTGTATTTTTAGTAGAGATGGGGTTTCACCATGATGGCCAGGATGGTCTCGATCTCCTGACCTTGTGATCCACCCACCTCAGCCTCCCAAAGTGCTGGGATTACAGGCGTGAGCCACCATGCCCAGCCGCTTTTTCCTTGCTTTCCCCCAAAGCCTGGCACATAACCCATACTCAGTAAATGTTTGCTGAATGAATAACAAAAGAACAAAAAAAGCTCCCCAAGCCTTGTTGGTCATCCACCCATAGCTTGGTTTGTACAGCCCCTGCCCACCTTGGCCCCCTGTGACCCTCTCCACTGACCCACTGTCTCCTTCACCCACAGCTCTGGAATGCCCTGCCTACAGCAGCTACACCAACTGCCTTCCCTCCTGCTCACCCTCCTGCTGGGACCTGGATGGCCGGTGTGAGGGCGCCAAAGTCCCCTCTGCCTGCGCTGAGGGCTGCATTTGTCAGCCCGGCTATGTGCTGAGTGAAGACAAGTGTGTCCCCAGAAGTCAGTGTGGCTGCAAGGATGCCCATGGTGGCTCCATCCCTGTGAGTGGGCATGGGAAATGGGACTGGAGGCAACACAGCTTGAGGGCAGTGCTTTCTCCTTTTCTCTGCCTCTCTCAGCCTGGGATACCCATGACTTACAGCTGGCCCGGGGGTGTGAAGGCTGGTGTGAGTGGCACATTGATCTCCAGCCAGGTCTGGGCTGATGGCACATGGTTTGGGTTTTGGATCTGAGGAATCCAAACAAGCAGCACATGGCATGGTATAGTGGAAAGACCATGGGCTCATTTCAGCCTAACCTAGGATTGAATCCTGATGGTGCCACTGATGAGTCAGATGACCTCTGTTATATCCGTTTCCTCATCTGTAAAATGGGTTCAGTAGTACCTCCTGCACAACATATGTAAGTCACCAAGCACAAACACAGTGCCTTTTTTTTTTTTTTTTTTTTTTGAGACGGAGTCTCCCTCTATTATCCAGCAGGCTAGAGTGCAGTGGCATAATCTCTGCGCACTGCAATCTCTGCCTCCTGGGTTCAAGCCATTCTCCTGCCTCAGTCTCCTGTGTAGCTGGGATTACAGGCAAGCGCCACCACAGCCTGCTAATTTTTGAATTTTTAGTAGAGATTGGGTTTCACCATGTTGGCCAGGCTGGTCTCGAACTCCTGACCTCAAGTGATCTGCCCGCCTTGGCCTCCCAAAGTACTAAGATTACAGGTGTGAGCCACCACACTTGGCCTGCACAGTTGTCTTTTGGATGACCAAATGACACTGTGGCTGCCTCTGGCCAGCATCAATTAAGCCATTTAGATGGTGGGCCAGGCTGCTGGGGCAAGAGGAAGGAGAACTGGCCCTCCCCTCTTCACTCTTTTTTTTTTTTTTCTTGAGACAGAGTCTCGCTCTGTTGCCCAGGCTGGAATGCAGTGGTGCGATCTTGGCTCACTGCAACCTCTGCCTCCTGGGTTCAAGCAATTCTCCTGCCTCAGCCTCTTGAGTAGCTGGGATTACAAGTGTGTGCTACCACACCTGGCTAATTTTTGTATTTTTAGTAGAGACAGGGTTTCACCATGTTGGCTGGGCTCGTCACAAACTCCTGACCTCAGGTGATCCACCCGTCTCGGCCTCCCAAAGTGTTGGGATTACAGGCGTGAGCCGCCGCGCCCAGCCCCCTCCTCACTCTCTTTCTCTTCCTGTAACTTCTACAGCTGGGCAAGAGCTGGGTCTCCAGCGGTTGCACGGAGAAGTGTGTCTGCACGGGAGGAGCCATTCAGTGCGGGGACTTCCGATGCCCCTCTGGGTCCCACTGCCAGCTCACTTCCGACAACAGCAACAGCAATTGTGTCTCAGACAGTAAGGGGAGCGACCGGGGAGGTTGGAGAGGGGAGCACCTGTGGCCAGGGCGGAGGTGGAGGAAGAGGCAGGGTGGGAAGGGGCTTAGCCTGAACCCCAGCACAGTCAGGGGTTGGGGCGGGCGACTGGATCAGGAGGCCTGGCCTCCAGTTTAGCTCTTGCTAACTCTGTGGCCATGTGCCAGGTCCTGATCCCCTCTGGGACCCTCCACCTGCAGGGCAAAAAGAGGGGACTGGTCAAGGAGATCCTCCAAAGTTTTTCTTTTCTTGTTTGTTTGTTTTTTGAGATAGGGTCTTGCTCTGTTGCCCAGGCTGGAGTGCACTGGCACCATCATATAGCTAGCTGCAACCTCAAATGCCTGCAATCATGTGATCCTCACATCTCAGCCTCCCAAGTAGCTGGGACTACAGGCATGGACCACCACACCCAGCCAATTTTGCTATTTTTTTTCTAGAGATGGGGTCTTGCTATGTTGCCCAAGATGGGCTTGAACTCATGGGCTCATGTGTTCCTCCTGCCTCAGCCTCCTAAAGTGTTGGGATTACAGGCATGAGCCACTGTGCCCGCCCCCTCTAAGGTTTTTAATCAGGCCAGGAGATAGAGAAAATTGAAGATCAAGGATCCAGGGAGGCTGGGCATGGTGGTTCATGCCTGTAATCCCAGTACTTGGGAGGCAGAGGTGGAAGAATCACTTCAGCCCAGGAATTTAACACCAACCTGGCCAACATAGGAAGACCCTGTCCCTACAAAAAATTTTAAAATTTTAAAAAATTAGTTAGGTGTAGTGGCTTGTGCCTGTAGTCCCAGCTACTCAGGAGACTGACGCAGGAGAATTGCTTGAGCTCAGGAGTTTGAGGCTGCAGTGAGCTATGATTGTACCACTGCACTCCAGCCTGGGACACAGAGTGAGATCTTGTCTCAAAAAAATAAAAAAATAAAAATAATAATAAAGGGCCTCTAATTGAATGTCAGTAGGTATTGAAAAAAAAAAGTCTAGGTACCGGGCTTGGTGGCTTATGCCTGTAATCTCAGCACTTTGGACTTTGGGAGGCCAAGGTGGGAGGATTTCTTGAGGCCAGGAGTTCAAGACCAGCCTGGGCAATGTAGTGTGGCCATTTCTAAAAAAAAAAGAAAAAAATTAGCTAGGGGTGGTGGTGCGCACCTAAAGTCCCAGCTACTCAGGAGGATCACTCGAGACCAGGAGGTGGAGGCTGCAGTGAGCTATGATCGTACCACTTGTACTCCAGTCTGGGTGACAGAATAAGACCCTGTCTCAAAAAAAGAAAAAGAAAATTAAAAAAAGAAAAGAAAGGATCCAGGGAGCCTGAGCCTAAGAGGGTGGCCACAGGGGATGCCACCGTGGGGGAGGGACTCTGGGGACTGTCACACCTGGGCAGGGTCCCTTCTCAGTCTTTTGTTTTGTTTTTTGTTTTTTTGAGATGGTGTCTTACTCTGTCTCCCAGGCTGGAGTGCAGTGGCGCGATCTCGGCGCTCACTACAACCTCTGCCTCCCGGGTTCAAGCAATTCTCTTGCCTCAGCCTACCAAGTAGCTGGGATTACAGGCACGCACCACCACACCTGGCTAATTTTTGTATTTTTAGTAGAGACAGGGTTTCACCATGTTGGCCAGGCTGGTCTCAAACTCCTGACCTCAGGTCATCCACCCGCCTTGGCCTCCCAAAGTCCTGGGATTACAGGCGTGAGCCACTGCGCCCGGCCCCTTCTCACTGTCTGACTTCTTGGCAGAGTCTGAACAATGCTCAGTCTATGGCGACCCCCGTTACCTCACATTTGACGGCTTCAGCTACCGCTTGCAAGGCCGCATGACCTATGTTCTGATCAAGACTGTGGACGTACTGCCTGAGGGGGTGGAGCCCCTCCTCGTGGAAGGACGCAACAAGATGGATCCGCCCAGGAGCTCCATCTTCTTGCAGGAAGTGATTACCACCGTCTACGGCTATAAAGTGCAGCTCCAAGCTGGTCTGGAGCTTGTGGTAAGAGCTGGGCCAGGGCCTGGTGGGTGTGGGGAGGCAGCTGGACCAGGTAGGCCACCTGGAGTAGAAGTCAGGGATCCCTGTTCCCTGGGATGTTTGTGGCAGGGGTGGGCTGGTTGTAAAATCAGAGTCAGCAGGACGCAGTGGTTCACGCCTGTAATCTCAGCTACTCAGGAGGCTAAGACGGGAGGATCACTTGAGCCCAGGAGTTCAAGACCAGCCTGGGCAACATAGCAAGACGCAACATCTCTGCAAAAAATTTAAAATGAGCTGGATATGGGGGCGCACACCTGTAGTTCCAGCTATTGGGCAGGCTTAGGCTGGAGGATCACTTGAGCCCAGGAGTTTGAGGCTGCAGTGAGCCAAGATCTTGCCACTGCACTTTAGCCTGGGTGACAGAGAGAAACTGTCTCAAAATCAAAAACAAATTCAGCAACAAGCTCACTTCATGTGGGGAGGCAGCAGAGGCTGGCAAGAAACAAGAGGAAGAGAGGAGGAGGACAGAGCGTGAGGTGTGTGAAGGTCAATCCTGGGCTGAAGAACCAATGGCATCCACTACACCAATGTATTTTTATTTTTTGAGGCAGAGTTTCACTCTGTCGCCCAGGCTGGAGTGCAGTGGCACCATCTAGGCTCACTGCAACCTCCACCTCCCAGGTTCAAGTGATTATCCTGCCTCAACCTCCCTAGTAGCTGGGACTACAGGTGTGCACCACCATGTCTGGCTAATTTTTGTATTTTTAGTAGAGACGTGGTTTCCCCATGTTGGCCAGGCTGGTCTGGAACTCCTGACCTCAAGTGATCCGCCCGACTCGGCCTCCCAAAGTGCTAGAATTACAGGTGTGAGCCACTGTGCCCGGCCTCACTGAGCCAATTTTTTGCAAGGAAGGACTTGGGCTGGGAAGGGGGCGGACCTCACAGAGGTTTCTGCCACGTGAATAGCAAAGCCCATTGGGGTATCTTATTCCACTCTCTGCACGGAGACATATGGAGATGACTGGGAAAAGTGAAGCCCAGCCAGGAAATGGCAGCAGGTCAGGAGGATTCAGCCCTGTCTGTGGCTCCTGTCTTCCCTCTTTAGGTCAACAACCAGAAGATGGCCGTCCCCTACAGGCCAAATGAACACCTGCGGGTCACCCTGTGGGGCCAACGGCTCTACCTGGTCACCGACTTTGAGCTGGTCGTCAGCTTTGGTGGAAGGAAAAATGCAGGTAATGGAGAGAGGGGAAAGAAGAGCAAAAGGGCCATTTCTGGGAAGTGGGAGGGAAAATCCTATTTAAGACAGGCAAATCCTGGTGAGCAGACTCGGCCCGGTAGTGGGGCACCCAGCTTCAGAGGAGGACCAGGAGGAGGTGAGGTGAGACCAGGTGGAGAGCAGAGGGCAGAGTCTTGGCTGGGTGCTGTGGCACTGGCCAGAAATCCCAGCGCTCCGGGAAGCTGAGGTGGGAGGATCGCTTGAGGTCAGAAGCTCAAGACCAGCCTGGGGAACATAGTGAGACCCCCGTCTCTACAAAAAAAATTTTAAAGGCCGTGCACAGTGGCTCACGCCTGTAATCCCAGCACTTTGGGAGGCTGAGGCAGGTGGATCACCTAAGGTCAGGAGTTCAAGACCAGCCTGGCAAACATGGCGAAACCCCATCTCTACTAAAAATACAAAAATTAGCTGGGTGTGGTGGTGGGCGCCTGTAATCCCAGCTACTTGGGATGCTGAGGCAGGAGAATCGCTTGAACGTGGGAGGCGGAGGTTGCAGTGAGCTGAGATCGTGCCACTGCACTCCAGCCTGGGTGACAAGAGCAAAACTCCATCTCAAAAAAAATTTTTTTTTTTTAAATGAGACAGGTGTGATGGTGCATGCCTGTAATCCCAGCTTCTGGAACTGGAGAGGCTGAGACGGGAGGATCGCTTGAGGCCAGGCATTCGAGACCAGCCTGGGCAACATAGCAAGATCCCATCTCTATAAAAAATAAAAATAAAAAATTAGCTGGATGTGGTGGTGCACACCTGTAATCCCAGCTACTGGAAAGGCCGAGGAGAGAGGATCGCTTGAGCCCAGAAGTTGGAGGCTGCAGTGAGCCATGATTGAGCCACTGTACTCCAGACTGGGCAACAGAGCAAGACCCTGCTTTAAAAAAAAGTTAATTAAGGCTGGGCACGGTGGCTCACACCTGTAATCCCAGCACTTTGGGAGGCCGAGGCAGGCAGATCACGAGGTCAGGAGATCGAGACCATCCTGGCTAACACGGTGAGACCCTGTCTCTACTGAAAATACTAAAAATTAGCCAGGTGTGTTGGCGGGCACCTATAGTCCCAGCTACTCGTGAGGCTGAGGCAGGAGAATGGAGTGAACCTGGGAGGCGGAGCTTGCAGTGAGCGGAGATCACACCGCTGCACTCCAGCCTGGGCAACGGAGCGAGACTCCATCTCAAAAAAAAAAAAAAAAAGTTAATTAAAAAAAAGAGTGAGGGCTAGGCGCGGTGGCTCATGCCTGTAATCCCAGCACTCTGAGAGGCCGAGGTAGGCAGATCACTTGAGGTCAGGAATTCTAGACCAGTTTGGCCAACATGGTGAAACACTGTCTCTACTAAAAATACAAAAATTAGCCAGGCATGGTGGTGTGTGCCTGTAGTTCCAGCTACTCGGGAGGCTGAGCCATGGGAATTGCTTGAAACCAGGAGGCGGAGGTTGCAGTGAGCCAAGATCACACAACTGCACTCCAGCCTGGGCAACAGAGCAAGACTGTCTAAAAAAAAAAAAAAAAAAAAGAGTGAGGAGTCTCACTTCTGGGGACCCCCTTCCTCCCGCAGTGATCTCCCTACCCAGCATGTACGAGGGGCTTGTGAGTGGCCTGTGCGGAAACTACGACAAGAACCGCAAGAATGACATGATGCTGCCCAGTGGCGCCCTGACCCAGAACCTCAACACCTTTGGCAACAGCTGGGAGGTGAAGACCGAGGACGCACTCCTGCGCTTCCCCAGGTGCACGGCCTGGAAGGGATGAGGCGGGGGAGGTGAACAACAATGTCTGTGCACGGTGGCCGCTAGCCCTCCTGTCCTCAGGAGAGGATGAAACTCCAGGGAGAGGGTGCAGATAGGCCTGGATCCTCCCAATTCCGTCATTCCCTCTCATCTGACTCTGGGGGCTCCCGCTCAATGGAAATCTCTCTCTGTGCCCCTGCCCTGCCCTCAGCCTGCCTTCCCAGTTATTTTTCCTTCTTCCTTCTTCCTTCTTTCCTCCTCCTCCTCTTCCTCCTCCTTCTCCTCCTCCTCCTCCTTCTTCTTCTCCTCCTCCTACTTCTTCTTCCTCTGTCACCCAGGCTGGAGTGCAGTGGCATGATCTCAGCTCACTGCAACCTCTGCCTCCCAGTTTCAAGTGATTCTCGTGCCTCAGCCTCCCAAGTAGCTGGGACTACAGGCATGGGCCACCACGCTCAGCTAATGTTCGTATTTTTAGTAGAGACAGGGTTTCACCATGTTGGCCATACTGGTCTCGAACTCCTGACCTCAAGGGATCTGCCCACCTAGGCCTCCCAAAGTGCTGGGATTACAGGTGTGAGCCACCACACCCAGCCCCAGTAGTTCTTATTTCTTTTTTTAAAATATATTTTTTAGAGACCGGGTCGTGCTCTGTTACCCAGGCTGGAGTGCAGTGGCGTGATCTTGGCTCACTGCAGTTTCCACCTCCTGGGCTCAAGTCATCCTCCTGCCTCAGCCTCCCGGGTAGCTGGGACTCCAGGCAGCCACCACCATGCCCGGCTAATCAGTTCTTCTTCTTCCCCCACTTCACCTTCCTTGGGGCCTCACCTGACCCCGTGGCTGTCTCTACTGCAGGGCTATACCAGCGGAGGAGGAGGGACAAGGGGCGGAGCTGGGCCTCCGCACGGGCCTCCAAGTGTCCGAATGTAGCCCGGAGCAGCTGGCGAGCAACAGCACCCAGGCCTGTAGGGTGCTGGCAGACCCCCAGGGCCCCTTTGCTGCCTGTCACCAGACGGTGGCCCCAGAGCCCTTCCAAGAGTGAGTCATGGGCCCAGGACTTGTGGGAATGGCCCAGGTGCCTGCTCTGGTCTTTCCCTGGGGCCTCCTGCCCGCTTCCTGACCCAAGCTCTGTGTGGTTCACTCCTCCGTTCTCCCTGTGGCCTAATTTCCTTGTGACCCTCACTGGACACCGACTGATGTCTTTCTGTTTGGGGTTCCAGGCTCTCTTCTGCAGGGGTGGGTCTCCTCCCCTCCCCAAACTGACTGTGCCCTTCCTGCCCCCTCTCTGCACCAGGCACTGCGTGCTGGATCTGTGCTCTGCTCAGGACCCAAGAGAGCAAGAGGAGCTGCGTTGCCAGGTCCTCAGTGGGTACGCCATCCTCTGCCAGGAGGCGGGCGCTGCCCTGGCTGGCTGGCGGGACCGCACCCTCTGCGGTGAGGTGTTGCCCCTCCCTGTGCCGACCCTGACCCCTCTGCCGTCCACCTCTGCTGAACGCTCTTCCCACCATTGCCTCATCTCGGGCTTTCTGTCTTAGTCCCATCATCCCTCGAATTTCTGCCTTAGTCCCAGGTCCAAGTCAGCACAACCGGCAGCCTGGCTCCTTCTCTGCCCCTGCCTGGGAGCCTCCCAACCCCATCCCGCATCCCGCTCCTTCCTGCCAAGGTCCACCTTCGCTCAACCAGTTCCTTCAAATGTTCTAATGTTGCAGACCCTGGATGGGCTGGGCGTGGTGGTTCACACCTGTAATCCCAGTGCTTTGGGAGGTTGAGGCTGGAGGATGGCTTGAGCCCAGGAGTTCCAGCCAGGCTGCAGTGAACCATGACCGCACACCACCACACTCCAGCCTGGGCAACAGAGCAACATCCTATCTCAAAAAAAAAAAAAAAGAAAGAAAGAAAGAAAGAACGAAAAAAAGAAAGAAATTAAAAAAAGAAAAGACTAGACAGGCTGGACATGGTAGCTCATACCTGTAGTTCCACCACTTTGGGAGGCAGAGGCAGGAGGATCAATTGAATCCAAGAGTTTGAGACCGGCCTGGGGAACCAGTGAGACCCCATCTCTATAAAAATCTTAACAAATTGGCCGGGTGTGGTGGTGCATGCCTGTAACTCCAGTCACCAGGGAGGCTGAGGTGGGAGGATCATTGGAACCCAGGAGTTGGAGGCTGCAGTGAGCCGTGATCACGCCAGCCTGGGCACTCCAGCCTGGGCAACAGAGTGACTCCATCTCTAAAAAAAATTTAAAAAAATAAAAAATAAAAAAAAGACCCTAGATGAAGCTGCAACACGTTCTAGCTTCCTGCCTATATGCAACGCTGAGTGTTTTTGTTTTTGTTGTTGTTGTCTGAGACAGAGTTCGCTTTTTGTTGCCCAGACTGGAGTGCAGTGGCATGATCTCGGCTCACTGCAACCTCCGCCTCCTGGGTTCAAGCGATTCTTGTCTCAGCCTCCCGAGTAGCTGGTATTACAGGTGCCCGCCACCACGCCCGGCTCATTTTTGTATTTTTAGCAGAGATGGGGTTTCACCATGTTGGCCAGGCTGGTCTTGAACTCCTGACTTCAGGTGATCCACCTGCCTCATCCTCCCAAAGTGCTGGGATTTCAGGTGTGAGCCACTGTGCCCAGCCTACTCTGAGTTTTATCGGGTGACCTTGCCCCTGTTTGGCCTGCCCAGCCCCAGCCAGTTTCTGACCATGACTGTCCCCGCAGCCATGGAGTGTCCAGCAGGTACCATATATCAGAGCTGTATGACACCCTGCCCAGCATCCTGTGCCAACCTGGCAGACCCCGGGGACTGCGAGGGCCCCTGCGTGGAAGGCTGCGCCAGCATCCCAGGCTATGCCTACAGTGGCACCCAGAGCCTCCCCTGGCTGACTGTGGCTGCACCAGCAATGGCATCTACTACCAGGTCTGAGCTGGCAGCAGGAGGCCCTGGGGAGCAGAGGCGCCAAGGAGAGCCAGACCAGGGATGGAACTGGAACGTCTCCTCCTGGCCCTTCCCCTTTCTAGCTGGGCAGCAGCTTTCTGACTGAGGACTGCTCTCAGCGGTGCACCTGTGCCAGCTCACGGATCCTGCTGTGTGAGCCCTTCAGCTGCAGAGCGGGGGAGGTCTGCACCCTGGGGAACCACACCCAAGGCTGCTTTCCAGGTGAACCTGCACTCCTGCCCGGTTCCAAGCTGCCCCATGCCCTGGGGCGTCCATGGACCAAGGATCGTCCCCTCCTTGTCCTCAGGACTCTTCCACATTGATTTCAGGATGTCTGTCCCTGCCTTTGTAGGGAGGGACAAAGGACAAAGATCTCCCGATCCCTAAGCATCCATGACCTACCGAATCCTTCCCTAGCGTTCCTTCCCATGATCTCCTTCAGCCCTGATGGTTAGCACAGCACTCCTAATTTATACATAACAAACATGGAGTTCAGAGAGGTTAAGCAGTTTCCTGCTGGGCGTGGGTGACTCATGCCTGTAATCCCAGCATTTTTGGAGGTGAGGTGGGCGAATTGCTTTGAGCTCAGGAGTTCAAGATCAGCCTGGGCAATATAGGGAGACATCGTCTCTACTAAAAATTAAAGAAAAAAAGAGCTGAGTGTGGTGGTGCACTCCTGTAGTCTCAGCTACTTGGAAGCTGAGGTGGGAAGATCACTTAAGCCCAAGAAATTGAGGCTACAGTGAGCTATAATTGTGCCACTGCACTCCAGCCTGGGTGACAGAGTGAGATCTTGTCTCAAAAAAGAAGAGAAGAGAAGGGAGGAGGGGAGGGCAGGGGAGGGGAGGAAAGGAAGGGAGGGAGGAGAGGGGAGAGGAGAGGAAGGGAGAGGAGGGGAGAAGGAGGGAAGGAGAGAAGGAGGGAGGAAAGGAGGAAGAAAGGAAGAGAGGAAGGAAGAGATGAAAGAGTTTCAAAGGAAGGAAGTTTCCCCAAAGCCCAGGGCTAGTGAGGCAGGGTTGGGAGCCAGGCTGGCTGACCCCTGGCCAGTCTCTGGCAGCCGCTGCTTTCTCCCCGGGCGTCCCAGCCCCCAGCCAGGCCTTCCCTCAGCTGGGAGTGTCCTCCCAGGGCCCCCCTCCCACAACCCTCTCTGTCCTTGCAGAAAGCCCGTGTCTGCAGAACCCCTGTCAGAATGACGGGCAGTGTCGGGAGCAGGGAGCCACCTTCACCTGCGAGTGTGAAGTTGGTTACGGGGGAGGCCTGTGTATGGAGCCTCGAGATGCGCCACCTCCCAGAAAGCCAGGTGAGGGCATCGTCCAAGGCCCTGTACCCTCACAACCTCTTCCTGGCCGACAACCACAGAATGATTCTATATGTATTATATTCACATATAGAATGATATGTATTATAATATTATGTTACAGATATTATATATTATAAACATAACAATTTGTAGCTATAATGGATATTAATATATTAATATATCTTGTATATTAATTATCTATTTATATATTACATATATTATTATAGTAGGAATTATAATATAATCCCTAGAAATTCGCAGGACAAGCATCCTCAAAAAACCAGTCCTGGCCGGGAATGGTGGCTCACGCCTGTAATCCCAGCACTTTGGGAGGCTGAGGTGGGCGGATCACGAGGTCAGGAGATGGAGACCATTCTGGCTAACGAAGTGAAACCCCGTCTCTACTAAAAATACAAAAAGTTAGCCGGGTGTGGTGGTGTGCGCCTGTAGTCCCAGCTACTCGGGAGGCTGAGGCAGGAGAATCACTTGAACCTGGGAGGTGGAGGTTGCAGTGAGCCAAGATCAAGCCACTGCACTCCAGCCTGGGTGACAGAGCAAGACTCCATCTAAAAAAAAATAAAAAAATAAAAAAAAATTAGCTGGGTATGGTGGTGCACAGCTGTAATCCCAGCTACTCAGAGGCTGAGGCACGAGACCCGCTTGAACCCGGGAGGCAGAGGTTGCAGTGAGCTAAGATCACGCTACTGCGCTCCAGCCTGGGCGACCAAGACTCCATCTCAAAAAAAACAAAAAACAAAAACCAAAAACAAAACAAAAAACTAGTTCCTGTGCCCATCTCCTACCTATATACTGTGAAATCTTCTCTCTGAAGCCCAGCTCCCCACTCCTGTGACCTGTATCTCTCACCCCTGCTGCTTCCTCCTCCTGTGTCCTTCTGTGCCTCTCCAGCACCTTCCATTGTCCTTTCCTATCCCAAACTACAATTCCCATGGGCTTCTGGGCCAGTGGTTCTCCAGCTTTATCTTGCCTAAGATTGAAGACGGGGTAACTTGTGTACATGTATATTCCAGGACACACTCTGAAAGATCAGATTTGGTAGGTCTGGAGTGGGCCCAGGAATCTGCTTTTTTTTTTTTTTTTTTTGAGTCTTGGTCTGTTGCCCAGGCTGGAGTGCAGTGGCGTGATCTCGGCTCACTGCAACCTCCACCTCCCGGGTTCAAGTGATTCTCCTGTCTCAGCCTCCTGAGTAGCTGGGATTACAGGCGCCGGCCACCACGCCCGGCTATTTTTGTATTTTTAGTAGGGATGGGGTTTCGCCATGTTGGCCAGGTTGGTCTGAAACTCCTGACCTCAGGTGATCCTGCCACCTTGGCCTCCCAAAGTGCTGGGATTACAGGCGTGAGCCTTTGTGCCCAACCAGAATCTGCATTTTCAACAAGGGCCCAGGAAACTATGGAAGTGACTCCAGGGCTACTCTTTGAGAAATGCTGGCTGAGATGACACCTGGACTCTAGGGGACCTAAGAGAAACAGCTGCCCACCTAAATAGGCTTAAGGGAGGGCAGGCGTGGTGGTTCATGCCTGTAATTTCAGGACTTTGGGAGGCCAAGGCGGGAGGATCACTTGAGCCAGGAGTTCAAGACCAGCCTGGTAACATAGCAAGACCCCATCTCTACAAAAAATCACGAAAATTAACCGGGTGTGGTGGCATGTGCCCATAGTCCCAGCTACTTGGAAAGCAGGCTGAGGGGGAGGATTGCTTGAGCCCAGGAGTTCAAGGCTGCAGAAAGCTATGATCGCACCACTGCACTCCAGCCTGAGCAATAGAGCCAGACTCTGTCTAAAAAGGCTTATGGCAAACAGAAAACATTGCGGGGGTTGGGGAGGGGGCACTAAGACCTTGGAGTCCCTGGAGGTGAGAACCTCCTGGAGGAAGAAGCAGACACACCTAGAGATTTAGAGAGATGAGGTCCCCTGGGGTAGCAAGCAATCCCCAAAAGGGAGTACCCCTCAGTCCCCACCCTTCCCGTCTCACGTTCGACCTAATGTCTCTTCCCCGCACCCAGAAGCATCTAACCTGGTGGGCGTCCTACTGGGACTGCTGGTGCCTGTGGTGGTCGTACTACTGGCCGTGACCAGAGAGTGCATTTACAGAACGAGGAGGAAGAGGTGAGTCCTGGGAAGGAGAGAGGAAGGGCGGGTGGGGTGTGCAAACCGGGAAGCGGCTGGGCCCGTAAAGGGCCACTTGGGGACCCATGTCTATTCCCCCATGCCTTCTAGAGAGAAAACGCAGGAGGGAGACAGACTGGCCAGGCTGGTGGACACAGGTGAGAACCAACCCCACAGCCCGGAACCTCGGGGCCTAGAGTTGAGTCTCCTCTCATACATGGTTTTCTTGCTTTCTCCTCAGATACTGTTCTGGACTGTGCCTGTTAAGTTGCTCAGTTTTGAGCTGTCTTCAGACAAGAAGATTAAATAAATTTATATATTTATTTATTTGAGACAGGGTCTTGCTCTGTCGCCAGGCTGGAGTGCAGTGGCACGATCACAGCTCACTGCAGCCTCAACCTCCTGGGCCTCCTGCCTCAGCCTCCTGGGTAGCTGAGACTGCAGGCATGCGTCACCACGAAGGCTAAATTTTAACATTTTTGTTTTTGTAGAGATGGGGGCGGGTCTCACTATGTAGCCCAGGCTGGTCTCAAACTCCTGGCCTCCAGCAATCCTCCCGCCTTGGCCTTCCAGAGCCCTGTGATTACAGGCATGAGCCATGGTGTCTGGCCAAAATTATTTATTTTTGTTTCAGTTTTTTGTTGAGATGGAGTCTCGCTCTGTCTCCCAGGCTGGAGTACAGTGGTGTGATCTCTGTTCACTGCAACCTCCACCTCCTGGGTTCAAGCGATTCTCCTGCCTCAGCCTCCTGAGTAGATGGGATTACAAGTACACACCACCTTGCCTGGCTAATTTCTGTATTTTTAGTAGAGACGAGGTTTCGCCATGTTGGCCAAGCTGGTCTCGAACTCCTGACCTCAAGTGATCTGCCCGACTTGGCCTCCCAAAGTGCTGGGATTATAGGCATGAGCCACCACGCCTGGCCCAAAATTATGTATTTTTGAGACGTGAATGTCCACATGATTATAGTGGAGGAAGTTGGGTCTTGGAGGGAGGAAAATGAGGGAGAGAGGCACGTGGAGGCCTAGGTAGGGCTGGGTTCTGTGCAAAATGTCTAGAGGGGAGAGGAACCTAGGTTTGAGGTGAGGGTGTTGTCCCTTAGAGAAAGCCACATGCGGGTGGCACATTCAGTCCCGGCGAGGCTGACATCACTAGGGGAGACAGAAGGAGCAGGGAGGGCAGAAGGAACAGGGCGGGCAGGGGAATGGAGGGTGGGATGCAGCCCCAGACCCTCGGCTTCTGATTTAGGAGAAGACTTCACCTCAGGAATCCGAGTGCTTAGAGGACGTGGCCTCTGGCTCCCCACCAAGGTGATTCTGAGAAATTTTACATGTCAAGTACAGACTAAGGTTGGGGAATGTGGCTTTTTTTTCTTTTTCTTTTTTTTTAGAGACAAGGTCTCACTCTGTTGCCCAGGCTAGAGTGTAGTGGTGCAGTCATAGCTCACTGCAGCCTTGACCCCCGGGGCTCAAACGATCCTCCCATCTCAGCCTCCTGAGTAGCTGGGACTACAGGCATGCACCACTACGCCTGGCTAATTTTGATATTTTTTAGAAGAGATAGGGTCTCACTATGTTGCCTAAACTGGTCTTGAACTCCTGGGCTCAAAGAGCTCAGCCTGCCTCCACCTCCCAAAGTACAAGGAATACACGTGACCACCTTACCCAGCCAAACGTGGCCTGCCCGCCTTTCCTTCCTTCCTTCCTTCCCTCCTTCCTTCCTTCCTCCATCCTTTCCTCCCTCCTTCCCTTCCTTTTCTTCCTCTTACTCTCTCCTTCCTTCGTTTTTCCTTCCTTCCTTCCTTCCTTCCTTCCTTCCTTCCTTTCTCCCTCCCTCCCTCCCTCTCTCTCTCTCTCTCTCTGTTTTCTTTCTTTCTCTCTCCCCTCTGTCCCTCCCTTCCTTATTTAGAGACAGGTGCTTCCTCTGTTACCCAGGCTGGAGTGCAGTGGCGCAATCATAGTTCACCCCCCAAAGTCCCTCCCACACCTCCTCGAGGGAACAAAACATGGGTGATGTGTCACCAAGGGAAGAGGGGACAGAGGACTCAAGAGCCCGAGGGACCCCAGAAGAGGGCTGTAGAGGTGAGAAATTGAGGGCAAGTCTCCCTGGGCTGGGAAGGGCCCAAGCTGTGATTTGGGGTCCAGCACTGACACAAACACGACAACAGGGGGCGACTGAGGTGCAGAAGTGGAAAAAGCAGGTCGGGCGTGGTGTAATCCCAGCGCCTTGGGAGGCTGAGGGGGAGGACTGCTTGAGGCCAGGAGTTTGAGATCAACCTGGGCAACATTATGAGGCCCCCTGTCTCTACAAAGAATAAAACATCAGCTGGGCATGGTGGCGTGCGCCTGGAGGATTCCCAACTACTCAGGAGGCTGAGATGGGAGCTTGAATTCTTGGGCTCAAGCCTCAGCCTCTCAAGTAGCCAGGACTATAGGCGCATGTCACCACGTCCTGGCTAAAAAAAGTGGCTTTTTCCAAAAAAAGCAAATCAGCCTGTGACCCTCTGGAGAGGCCCCCACCCCCGGTATTCCTCCATTTTCCAAAAGGGGCTAGGGGTTACTGAGGGCGGGGTCTGGGGTCTGGGTTGCTGAAGAATTCTGACCTCTATCCTACTAGGAGTGACCCACTCACCCCAGCCTGAGGCCAAGGTGCAAACATCCCGCCCCCTCCCTCGGGACCTCTGCCTCCCATCAGGCAGGTCCTTGCTTGGAAGTGGGGGCTGGGACGTCTTGCTTGTGCTCTAAGAAGGAAGGCTTGCTGGGTGCGGTGGCTCACACCTGTAATCCCAGCACTTTGGGAGGCCGAGGCGGGCGGATCACGAGGTCAGGAGATCGAGACCATGCTGGCTAACACGGTGAAACCCCATCTCTACTAAAAATACAAAAAAAAATTAGCCGGGTGTGGCAGCTGGCGCCTGTAGTCCCAGCTACTCAGGAAGCTGAGGCAGGAGAATGGCGTGAACCCGGGAGACAGAGCTTGCAGTGAGCTGAGATCGTGCCACTGGAAGGAATGGAAGGCTGCCAATTGGGCTGGGGGAAGATCAGGATGTAGGACCCCAAAGGGGATTTGGGTTTGGGGATGTCAAAACGGAGGACAGGCTGGGTGTGGTGGCTCACGCCTGTAATCCCAGTGCTTTGGGAGGCTGAGGAGGGAGAATTGCTTGAGATCAGGAGTTGGAGACCAGCTTGAGCAACATAGCGAGTCCCTGTCTCTACAAAAATGTAAAGAATTATTGGGTGACTGAGGCGGGAGGATTGTTTGAACCCAGGAGTTCCAAGCTGCAGTGAGCTATGACTGCACCACTGCACTCCAGCCTGGGCAACAGAACGAGACCCTGTCTCTAAAGAAACAACCAACCAACCAACCAACCAGGGAGGATACTGAGTTCTAGAAATGTGTTATACTCTGCGCTTATCCTCTGGGATGACACGCCCTGAGGTCACCTTTATGGGAATGAAGCAAGACCCAAACCCGGGAAGGGAGGGTCCTGCCCAGCGAGACTCTCCCTTGCCCTAGCTGGAAGAGCATTCATGGTGGGGAGCTGGATGTGGCAGGAAGGCTCAGGGCAGCCTGGAGCTCTTGGGGCTGGACCTCAGGGGGCTTCTGCAGCCCCCTGCCCTGACCCCAGCTCCCCACACCGGGTCTTCACTCTTGGCCTCTCTGCTGCACCTCTGCAATGCCCATTAACCTTTCTTTCTCCAGCTACAGCTCTCTAGGACACCTTATCTAGCCCGGATGTCTGGTTGGCAGGGGAAGAGGGTGGGCCTGGGCAACATCCTCTGGATGGACCCCCCGAGTCCCTCCCACACCTCCTCAGGGGTACAAAACATGGGTGATGTGTCACCAAGGGAAAGGGGACAGAGAAGAGCCTGAGGGACTCCAGAAGAGGGCTGTAGAGGTGGGAAATTGAGACAAGCCTCCCTGGACCGGGAAGGGCCCCAGCTGTGATTTGGGGTCCAGCACTGACCCAAACACGTCAACAGGGGGCGACTCAAGTGCAGAAATGGAAAAAGGTTGGGCGCGGTGGCTCACGCCTGTAATCCTAGTACCTTGGGAGGCTGGGAGGGGAGGATAGCTTGAGGCCAGGAGTTTGAGATCAGCCTGGGCAACATTGTGAGACCCCCCCCAACCCGTCTCTACAAAAAATAAAAAAAATCAGCTGGGTGTGGTAGTGTGTGCCTGGAGGATTCCCAGCCACTCGGGAGGCTGAGATGGGAGGATCCCTTGCGCCCAGGAGTTCAAGGTTACAGTGAACTATGATCATTCCACTGCACTCCAGCCTGAGTGACAGAGTGAGGCCCTGTCTCAAAAAAAAAAAAAAAAAAAAAAAAAAAAAGAAAAAGAAAAAGAAAAAGCAATGGACCAGGTTAAGCCAGGCTGGTCCTTGTCAAGACCTGCCCCTGCAGGTGCCCGGGGGGAGGCCAGAAAGATCCCTGGAGAAAAGGACACAGAAAATGGCAAGAAAGAAAGCGGGGCATTTGGAGGGGTAAGTTGGGGGAAGACAGGAGGTTCCCCCTCCCCTTTCCAAGAGGCAGGGAGAACCTGCCCGGGCAGCATCTTGAATGGGAGAATTGTCCTCGGCGCGCGCTTATCGCTTGTGTACACACGTGGGGGGGTCCCTTCTTCCCTTCCCCCACAGCCAATGCAGACACTCTCCCCGCACTGCCTCTAAATCTACCCCAGCTGTCAACATCTGGCCCCCATCTGTGTCCATCCACGGAACCCCCTGCTCCAGCTCCTGCCCCAGCCTCCCTCTCCAGTGGCTGTCGGGCAGGGCTGGGAGCTCAAGGCCTTCCCTCCCTCTCCTGCAGCAGCCTCTGGCCAGGACTGAGGAACCAGGACAGGGGAGGGAGGGGACAGCCCCACCCCGGAGGTGCCCCAGGCTCTTGGCAGAGCCAGCTGGAGACGTTAGAAGCAGCTGCGAATGATTCATCTCGCTCGGCCCCCACCCCACCACCTCAAACATACCCTGGGGCTGATAACCAAGTTCCAGCCCCTACAGCCCTGCAGCCTCCAGACCTCTGACACCTCTCGGTCAGCCACAAAGCCCTCCCTACCCAGCCCCACTCTCCTTAGAAATCTAGTCCATCACCCCCATCACCCCTGGAGCTGGGACACGTCCCATTTTCTTTTATTTATACAAAAAGTTACTTTTTTAAATATAATTTAAGAACCCCTCCAAGCACCGGCGTCCGTTTCTGGGTTCCACCACCAACTACCGCCCTTTTCACTACCTCACCCCACACCCCTTCATAGGACACAGCTTGGGGGTCCCAGGCGGGGTCCGGGGATGTGGGATGACCAAGGCACTGTTCTGGAAACAGACATGATGATGGGCCCCTGTTTCAACTTGGGCAAAGGAGGCCATAGTGAAACAGGTTCCCTCCAACACAAAGTTATGACAAGGACGGTAGAAAAACAAAACGAAGAAACAAAAAGGGAACGGGGAGAAAAATTAAGACCAAAAACAAAACTCAAAAACCTTCAATATGAAGGCAGCAGCTGGGGGAGGGGCATTTACAAGGGAAAAAAATGATTGAGTTTGGTGGTGACAGCAGCAAGTTGGGACTACAAACCCCAATGATTTTGTCACTGGGCCCTGACACCCCTTCTTGCCCCCTGGGACAGCCCCCCCACTCTGGAGCTGGCAAGGGAGTCACACTCTCTTTGGTCTGCGGGAACGCACCCATCAAGGTGAGGGGGGCACCTGGGGAGGCTGGGAGATGTTGGGCACTTCCTTTTCCTCTGGTCACACCCAGTCCTGAGGGAAAGGCGCCCTCACCCTTGGTCTGGAGTTCCCCGAGGTGGCTGGGGGGTGATTTTCCCCTCCTATTATGGCAGAACCCCCAAATCCTGTCTCTCCAAATTGCCAACTCCTCACCCCACGGGCTCAAAGTGCAATCCAGCGGGGCACAGGGCTGGGGGCCTCTGTGAGTCCCCACTCTGCCCCGGAAAATGGGGAGGCGGTGTCCCTGGGGTGGGGAGTTCCTGCAGGTCAGTACTGCGGGGCCGGTCCTCCTGTCCCACCCGGGGTTCCCGGCTTGGCCTGGGACTTCATGTGCTGGACACTGGCCAAGATTTTCTTCTGGTGTCCCGCCAGAGTGACTCCGATTCGGAGCAGGTCCCTGCAGAAGGAAAGGAGAGCTTGGTGAGACCCTAGGTTCCCTGTGGCCGCTCTCCTCTCTTGGCTCCTGAGACGGTCCTAGCCTCAGGATTGTAAGCCAATCAGAAAAGCCAGCGGGGGAGGGAGAACAGATGTCAACAGTTCCCGGGCAGTTTTTTTAAGAGCTGGGCAGCCATCCTTCTGTGCAACCGCAGAAGGGGGTAGGGCTGGAGGCCAGAGGCAGGGCCTTTGGCTTGGGTGCCAGGGAAGGAAAGAAAAGAGAGAAAAGCCCGCAAAATGAGACTGGGGGAAGAGGCTGCACAGATTGCCGTAGAGGGAAATGGAGTGTGAGAAAGAAAAGGCCGAAGTGGGAGAGGAAGAGCTGGGTGGAGAGGAAGAGGAGGTTGCTGATGGCTGGAGGCTGAGATAAGGGGAAAAAAGGGAGAGGAGGCCCCCTGGGTCAGAGAGAGGCTGGGAAGAATTAGGGAGGGATGTGCCCAGGCCCCGTGGGGCAGGGGCAGACTGGCCTGAGACCCTCTGGCTCTAGCCTCCTGAGTAGCTGGGACCACAGGCACGCACCACCATGCCCAGCTAATTTTTTTGTTTTTGTTTTGTAGAGATGGGGTTTTGCTATTTTGGCCAGGCTGCTCTCAAACTCCTGGGCTCAAGCAATCGGTCCACCTGAGCCTCCCAAAGTGCTGAGATTACAGGCGTGAGCCACCACCTGGCCTTCACATTTCTTTTTTTTTTTTTTTTTTTTTTTTGAGATGGAATTTCACTCTGTCATCCAGGCTGGAGTGCAGTGGTGCGATCTCGGCTCACTGCAACCTCCACCTCCCGGGTTCAAGCGATTCTCCTGCCTCAGCCTCCTCAGTAGCTGGTATTACAGGCACGCACCACCATGCCCAGCTAATTTTTGTATTTTTAGTAGACATAAGGTTTCACCAAGTTGTCCACAATGGTCTCGAACTCCTAACCTCAAGTGATCTGCCCACCTCGGCCTCCCAAAGTGCTGGCATTACAGGCATGAGCCACCATGCCCGGCCTTCAGATTTCTATTCCTTCTATTTCTGTTATTCAACCTGGGGTGAGAGGAGATCTTGGGAGAGGAACGGGAAGGCAGAAAGGGGGAGTAGCAGACAAAGGCCAAGTGGGGATACGCAGCCTTTGGGAGGCAAGGAATCATAAAACCATTTCACATAAAAGCTGAAGAGGATCTCCAAAACCTAGCCCAATCTTCTCCTTTTATGGTTGGAAAAAGAGAACCCGAGTTGACACATTGTTACCGTGAGAGCCGGGCCTGGAATGCAGATAGATGCACAAAGATAGCTAGAAGTGAGAGGCGGAAGCGCGATGGCCCAGGGCTGTGATGGCAGGAGGAGGTGAGGCGGGCAGGCTGGCCCCAAAGAGTCCTTGGGTCCTCAGCTCCATGGGGCTGTGACTGCTCCTCTGGGGCCCTTCTAGGCATGGCATGAGCGCAGTGCAAGAAGACAGCATTGGCACCCGAAGCTGACCCCAAAAGCCCCTGGAGACCCCGTGGGCCTGACTCCAGCTGCCCCGCTCTCCCAGCCCCACTCCAGCTCCTGCCACTGCTTACTCAGCAGAGATCTGGCTGACCAGCTCGAAGGAGCCAAAGCCAGCGGCTGCGAAACTTTCTTCGTATCTTCCCATTTTGATGGCCCGAAGCCACTCGCCCACAGAGCCAAAAGCTGAGTAGTGAGGCTGCCGCTGGTCCAGGAGAGGGTGTGAGGCCCTAGGGGGCAAGGATGGGGAGGAATGCTGAGTACCAGGCCCAGGTCCGGGGGAGGAGGTGGAACCCAGCCTTGCAGAGGCGGACAGAGGCCCTCCCACCCAACACCAATGAACGGACACTTCTGGGCAAGGAGTGGGGGCAGAGAGCGGGAAGGAGGGCCCATTCTCTGCAGTCCTCACCCGCCATTCTCCCGGGCCACGATTTTGAGGCTGGCGGGGTTCCGGATCATCTTGTCCAGGGCGCTGACCACCTGGGGGAAGCGGGGCCGGGCATTCCGGTCTTTCTGCCAACAGTCCAGCATGAGCTGGTGGAGGGAGGTGGGACAGTCTGGGGGCGGGGGCAGCCGGTAGTCCTGTTCAATGGCATTGATCACCTGGAAAGAGGGGAAGAAGCTCTGGGTGAGGCTGTCCAGGAAAAGCAAAGATGCTAACAGGCCCAGGAAATGGTGACTTGGAAGATGGTAGGATAGGAGCCACAGCCCCCCAAAAAATAACAGATCCAGGAATCCTCCTAGCCGGAGTTGAAGCTCTCTGTGGCTGAAGGCCCCAGCAGCTCTTGGGCTATGATACAGACATGTTACCTCTCAACCCTGCCCTCCATCTCTGCATCCTTCTGCGACCCAAATATGCTGTACCCAACTCTTTTATTTATTTATTAAGACAGAGTCTCGCTCAGTTGCCCAGGCTGGAAAGCAATGGCGTGATCTCAGCTCACTGCAACCTCTGTTCCTGGGTTCAAGCGATTATCCTGTCTCAGCCTCCTGAGTAGCTGGGATTACAGGCACCCGCCCATCATGCTGGGCTAATTTTTTGTATTTTTTTAGAGACGGGGTTTCACCATGTTGGCCAGGCTGGTCTTGAACTCCTAACCTTAGGTGATCTGCCCACCTTGGCCTCCCAAAGTGCTGGGATTACAGGCTTGAGCCACTAGGCCTGGCCCTGTATCTCAACTCTTTGATACAAAGATCAATTCTCCTTTTTGTCATCTCCATGGTCTCAAGAACCCAGCAGTGATGACTCTCTGGGAACCCACCCTTCACCCCAAATCCCAGGTGAGAGAACACTCGAGGAAAGCTTGGTAGGACCACGGGACACTTACGTCCTGATTGCTCATGTCCCAGTACGGCCTCTCCCCAAATGACATCACCTCCCACATCACAATCCCGTAACTCCAGGCATCACTGGCGGAAGTGAACTTCCGGAAGGCAATGGCCTCCGGGGCAGTCCATCGGATGGGAATCTTTCCTCCCTGCAGAAAAAGGAGAAAAGGTGAGCTGGGGGACTCACTGAGGGACTCACCAGACCCAGCACACTGCCCCCCAGTCCCCCACCTGCCTCTGCTTTTTCCCCCTAGCTCAGGCCCCAAGCCTCCTACTCTCCAACTCTGTTTGCCCAGGTTGGAGTGCAGTGGTGCGATCTTGGCTCACTGAAACTCCGCCTCCCGGGTTCAACTGGTTCTCCTACCTCAGCCTCCTGAGTAGCTCGGATTACAGGCGTGTACCACCACCCTCAGCTAATTTTGTATTTTTAGTAGCGACAGGGTTTTCCCATGTTGGCCAGGCTGGTCTCGAACTCCTGACCTCAGGCGATCCTCCTGCCTCAGCCTCCCAAAGTGCTGGATTTACAGGCGTGAGCCACCACACCTGGCCACTGTTCTTTTGAGACAGGGTCTTGCTCTGTCGCCCAGTCTGCAGTACAGTGGCACATTCATAGCTCACTGCAGCCTCCAACTCCTGGGCTTAAGCAATCCTCCTGCCTCAACCTCCCAAGTAGCTGGGACTACAGGTGCATGCCACTGCGCCTGGCTAATCTTTTAATTTTTTTGTAGAGATGGGGTCTTGCTATGTTGCCCAGGTTATCCAACTGTTATTTTCCTAGACATCTGGAAGTCGGCTTCCTGGAGCTGACTGTCCCCCCACCCACAGCCTGCTCCTGTATCCTCTCCCTGGAGCAGGGCTGCCAAACCCTCAGCCTCCCACCTTTCCAACCTGCCCTGCCCACCTGGCCCTAAGAAGCTCACACCCAGTATTACCCCCAGCATTACCAGGGAGCTCGTGTAGGTGGGATCGGAAGAGTTCTCCTCCAGGAATCGGGAAAGGCCAAAGTCAGACACTTTGCAGACGAGGTTGCTGTTGACTAGGATGTTGCGAGCAGCCAGGTCTCGGTGGACGTAGCTCATCTCGGCAAGGTACCGCATGCCCGAGGCGATGCCCCGCAGCATGCCCACGAGCTGGATGACTGTGAACTGTCCGTCGTTTAGCTGGAGAGCAGATAGGGTGGGGGCTTGGTGAGGACAGCCCACCCACCGTTCCCCCTCCCATCCACATCTTTTTTTTTTAGAGACAGGGTCTTGTTCTGTCGCCCAGGCTGGAGTGCAGTGGTGCCATCATAGCTCACTGCAGCCTCAACCTCCTGGGCTCAGGCAAGCCTCCTGAGTAGCTGGAACAATAGGCATGTGCCATTATGCCTGGATAATTTTTTAATTTTTAGTAGAGATAGGTTCCCACTATGTTGCCCAGGCTGGTCTTTAACTCCTGGCCTGAAGCGATCCTTCCGCCTGGGTCTCCCAAAGCACTGGGATTACAGATGTTGAGTCACCGTACCCAGCCTCCCGTCCACTTCCTAAACTGCATCTGTCACTTCCAGACCCACCTCACAACTCACCTGTAGGGCAAGCCCCCCAACTCCCTCAGGTGAGCCTTCCTCCTTTCTCTTTTCCCAAGTTTTCTCAGCTCTTGCTACAGTATCACAACACATTGCTTACAATGGTTCCTGCTTCAATGGTAAGCATTCAGTCTCTCCCAATCGGATTATGAGTTGAAAAATTATTTCAACTTTTCCTTCCATTTAACCTGGTACACTGCTTTATACCCAGGAAATACTCAACAAATGCTTTTCTGTTTTTTAGTTTTTTTAGAGACAAGGTCTCTTTCTTTCCCCCAGGTTGGAGTGCAGTGGCACGATCATGGTTCACCGCAGCCTTAAACTCCTGGGCTCAAATGATCCTTCTGCCTCAGCCTCCTTAGTAGCTGGGACTATAGGTGCACACCACTGCACCTGGCTAATTAAAACAAAGGGGTTTTTTTGGTAGATATGGGGTCTCACTGTGTTTCCCAGGCTTGTCTCCAACTCCTGGCCTCAAGCAATCTTCCCACCTTGGCCTCCCAAGGTGCTGGGATTACAGGCATGAGTCACCTGAGCAACCCGTCTACAGGTGGAGATACATTGGTGCTGATCCAACCACAAAGCTGTTCAGCTCTCTTGGACTAGCTGTGTATGGATTTGCAAGAGAAGAGTGAGGAACTGCAGTATGACCAATGATCGGTGCAAAAACCAAGGTCTGAAGCCCAACCTTGACCTTTAAAGAGTTTGCTCTCACCAGGGAAACCAACAAGTCACAGACAGTAAACAAATCCCGTATTCTGGGTTCCGCTAAGATTTGGCAGACCATCTGCAGCCCTACAGAACCAGGGACATAGACTCCAAAAACTGAATTTTGAATCCATCCTCCAGACCTGCACCTGCCCTACTCCCCGCTCAGTTTGTGGCAACACCACCACTTGCCAGATGGTCAGGGTATAGACCTCAGAGTTTCCTTTGACCCCCTTTTCTCCCTCACCAGCCACTTCCAATCCATCAGCAAGTTCTGCTGGTGATGCTTCCAAGACATGTCCCAAATCCAAACCCTTCCCTTCACCCCACGGCCTGGATGCTGGCAACAGGCTTCTGCTGCAGGCCTCTCCCAGCTCCTGCTCTTGCTCCCTAGCACCCAGCAAAGAGGTCTTTTTATTTATTTATTTTTTTGAGATGGAGTCTCGCTCTACTGCCCAGGCTGGAGTAAAGTGGCGTGATCTTGGCTCACTGCAACCTCTGCCTCCTGAGTTCAAGCGATTCTCCTGTCTTAGTCTCCTGAGTAGCTGGGATTACAGGGGTGCACCACCATGCCTGGCTGGTTTTTGTATTTTTAGTACAGACAGGGTTTCACCATGTTGGCCAGGCTGGTCTCGAACTCCTGACCTCAAGTGATCCACCTGCCCCGGCCTCCCCAAGTGCTGGGATCACAAGTGTGAGCCACTGTGCCCAGCTGGGATCCTCTTAAACTACTCTCCTGCCAAAGCCCTCCAGCGGGTTCCCGTCACACTGCCCAATGCAGCATCTACCATCTCTCCTCTGTTCACCAGTTTCACCTGTGCTGGTCTTCCCATCTCTCTCTCTTTTTAAGAGATGGGATCGCCCAGGCTGGAATGCAGTAGTGCAATGATGGCTCACTACAGCCTCGATCTCCCAGGCTTAAGTGATCCTCCCGCCTCAGCCTCCCGAGTAGCTGGGACTACAGATATGCACCATCATGCTCTGCCCATTTTTGTATTTTGTGTAGAGACGGGGTTTCACCATGTTGCCCAGGGTGATCTCTAACTCCTGGCCTCGAGTGATCCACCAGCCTCAGCTTCCCAAAGTGCTGGGATTACAGGTGTGTGTCACTGAACCTTTAAGACCCTTTCTGTCTCTTCGACCAGGCACGGTGGCTCACGCGTTTAATCCCAGCACTTTGGGAGGCCAAGGAGGGTGGATGGCTTGAGGCCAGGGGTTTCAGATCAGCCTGGCCAACATGGCGAAGCCCTGTCTCTACTAAAAATACAAAAATTAGCCGGGCATAGTGGCTCATGCCTGTAATCCCAGCACTGTGGGAGGCTGAGGTGGTGGGCAGATCACGAGGTCAGAAGTTCGAGACCATCCTGGCCAATATGGTGAAACCCTGTCTCTACTAAAAATACAAAAATTAGCTGGGCATGGTGGCACTCGCCTGTAGTCCCAGCTACTCAGGAGGCTGAGGCAGAAGAATCTCTTGAACCCAGGAGGCGGAGGTTGCAGTGAGCCGAGATTGTGCCACTGCACTCCAGCCTGGGCGACAGCAGGACTCCATCTCAAAAAACAAACAAACAAAACCAAAAAAACCCCACATCAGATAGAGCTTCTCTTACAGGAAATACAGAGAGACAAGCTAAATGATCCCATAAGAAGAATTTCATAAATCCAGAAATCAAGACATTCAGGCGGACAAGGGACCTAACCCTTCAGTGTGTCAGTGTCATCATGAGGAACTGCTCAAGATTTAGAGAGGCTCGAAAATATAATAATCAGCAGGCGTGGTGGCTCACGCCTGTAATCCCAGCACTTTGAGAGGTTAAGGAGGGAGGATCGCTTGAGTCCAGGAGTTTGAGACCAGCCTGGGCAACATAGCGAGACCCCCATCTCCGTAAAAAATTTAAAAATTAGCCAGGTGTGGTGGTGTGCACCTGTAGTTCCAGCTACCCAGGAGGCTGAGGCAGGAGGATCACCTGAGCCAAGGAGTTTGGAGGCTGCAGTGAGCTATGATTGCACCACTGCACTCTAAACTGGGCGAAAGGGCAAGACCTTGTTTCTAAAATAAATAAATAAAATATATATAATAACCAGGTACAAAGCCCGGTCTTGAACTGGATCCTGGTTGGAATAAAGCAGCAGTGAAGGACATCTTTAGAACAACTAGAGAAACGTGAAAATCAACTGGGTATTCAATGACGCTAGGGAATCGCTATAACTCTGTTCAATGCAATGTTATTTTGCTACATAGAAAAATGTTTTGATTTTTTTAAAAAGATGCCTAGGCCAGGCATGGTGGCTCATGCCTGTAATCCCAGCACTTTGAGGGGCCGAGATGGGTGGATCACTTGAGCCCAGGAGTTCAAGACCAGCCTGGGCAACATGATGAAACCCTGTCTCTACTAAAAATACAAACATCAGCTGGGTATGGTGGTGCATGCCATGCAATTCCAAGCTACTCAGGAGGCTGAGGCAGGAGAATCACTTGAACCCAGGAGGTGGACGTTGCGGTGAGCCAAGAACGCACCACTGCACTCCAGCCTGGGTGACAGATGGAAACTCCATCTCAAGAAAAAAGAAAAGCTTAATAAAGTTAAAAAAAAAAAAAAAGTCAGTAAAATCTGGTAAAGTGACCAAATAAATTAAGCAGTTCTCTTTCCTCTCTAGCCACATCTGCATGAAGGACCCCGTTTGCTTTTTTTCACATTTGAAATGATTTGTTTACTTTTTTAAAAAGCCTGTCTATTTACTTGCTAATTTTCAGTCCCCCTGCCCCATTAGACCCTCTGCTCCCCAAGAGGAGAAATCCAGTTTGCCGTGTGTATAGCTTTATTCCTGGGGACTGGGAGGATGACCGGTGCGTAGAAAGCACTCAGTAAATATTTGTCAAAAGAAGGAATGACAGGCCAGGCACAGTGGCTCATGCCTGCAATCCCAGTGCTGTGGGAGGCTGAGGAGGGAGGCTCGCTTGAGGCCAGGAGTTCAGACCAGCCTGGGCAACCTATCGAGATCCTGTCTCTACAAAAAATTTTAAAAATTTGCTGAGCATGGTGGTACATGAGTGTAGTTCCAGCTACTCAGGAGGCTGAGGCGGGAGGATCACTTGAGCCCAGGAGGTCAAGGCTACAGTGAGCTATGAATGCACCACTGCACTCCAGCCTAGAGGACAGAGTGAGACTCTGTCTTAAAAAAAAAAAAAAAAAATTGGCCGGGCGCGGTGGCTCACGTCTGTAATCCCAGCACTTTGGGAGGCCGAGGCAGGCGGATCACCTGAGGTCGGGAGTTCGAGACCAGCCTGACCAACACAGAGAAACCCCCGTCTCTACTAAAAATACAAAATTAGTCAAGCGTGGTGGCACATGCCTATAATCCCAGCTACTGGGGAGGCTAAGGCAGGAGAATCGCTTGAACCTGGGAGGCGGAGGTTGCGGTGAGCCAAGATCTTGCCATTGCACTCCGGCCTGGGCAACAAGAGTGAAACTCCATCTCAAAAAAAAAAAATTCAATTAAAACAAAATTAAAAAAAAAAAGAAGGAATGACAACCTTCAGCTGTATGGGGCAGTGGGAAAGGAAGGTCCCAGGAGCCCAGCCTTTCCCAGAGGGAAAATTAAAGGCAGAGGGCTGGCCAGGCGTGGTGCCTCACACCTGTAATACCAGCACTTTGGGAGGCTGAGGTGGGGAGATCACTTGAGGTCAGGAGTTTGATACCAGCCTGGCCTACATGGTGAAACCCTGTGTCTACTAAAAATACAAAAATTAGTCAGCATGGTGGTGCATGCCTATAGTACCAGCTACTTGGGAGACTGAGGCAGGAGAATCGCTTGAACCCTGGAGGTGGAGACAGCAATGAGCCGAGATCGCGCCACTGCACTCCAGCCTGGGCGACAGAGCGAGGCTCTGTCTTAAAAAAAAGAAAAGGCAGAGGACCAGGGCTTAGCCCAAGAGGAAAAGGCTGGAGGAGGTGACCTGGGACCCACTGTCTGTCCTGGCTTCTTAACCCAAGTGGCCTCTGGGTGTAAGTGGGAACTCCGGGTGGCCGCAGAAGCCAGGGAGGGTGCTCACCCGCAGGAAGGAGTCCAGGGCGCCGTTCTCCATGAACTCTGTGAGAATCATGACGGGCATGCTGTTGGTGACCACGCCCTCCAGGCGGATGATATTGGGGTGCTCGAACTGGCCCATGATGGAGGCCTCGCTCAGAAACTCACGCCGCTGCCGCTCCGTGTAGCCACCCTTCAGGGTCTTGATTGCCACACAGCTCTCCTTCTTCCCTGGGGCCTTGAGCCGCCCCCGGCACACCTCGCCAAACTCACCTTCAAACAAGGACGCAGAGGTCATCAGCTCTCCCGCTCCAGTGTGGCCCTGCCCACCCCCGCTTCGTTCCCAGGTGCCCGGGCAGCCTTCGGCTCTCACCTGCACCAATCACCTCTTCAATCTTGACGTAGGAGACATCGATCTCTTTTGCAAATTCCCTCACAGCCTCATTAGGGTCTTCATAAGTGAAGGGGTCGATGTAGACCTTAGTACCTGAGAAATCAGGCAGGGCCCCGTCAGCTGGGAATTAACTCCCACTGGACTCGGAGGCTCGGCTCATAGCTTTTAGCCCCAAACCCCTGTCTCCGTGGTTTTTTTTTTTTTTTTTTTTTTTCCTGAGATGGAGTCTCGCTCTGTCACCCAGGCCTGGAGCGCAGTGGCGCGATCTTGGCTCACTGCAATCTCCGCCTCCCGGGTTAAAATGATTCTTCTGCCTCAGCCTCCTGAGTAGCTGGGATTACAGGTGCCCACCACCATGCCTGGCTGACTGATGTATTTTTTATAGAGATGGAGTTTCAACATGTTGGCCAGGCTGGTCTCGAACTCCTGACCTCAAGTGATCTGCCCACCTCTGCCTCCCAAAGTGCTGGGATTATAGATAGGAGCCACCACACCCGGCCCCAAGCCCCTATTCCCATCAAATTAGGGCAACCCACCATGTCCGATGAGATACTGTCCGTGTTTGTCCGAATATTCTGCTTCTCTCCCATTGCTCTGCTTCCTGTAGCCGATGGGAAAGGAACAAAAGGTAAACTGAGTCACACATCTTTATGAGGCACACACACCAAAGGAAGGAGCAGGGATTGGAGAAGATTTCAAGTAAAAAGAGGCTGGGGACAGCCAGAAAGGCTTGTCCTGTAGCACCCAGGCAGGTGGCCATCAACTGAGGGCTTCCAGGGGCCTCTGGGTGTCAGAGCCCTTACCTGAGGCAGAGAACTGCGACCACAATGACCACCAGGACCAGGACCACACCCACGACTGCCGTGCCCGCAATCAGGGCCAGCTGCTCCCGCCAGCCCTCGCTCTCTGCGGAAGGAAAGGCTGCTGATCAGGAGAAACTGATGGTCCTGTAGGAGGCCCCAGCCCCGGCTTTGAGCAATGAACTGTG
The DNA here is from genome assembly GCF_000001405.40 of Homo sapiens. Taxonomy (NCBI): domain Eukaryota; kingdom Metazoa; phylum Chordata; class Mammalia; order Primates; family Hominidae; genus Homo; species Homo sapiens. The sequence goes on from NC_000007.14 coordinate 100,814,104, forward strand.
ATCTCCTGAGAACAGGTCCCCAGTACAGGGGACAGGTGGAGGGAGAGGACACAAGCAGGCAAGGTCAGGGAACAAACAGTGGGTTTCAAACTCTCCCCCAGGGGCCAGCAGGCTCCTCTGAAGTACCTCAGGGCAAGGGAGGAAGTTTCGAAATCTTTTCTTACTGCCAGAGTAATTTTTTGTTTGTTTTTTTGAGACGCAGTCTCACTCTGTCGCCCAGGCTGGAGTGCAGTGGCGCAATCTCAGCTCACTGCAATCTCCGCCTCCCGGGTTCTGCGATTCTCCTGCCTCAGCCTCCTGAGTAGCTGGGATTACAGGTGTGTACCACCATGCTCGGCTAATTTGTGTATTTTTAGTAGAGATGGGCTTTCACCAGGTTGGACAGGCTAGTCTCAAACCAGCCTAGGCATGCCCAGCCGCCAGAGTGGTTTTGATTTGGTTCTAGTATAAATACCAGAGTCCACAAAAAAATCTCCATTCAATGAAACGTTCTAAAGGTGAAACATTTTCAGGTTTTTATCCAAAAAGTCGATACAATTGAAATGTTCACCAAAAGATACAATAAAAAACAAAATCAGCTATTTCCATACAACTGATTATTACGTCTCCATAAAAAGAAATGAAATATTGGCCAGGAGCAGTGGCTCATGCCTGTAATCCCAGCACTCTGAGATACTGAGGTGGGAGGATTGTGTGAGGCCAGGTGTTCAAGACCAGCCTGGGAAACATAGCAAGACCCCGTCTCTATCAAAAAATAATAATAATTAGCCAAGCATGGTGGTGAGCACGTGTGGTCCCAGATACTCAGGAGGCTGAGGTAGGAGGATCGCTTGAGCCCAGGAGTTTGAGGCTGCAATGCACTATGATCAGACCATTACATTCCAGCCTGGGTGACAAAGCAAAATCGTGTGTTCAAAACAAAAACAAAAAACAGGCCAGGTCCAGTGGCTCATGCCTGTAATCACAGCACTTTGGGAGGCTGAGGTGGGTGGATTGCCTGAGCTCAGGAGTTCGAGACCAGCCTGGGAAACATGGTGAAACCCTGTCTTTACAAAAAATACCAAAAAAAATTAGCTGGGCATGGTGGCTCATGCCTACAGTCCCAGCTGCTTGGGAGGCTGAGGTGGGAGGATCACTTGAGCCTGGGAGGTTGAGGCTGCAGTGAGCTGTAATTGAACCACTGCACTCCAGCCTGGGTGACAGAGCGAGACCCTGTTTCCAAAACAAACAAAAAACAAACCACAACCAAAAAAACCCACGGATATATACTACAACATACATAAACCTTGAAAACATTCTGCTCGGTGAACAGTCACAAAAGACCACACTGGAAGATTTCAAGACAGAAAGTGGGTTAGTGCTTGCCAGGGACTAAGGCAACAGAAAGATCTGGGTGGGGGGTGATGGCTAAGGGCTATAGGGTCTCTTTTGAGGGTGCTGAAAATGTCCCAAAATTACTTGTGGTGGTGACTGCACAATTCTGTGAATGTATCAAAAGTCATCGATTGTACACTTTGAACAGGCAAATTGTATGGCAGGGGAACTGTATTTCAGTAAAGCTATTACAGAAAATTACAAGGTTTAGAAAGCCACTGGTCCAATGCTGGGTGTGGCGGCTCATGCCTGTAATCCCAGCACTTTGGGAGGCCGATGCGGGAGGATTGCTCGAGGTCAGGAATTTGAGACCAGCCTGGGCAACATAGGGAAACTGTCTCAACAAAACATAAAAAAAAATTTAGTTGAGCACGGTAGCACATGCCTATAGCCCCAGCTACTTGGGAGGCTAAGGTGGAAGGATTGGTTGAGCTCGGGAGTTGTAGGCTGCAATGAGCTATGATGGTGCCACCGCACTCCAGCCTGGGTGATAAAAAAGACCGTGTCTCTTAAAAAAAAGAAAAAGTTAGGCCGGGCGTGGTGGCTCACGCCAGCAGTCCCAGCATTTCGGGAAGCCGAGGCGGGTGGATCAGGAGGTCAGCAGATCGAGACCAGGAGGTGGAGCTTGCGGTGAGCTGAGATCGCGCCACCGCACTCCAGCCTGGGCAACAGAGTGAGACTCCGTCTCAAAAAAAAAAATGTGAAAGAAAAAAGAAAGCCACTGGCCTAGCATATTAAAAATAACCTGTTACCTCCAATCCTCAAAGCCCTGCAGGAAGCTTCATGATATTCCCATTTTGTTGGATGGGGAATGGGGAGCTCAGGGGTCAGGTTGTTGCTAAAAGTCAAGCCTGCGGTGAGCTTTTTTTTTTTTGAGACAGAGTCTTGCTCTGTTGCCCAGGCTGGAGTGCACTGGCACAATCTCAGCTCACTGCAACCTCCACCTCCCAGGTTCAAGCGATTCTCCTGCCTCAGCCTCCCGAGTAGCTGGGATTACAGGTGTGCACCACCACGCTCAGCTAACTTCTATATTTTTAGTAGAGACGCGGTTTCACCATGCTGGTCAGACTGGTCTCGAACTCCTGACCTCAAGTGATCCTCCTGCTTCAGCCTCCCAAAGTGCTGGGGTTACAGGGTGAGCCACTGTGCCTGGCTGTGCAGTGAGCTTTGATCGAGCAACTGCGCTCCAGCCTGGGGGTACAGAGTGAAGCAGGCCAGACTTCACAAAACTCAGCTGTTGGTTTTGGTTTCGACATCTTACGTTCTCTCCTCTCTAGGGCATGCCATGTGATCCACAGGAAGAAGGACATGAAGATAGGACTTTGACCGGGTGCAGTGGCTCATGCCTGTAATCCCAGCACTTCGGGAGGCCGAGGCGGGCGAATCACAAGGTCAGGAGTTCGAGACCAGCCTGGCCAACGCGGTGAAGCCCCGTCTCTACTAAAAATACAAAAAATCGGCCAGGCGCGGTGGCAGGCGCCTGTAATCCCAGCTACTCGGGAGGCTGAGGCAGGAGAATGGCTTGAATCCGGGAGGCGGAGGTTGCAGTGAGCGGAGATGGTGCCACTGCACTCCAGCCTGAGGGACAGAGCAAGACTCCATCTCAAAAAAAAAAAAAAAAAAAAAAGATGATGGGACTTTGGAGACCTGGGGTCTTCCCAGGAACTTTGGGGGTCTTTCCAACCCCCACCCTCACCCCCTTCCCCAGGCTCACCATCCAGTTGGGTCTGGCTGTGATGTTCCTGGCCGAAGGGCCCGTAGCCGGCCTCAGAGCGCGCCCGTACCTGCACCAGGTAGCTGGCTCCCCGCTTCAGCCCCCGCAGCTCTGCCCGGTTTTCTGACGTCTTCAGGAACCGCACGCTGCTGGGACCCTCGGCGCCCTGTCCGGGAGAGGTAGTGGGGTGGCCGTCACCCGGGAACCCAAGTTCCTGTTGCTCTTCCTGCCTCCTTCCCTCGCCCTCCACTCCCATCACTAGCCTGCCTTGCAACTGGTGAGGCCTTTGGGAGAACTTACGCATGCAAGCCATGTGCTGTATTCATAATATCATTCCTTTTTTTTAAGACAAGGTCTCACTTTCTCAGGCTGGAATGCAATGGTGCAAACACGACTCACTGCAGCCTCGACCTCAAGTCGAGAATCACTTGGGTTCCAGTGATTCTCCTGTCTCAGCCTCCTGAGTAGCTGGGATTACAGGGGCCCGCCAACACACTCAGCTGATTTTGCTATTTGTAGTAGAGACGGGGATTTCACCTTGTTGGCCAGGCTGGTCTCGAACTCTTCACCCCAGGTGTTCTACCCACCTCGGCCTCCCAAAGTGCCGGGATTACAGGCATGAGCCACTGTGCCCAGTCTAATTTTTTTCATTTTAAGTATTTTTTGCGTTTTTTTTTTTTTTTTTTTTTTTTGGAGACAGAGTCTTGTTCTTTCGCCCAGGCCGGACTGCAGTGGCGCTATCTCGGCTCACTGCAAGCTCCGCCTCCTGGGTTCACGCCATTCTCCTGCCTCAGCCTCCCGAGTAGCTGGGACTACAGGCGCCTGCCACCGCGCCTGGCTAATTTTTTGTATTTTTAGTAGAGATGGGGTTTCACCGTGTTAGCCAGGATGGTCTCGATACTCCTGACCTTGTGATCCGCCCACCTCGGCCTCCCAAAGTGCTGGGATTACAGGCGTAAGCTACCGCGCCCGGCCCATTTTAAGTTTTTTATAGAGATGAAGTTTCACCATGTTGCCCAGGCTGGTCTCAAACTCCTAGGCTCAAGCATTCTGCCCGCCTCAGCCTCCCAAAGTGCTTGGTATTACAGGCGTGAGCCACCGCACCCAACCTCAGCCACTGTGTCCAGCTGCTGGTAACTATTACAGTAACTATTTTATAGATGAAGAGTCTGAGGCTCAGACAGGCCAAGGGGCTTACCCAAGGCTGCCCAGGGAATCCATGGCAGAGCTGGAATTCAAATGCCTGCCAGGTGCCTGCAACCCAGGTGTCCCAGCCAGGAGAGCACAACCCATTGCCCACCCACCCCAGGGCTGGGGGATGGCCTTACCTTCTCATGGTATTTGACCTCGTAGTCCAGCACAGCCCCACTGGGTGCCCGGGGAACAGCCCAGGCCAGGCTCAAGCTGCTGGGTGAGGACCGCGTCACCCGGATGTCAGACACTGCAGGAGGTACTGTGAGAGGCAGAGACACAGGGAACCCTTGTGCATGGTAGCTCTGTCCCTTAACTTAAAAAAAATTTTTTTTTTCGAGACGGAGTCGTGCTCTATCACCCAGGCTGGAGTGCAGTGGCGCAGTCTCAGCTTACTGCAACCTCCGCCTCCTGGGTTCAAGCAATTCTTCTGGTTGCTTCCCAAGTGGATTACAGGTGCCCACCACCATGCCTGGCTAATTTTTTTATTTTTAGTAGACATGGGGTTTCACCACGTTGGCCAGGCTAGTCTTGAACTCCTGACCTTGTGATCAGCCTGGCCATGTCCCTTATCTTTTCCAACACTTCCTCTGCTGGCTACACTTGTCTCAATTTCCCCCTGGCTGTTTCGAGAATTCCTTCTGATTCTCTCTGGCCCCAGTCCCACTGGGGGCCTTCCTGTACTTAACTCTCCAGCCCAGCTTTACGAGCTCCTCACCCTCTCTTTCTTATTCATTTATTTTGAGAGAGGATCTCACACTGCTCTGTCACCCAGGCTGGCATGCAGCGGTGCGATCATAGCTCACTGCAGCCTCCGACTCCTGGGCTCAAGCAATCCTCCTGCCTCAGCCTCTTGAGTAGCTGGGACCACAGGCATGCACCACCTCGCCTGGCTAATATTTTTATTTTTTGTAGAGAGATCTTCCTATGTTACCCAGGCTGGTCTTGAACTCCAGGGCTCAAGTGATCCGCCTGTCTCAGCCTCTGAAAGTGCTGGGATTACAGGCGTGAGCCACTGCGCCCAGCCATTGCCCTCTTTCTGCCTCTTGCCCCCAAAGCCTTAGCCCCTCACACTTCCGGGGTACCCAACTTCACAGCCCCTGCCTCTCCCCTTCAGGCCCTCAGTGACATCTCTCCCGCCAGACCACCAGCCGCCCCAGCCCCCAAGTCTCACCCTCTCGGTCAGTGGTGACATTGACAGGCTCAAATGGGACGGGCCCCGTGGCTAAGGAGGATACCCCGTTCAATGCAGTGACCTCAAAGGTATAGGTGAAGTCAGGACGTAGCCCTCGAACCACCACCCAGGGCTCCACCAGGTCCCGGGGGCCGGGGTCAAAAGTCAGGTCTCCCCCGCAGGGCGCACAGGAGCCTCCGGGTCGGCACTCCCGGCAGCGGAGGGCGTAGGTGAGGTCCTCTCGGCCACCAGACTCCAGGGGGGCACTCCATTCCAGGTGCAGGGAGGAGCCGTTCAGGCGGGAAACCACGCTCCGCGGAGCCGAAGGAGGGGCTGCAGGAGACCAGGGAGTCAGGCAGAGGCCGACCTGCTCTGCGGTGGTGGGGAGAGGGCAATGGAGGCACCAGCAGCCATGCTGGACTCTTGCCTTGGAGACAGTGGGCTCCACATGTTCCTCCGGGCTAGGGACAAGCATGCCAGGGACAAAGGGAAGAAGCCCAGGGAGGATGGGGGCCATGTGAGGGTCCACCTCAGAGGTCTGTGACCCCTCCCCAGTGAACTGCACCTGGGTGCTGGTCACTTACTGGTGCAGGGTGCACCCCGGGGGTCTGTGCGTGCCCGGAAGTACCCGACGCGGCACTGGCAGACGGCTGATCCAATGGTGTTAGAGTGGCTATTGGCTGGGCATGGCTGGCAGGACCCTTCTCCTGACAGGGGCTTGAAGGTGCCCTGGGCACAGGCTGAGAGAGAGAAAGCATTCATCAAAAGCATGCACAAAAACATCCATCTGCACGGTGGGCTCGGTGGCTCATGCCTCGAATCCCAGCACTTTGGGAGGCTGAGGCTGGAGGATCGCTTGAGCCAAGGGGTTCAAGACCAGCCTGGGCAACATATCGAGATCCCATCTCCAAAAAAAAAAAAAAAAATTCCAGCTTCTTTTAAGGCTGATGAAGTGCTAAGGTGGGAAAATGGACAAAAGATCTCAAAACCTTTCCTCTTAGAGGAGAAAGGAGACTCTCTCCAGAGAAGGGGTCCTCACCTGTTTCGACCCTGATCTCGGCAGTCTGGTGAAGCCCACAGAAAGACCTCTACTCCAACTTATGATTTTAAAAGCACTCCACAAAATACATAGGAATACCAGGGAAACCAATTAAGCTGAAATGCAATGAAACATGAGGAAAAAAGTTTGGGCTACAGCAACATTTGTGCTTCTTTCTTAACATATAGCAGCAAGTCTCCTAACATCTGTGATACTGAAGTCACCATGAGCAAAAACAATCTTTTGGCACTTGGAATGGCCTGTAAATACCTGTGATTTTTTTTTTTTCCTGAGAAGGAGGCCAAAGAGGGCAGATCACTTGAGTTCAAGACCAGCCTGGCCAACATGGTGGAAACCTGCCTCTACTAAAAATACAAAAGTAGCCGGGTGTGACGATGCATACCTATAATCCCAGCTACTCCTTGGGAGGCTGAGGCAGGAGAATCGCCTGAACCCGGGAGGTGGAGGTTGCGGTGAGCTGAGATCCCACCACTGCACTCCAGCCTGGGCAAAAAGAGCGAAACTCCTTCTTGTTGGAGTGCACTCCCAGACCGGAGTGCAGTGGCATGATCTCGGCTTACCGCAACCTCTGCTTCCTGGGTTCAAATGATTCTCCTGCCTCAGCCTCCCAAGTAGCTGGGATTACAGGCATGCGCCACCATGTCCGGCTAATTTTGTATTTTTAGTAGAGACAGGGTTTCTCCATGTTGGTCAGGCAGGTCGCCCAGATAATTATCTAAAAAGTTTTTGTAATCCGGGTGTGGTGGCTCACACCTGTAATCCCAGCACTTTGGGAGGCCAAGGCGGGCAGATCATGAGGTCAGGAGATCGAGACCATCCTGGCTAACACGGTGAAACTCCATCTCTACTAAAAATACAAGAAATTAGCCGGGCGTGGTGGCGGGGCCTGTAGTCCCAGCTACTCGGGAGGCTGAGGCAGGAGAATGGTGTTAACTTGGGAGGCGGAGCTTGCAGTGAGCCGAGATCGCACCACTGCACTCCAGCCTGGGCGACAGAGCAAGACTCTGTCTTGAAAAAAAAAAAAAAATTTTTTTTAGAGACGGGGTCTTGCTCTGTCACCCAGGCTGATCTCGAACTCCTGGGCTCAAGTGATCCTCCCACCTTGGCATCTCAAAGTGCTGGCACTATGGGCATGAACCACTGTGTCAGGCAATACCTGTGATTTCCATGGGGCCCAAGTGTCAGGTCCTGCTACAACTGCAGGTGGAATTTCAAGTGGAAATTAATGAATTTCAGGTGAAAATAAAGTCTTTTTTTTTTCCAGCTGGGTGTGGTGACGCACGCCTGTAATCCCAGCACTTTGGGAGGCCGAGGCGGGCAAATCACTTCAGGTCAGGAGTTCGAGACCAGCCTGGCCAACATGGCGAAACCCCGTCTCTACTAAAATACAAAAATTAGCCGGGCGTGGTGGCGTGTGCCTGTAGTCCCAGCTACTCACGAGGCTGAGGCAGGAGAACTGCTTGAACAGGGACCCGGGAGGCAAAGGTTGCAGTTGAGCAGAGATTGTGCCACTGCACTCCAGCCTGGGTGACAGAGCAAGCCTCCATTTCAACATCTAACTATACAAAATGGAAACTTAAGAAGTGGGTCCTGAGTGGAGTTCAGGACTCTCCCCCGGATGAGCAGCAGTCGCAGGGGAAGCTCCAGCTCTCACCTCGGCACTTGGTGTTCCCCTCAGCTGCCTCGAACCCCGGAGCACAGCTGCAGCCCGTGACCGGCTGTTCGGCCCACTGGCCATCCTCACGGCAGTAGAGGCTGGGGCTGGGGCCAGGGGCGGGGACGGCATCCACCACGCAGCTACCGGCCACGGGCACAACCAGCTCCCGAGGCACAGTCTCCGGGAATCGAGTCAGGTTCACAGTCAGCTGGGCGCACTTTTTGTAGAAGAGGTGCAGGGATAGCAGGGCCATGCAGGCACCCTGGTCCTGGAAGGCCAGGTAGAAGCCAGCCTTGCTGAGCGGTCCCAGACGCAGCGTCTTGACATTCACCTTCCCGGTGGCCTCGGCCCCAGGGCGCTTCCGGGTGAGATGCTCCGCGGCCACCGTGTCCACCTGCCGGCGGGGGGGAGGCACACCGCTGCTGTCCCCACTCCCTGAGGACCCAGCGGACTGTTGTGTTCTTCCCAGCTCACCCTCCCGGACCTCCTTGGTTCCCGTTCCAGAATCTTCCCTCCACCTTCCCCAGGGCACACTTTCTGCAGGCCCCCACACTGTCCATTCAGCCTTGCAAAGCTCCTGCGATATGCCCGGCCTCTGGCCTGCACCTCTCCCCCTTTTTATTCACTCGTTCTACAAACATTTACTGACACTGACGCCATGCCAGGCCTTGACCTCAGAGTCAAGGAGACAGCGATGAATGAATCCTGGGGAAGTTATAAAGTACCATGAGGCCGGGCGTAGTGCCTCATGCCTATAATCCCAGCACTTTAGGAGGCCGAGGTGGGAGAAATCTCTTGAGCCCAGGAGTTAGAGACCAGCCTGGGTAACGTAGAAGACCCCGCTTTAAAAATATAGATATAAAAGAAAAATAAATAAAGTAAAATGAGTGCCGAGACAGGCAGGTGGACAGAGGTATGCAGGATTGTAGGGAGGAGAGAGTCAGCCAAGGTGGCACAGGCAAGATCTCGGGAGCTGGAACTCCGAAGACAAGTAGGGGTGTGAGAGGCAGAGAGGCCCCCAGGTGGAGACATCACCGCTGCAAAGTCTTGAGCTGGAAACCAGCCAGGTGCAGTCAGGGAATGGGAGAAACTCAGTGTGGCTGGAGCACAGTGGGGTAGGGTGGTTGAGGTGACTGGAGGAGAAGCCTGACCCTTGGGCCTCCCTGGGGGCCGGGCCAGGCAGCCCCCGTATATTCTGCTCCTCCGCCCAGAAGATCACCCCCTTCCCTCCCCAGACCTAAGCCTCCTGCTTCCAGCCCCCAGCGCGCGGGCCAGAGGCCTCGCAACTACATCGGCTGCCCTCCAGGCCACGGGCCTGCTGGCTGGAATCCCACCTTGGCTGTGGCTGAGCCCTGGGGGCACCCAGGTACCTTGATGTAGGGGTTCTCCATCCAGGCTGGCGTGAGGGCCGTGGCCGTGTCCGCATCGCTCTCATAGTAGAAGACGGTGAAGGTCTCCTTGCAGGAGCGCCCAGCCCGAGGCAGGGACAGGCACTCGAGCATGGTGAAGCGCAGCGTGGCGTACACGTGGACGGCGCCCCGCCGTGGGACCCAACCTGTGCGAAGCCAGTGGGCCTGGCCCGGGGCACGCTGCACGTCACACACTTCGTAGGTGCGCACGCTGTGCTGTTCCTCATCCAGGCCGCTCAGTTCCTCCCACTGTGCAGAGAAGGAGGTCAGCAAGGGGGCTGGGGAGCCGCCAGGGAGAGGGCTGCATGGGGTGAATCCTATAAAGTGAGAGGGACTGAGAAAGGGGGGCTGCTGGTACTGCGAGGAGGGCGCCTCTGAGAAGGGCTCAGACGACACTGCTGGGGCTGCTGTCATCTGGGGGGACAGGGGAGAGGAGTGGCACACAGAAAGCAGGCGGCACAGGCGCCCTCTCCTCCCTCAGTTTCCCTCCAGAGCTCCAGCTCCTGGGTGCAGCTCTCACCTGCCCGTCCACCTGAGGGAATGTCACCCACTTCAGATCAGCAGTTTCCAATTTTGTGTTCAGCAGGGTCTCTGAGACAGACAGAGAGACAGAGTCAGTGCCTGGGGTGGGGGAGGGAGGTCAGGAAGACCAGATCCCTGGGAACCGAGGCAGGTGGATCCTCTTAGCTCTGAGCTAGAGGAGTTGGGGGGCCAAGAGGGGAGCAAGCCCTGCCCTCTGCACCCGCCTGATTTCTGGCCTCTTCTGCTAAGTGCCAACCCCACCCCCAACATCTGGTAGGCATGGGGCTCCCTTGGGATACCCCAGATCTAGGCCTCCCTGGAGGAGGGAGGGAGATCAAAATGTACGGGGAGAAGGGGCGGCAGCTCAGAAAGGGTTAAAATGAGAGCTGCGCCCTGGTCCTGACCCCCACGAGCAGAGGCTGCTGGTGTGGGAGGGGAACCTCTTGTCTCAGCCTCCACGTTTCCTCCCCTAAGTCCCAGAATCAGCCTCTCTACCCCACAATTTCATTCCCTGTCCAAGACCCCTCTCTGCTTTCAGACCAAACACCCCGTCCTTCCCTCCTTGAAGGGAGCGCTCCGTGCCTGGGGCATAGCCCTGGCCCCCATCCCAGTACCTCCCTCCCCACGAGTGCCCTGATCAGGAAGCACTGGAGGTCGGGATGCTAGGGTTCCCAGGCTCCCGCCGAGGCCTCACATCTGGATTTGGTTATGGGAAGGCAGAGGGGAGGAGATTCTGGGGGGCGGTATGAATGGGAGGGGTGAACACACCTGGCTTGGCTCGGATCATCGGGGGAGGGGACAGGCACTGGAGGAAGGGGGGGGATTAGGAAAAACTGCACAGCCCCTGGCAGTGGAGAGTGGAGGAGGGAGGGTACAGGAATCCCCTCGGGGGCCGGCAATGTGGGGGGCATTGGGCGCTGGGAAGGGTGGAGAGGGGAGCCAGAACACCTGGCTCCCACCCCATGGGAGCTGCAGGAGAGAAGAGAAAGAGGGTGGGTGAGGCAGCCTCTTCCTGGGGACCAAATGATGTCCTCCAGCTAGGGGTCAGATGGGAAGCCAGCCAGCCTGAGGTGAGAGGCGCAAGGTCCCCATGGGTGGCAAGAGACAGCCCTGCTCACTGGGGACAGGATGCCCGGGTTCTGGGAAGGGGGTGGATAGAGGCTGCCGTCTCCACCCTCCATTGTTCCAGCCGGGATAGTGTTTTCCTGTCTCCAATTTACACACTGTCTCTGCCTCGGGCTGTCCGCAGCCCAGAGCAAGCGCAGGCTCCCTTTCTGCGTCCCAGCTCAGCTGCAGCCACGCTTTGATCTGTCAGTTCGCATGTCTCTCACCTATCTCTCCTCCACTCTCTGTCCACCTCCGTTTCTCTTTCTGACAGTCACTATCTCTCCTTCGCTTTCGGCCTCCACTTCTCGCTGTTCCTCGCGGCACAGGGCCTTGGATAAACTACTTAACCTTAACTAAGCCCCAGCCTCCTCATCTGAAAAATGGGGGCAATAATAGCACCACCCTTAGCGTTGCTGGATGGGTGAAATTAATATTTGTAAGGCGCTCAGCACAGGCCTGGTGCTTGGAAACACTCAGGTAATAGGTGTCACAATCACCATTTCCTCTTTGCGTCTTTCCTTCTCACCACACCTCGTCCTCGTGGTTTTTCCACCCCTTTGGCCTTCCTCTTCCCCTCGTTCATGGTTTTTGTTCCCCCTTCTCCGTTCTCTGAGCTGGGCAAGCCTCCCCTCACTCCCAACCCCACACCTAGCCTTTGATCCCCAGCCCAGGGCAGTCCTGCCCAGCCAGGGGGAGAGGGTTTTTCTAACGCCGCTGAATCCTTCCCTTTGGGAGTCCCTCATAGCCTACCGCCCCATAACCACTTTCATACCAGACAGAGAAAGGGGGGTGTTGGCAGCTCACTGAAAGGACATTAGGGACACAGGAGAGTTTCTAGGGCTCTTGGCTCCCCCTTTAGGGGACCAGGAGGGACAGCGATCCATGGCCAAAGAAATGCTTGGAGAGACCAGGAGGTGGGAGATAGACTGGGTTAGTTAGGGCGATGTGGGGGCTGTGTAGGTCAGTTTCTACCTGGGGGCTGTGTAGGTCAGTTTCTACCCGCTCCTAGGTCTCAAGGGAAGCCCGGGACTCACCTGGGGCCGGGGTCTAGACCGCATTTAAAGGGATGGGGTGCAGCCTGTAGAAACCAAGGAGCCACCCTATACCAGGGGCAGGAGCAGTGGGCGGGAGAGCGGTTTGGGGGTTTGCTGTGTGAATGCAAAGGAGGCCATCCTGTTGCAGGAGTGTGGAACTGGAGGATCAAGGTGTGATCGCTAAGGAATTGGCGCTGGGGGTCGTTTTAGGGCCTAGCACGAAAAGTTGTGCCTTGTCTGCTGTTGCTTCTCCAGAAACCTTCCCTCATGTACGGCGGGAGGTGGGACTGGGACAGAAACTTTGCAGATAGTTTTGAATAGTGGGGTAGGGAGGAAAGGAAAGGCAGCCAGGGGCGTATGTAATCAGCAGTGAGAGTTCGGGGAGCCCGGGCAGGGGAATGTCCCGGGTCGTAGCCAGACTCCATCTCTTTCCCAAACAAAAGAAAACTCCACTACCCGTCGGGCGCCTCTTCCCCGCCCCCCTCCCGTTCCAGCACTATCGGTCCGAAGTGTTTGGGACTGCAGTGCCCGGGTAGGGGTAGTCAGAGGCCGGCCCCTCCACTCCGAGGCCCAGATGTTGGGGGGGAGGTCCCAGGAGTGACGGGGTGCGCCCCCCCCCGCAAGGAAACTCACCTTCCAAAGCTGCGGCCAACGAAGCCCAGCAGAGCAGCACCCGGAGCTCCATGGCGCCGCCTCACTCGGGTAGGATCCGAACTGAGTTTGGGGGGCCCTCGCCCCCCCAGGTCTGACTCTCCCTGGGCGGGTGGACGCCGATACTCCGCGCGGGACTCCTCGTCGGGGCCCTCAGCGCGGGCCCATGCGAGCGTGCGGGGCACCGGGCGGCGGCGCCAAGTGTGGCCCCGCGTCTGTGCCGCGCGCGCGGGCGGCGGGCCCGGAGCGTGCTGGCAGTGGCCGCGCCGGGCGGGCGCGCAGCAAGACGTGGCTGGAGTTGGGGTCCCTCCGGGGCCTCGGGGTCCCGCCCCGGGTGGCGGGGGCTGAGCCGGCCGCTCGCGGTCTCCCCCCCTCCCTGGAGTGGCTCTGCTCGCGCCGCCGGGCCGAGTGCTCTCCTCGCGGGCGGGGATGGTGGGAGCCCGAGCGGGGACGGAGCGGGAGGGAGGGAGACTGCGGCGCGGAGCCGGGCGGGCCGGGCCGGGCAGGGGCTGAGCTGCGCTGGAACTGGGCCGGGCGGCGCCGGGCCCGGGAGGGAGGGGCGCGCGGGGGGCGGGGGCAGCTCTCCCAACGCGGGGGCTCCGCGAGTGAGCCCCGGGCGCGCTGATTGGAGCTCACGCTACTGAATAATTCATGAGGGAAGCGGAGAGGGGCACCGAGTGGAGCAGGTCGGGAAGTTGAGAGAAAGTTTGGAGAAGGGGGAGGGGCGGCGGGTGAGGAACCCCGGGACCGCCCAGATGTGCGCCGTGGCGGTGCGCGCTGTCCAGGACCGAGCATGTCGGGGCTGGGGCCCAGGGACCCCCGGGACAGGCCCGAACCCGGCTGGCACCAGGGAGCAGAGAAAACACACACCCAGCAGCAACACGGAGGGCCGCCCAGGCGTGCACGTAAATGTTCACCGCGCACACAAAGCCCGCTCTGACCTTGCTGCGGACTCTAGATGCCGCTCTTGGATGCGCCCACCACCCTCTAGTGGGCGCAGGGACTGCGTTTTGGGGGAAAAGGAAGGAAAAGGGAGTAGAAGCTTTGGAGAATTGACGGCCGCCCAGGGGGCCTCAAGGAGCAATCCCAGTTTGGATAGCCTTGCAGCGAACGTTCACACAGTCACCCCATAAACATTCAGTGTTGGGGACCTACTGTGCGCGCAACCAAGCCCTGAAAAATGTCCAGAGGAGGCGCGCACTAAGCTGCGCTAGGGAGTAGAGAAAAATCGAGGAAACAACGGTAAAGAAAAGGTGGGTGTGGCGGGCGCGGTGGCTCACGCCTGTAGTCCCAGCATTTTGGGAGGCAGAGGCAGGCGGATCATTTGAGGTCAGGAGTTCAAGACCAGCCTGGCCAACATGATGAAACCCCGTCTCTACTAAAAATACAAAAATTAGCTGGGCATGGTGGCGCGCGCCTGTAATCCTAGCTACTCGGGAGGCTGAGGCAGGAGAATTGCTTGAACCGGGACCTAGGAGGCGGAGGTTGCAGTGAGCTGGGAGCTGAGATCGCGCCACTGCACTCCAGCCTGGGCTACAGAGTGAGACGAAATCTCAAAAAAAAAAAAAAAAAAAAAAAAGGTGGGTGTGTCCGAGAGGGTGAGGGGTCCGGCTAGATCTCCAAATCGCCCTTCTCACTCTCACTCTCGTGTTTTGGGGGGGCTTCCCCGCCGCCCGCAGCCATGACCCCTGAGGCTGGGGCTGCGGCTGCGGCTGCTGTCTTTCCTGAGCTGTTTCCTGTCTGGCTCCTGGGGGCCCTCGGGATGGCTGGGAGGGGCCCTTCCTCTCACTGCCAACTCCCCTCACCCTCCCATCAGTTAGCGGGGAGGGTCCAGCACAGCCGTGCTCCTCCCACCAACCCCCTTCTACTTCAGGGAACTTAACAGTATGGGTTACTGGATAGATGGATTGGAGGGGGTGCTGCTCCAGGAGTCAGCCCCTCCAAGGGGCAGAAGGAAAGGACTTAGACTCCCACAGTAATTAGCGGGGACAGATTTTTTTTTTTTTTTTGAGACAGAGTCTCCCTCTATTTCCCAGGCTGGAGTGCAGTGGCGTGATCTGGGCTCACTGCAACCTCCGCCTCCCAGGTTCAAGCGATTCTCCTGCCTCAGCCTCCCGAGTAGCTGGGATTACAGGCACAGGGCACCAACCCCGGCTAGTTTTCGTATTTTTAGTAGAGACAGGGTTTCGCCATGTTGGCCAGGCTGGTCTCGAACTCCTGACCTAAAGTGATCCACCCACCTTGGCCTCCCAAAGTGCTGGGATTACAGACGTTAGCCACCGCGCCCAGCCGGAGGACAGAATCTTGAGGAGCCCAGCAAGAGAGACGTTGGAGCCCAGCAAGAGAGACGTTGGAGTCCAGGATGCTTGGGGGGCTGCCAAGCGCCCTTACGTCCCAGAAAGGACAGCCGGGCCTGTGATAACCTCTTGTCCCGGCTTACTTATCTTCCTGCTGCAAGAGGTGTTCCCCACACCCCTGCCCTTCCTTGCTGTTCTGCCTGGGTCCTGCGCCCGGGTTGGGGGGGGTGGGCCGGTCACCGAGGGCAGGAAACAGCCGGCTTCACTGGAGCCAGGCAGACCAGGCTGGAGCTGGGAATTCCCTCCTCCCTCCCCGATGCAGGCCCAGTCTCCCCTTCTCTTATTCAGCTTCTCCCTCGGGGTTCTCTGCAACCCTCTCCCAAACCCCTGCCCTGCCTTTTGCCACTCTCACTCTGTACCCAGATCCTGTAGCCTCTAAAAGTTATGTCTTCTGGCTGGGGACAGTAGCTCAGGTCTGTAATCTCAGCATTTTGGGAGGCCGAGGCGGGTGGATCACTTGAGCCCAAGAGTTCGAGACCAGCCTAGCCAACATGGTGAAACCCCTCTCTACTAAAAATACAAAAATCAGCTGGGCATCATGGCACACACCTGTAGTCCCAGCTACTAGGGAGGCTGAGGCACGAGAATCGCTTGAACCCGGGAGGCAGAAGTTGCAGTGAGCAGAGATTGCACCACTGCACTCCAGCCTGGGCAACAGAGCCACACTCTGTCTCCAAAAAATATATAAAGTAAATAAATAAGTAAATAAATAAATAGGCTGGGCGCAGTGGCTCACACCTGTAATCCCAGCACTTTGGGAGGCCGAGGCAGGCGGATCACCTGAGGTCAGGAGTTCGAGACCAGCCTGGCCAACATAGTGAAACCCCTTCTCTACTGAAAATACAAAACTTAGCCAGGTGTGGTGGTGCAGGCCTGCAGTCCCAGCTACTCGGGAGGCTGAGACAGGAGAATTGCTTGAACCCTGGGAGGCAGAGGTTGCAGTGAGCTGAAATCGTGCCACTGCACTCCAGCCTGGGCAACAGAGTGAAACTCTGTCTCAAAACATAAATTAATTAAACAATAGAAAACACTCATCTTAGTGGGGCACAGTGACTCATACCTGTAATGCCAGCACTTTTGGAGGCTGAGATGAGAGGATCGTTTCAGTCCAGGAGTTTGAGGGCAGCCTGAACAACATAGCGAGACCCTGTCTACAAAAAAAGAAAGAAAGAAAGAGAGAAAACATTCTATTCCATGTCAGGTCATCAGCCCACACCCCACACCAGGCAGTAATCTATTTTCTACCATCTAGTGTATGCCAGTCAAAGAATGAAAAAATGAAATCTTTACTGAGCATCTACTACGTGCCGAGTGATCACATTGCTAGTTTTCAAGATTTGTAAAACATGGTTCCTGGCCTCAAAGAGAATCTGGTAAAAATTAATATAGTTTTATGTCATCTGGTGAATTACAACCTGGTAGAAAAAAAATCCCATGATTTCCCCTTTACGTGGAGATGGCATCTGAGATTTTCACTTCAATTCTCAGGAACCACCCTTGGTCTATCCTGTGTGTGTGAAGTCATGTCCTCCACCCTTAGACCACCCAGAACCACTTCCCAGGCAAGCAAATTCAGTAGCCACTAAATTACAGAACGTGGGTGAACATTCACGTTACTACCTGAATCCATGCCTGTTCTGCAGACCAAACCAAACTCAGCCCTCCCTTCCTCATTATTAGAGCACTTTGCTGTTCCCTACCCAAAATATTAGGCTGTCACCTTTGTTCCCAGCCCAGAGCAATATACTGCTATCACACGGTGCATTGTCGGTACTTGCGCATAGCATCCACCAACAGCTACTGGAGTTTTCTTTTTCTTTTCTTTTGTATTTTATTTTATTTTATTTTTGGAGACGGCGTTTCACTCTTGTTGCCCAGGCTGGAGTGCAAAGGTGCGATCTCGGCTCACCACAACCTCTGCCTCCTGGGTTCAAGTGATTCTCCCGCCTCAGCCTCCCAGGTAGCTGGGATTACAGGCATATGCCACCACACCGGGCTAATTTTGTATTTTTAGTAGACGCGGGGTTTCTCCATGTTGGTCAGGCTGGTCTGGAACTCCTGACCTAAGGTGATCCACCTGCCTTGGCCTCCCAAAGTGCTGGGATTACAGGCGTGAGCCACTGCACGTGGCTCTTTTTTTTAGAGATAGGGTCTTACTGTATTGCCCAGGCTGGAGTGCAGTGGCACGGTCATGGCTCACTGCAGCCTTGACCTCCTGGGCTCGAGCAATCTTTCCTCAGCCTCCTGAGGAGCTGGGACCCCGCGCGGGGACCATGCCCGGCTAATAAGTTTACTTTTTCTTGTACAGATTGTGACAGTTGTTTTGAGTAATCCTGGAGTTACAGCTTTTCCTATTGTAAGAAATAACAAGCAGCAAATCACCCCTTTCTCCGTAAATTGTTGAACTTCTCATTACTCTTTCCACATCTCAGTCTCCCCTCTTCTGGGCCACCTAACTGTGTCGGGTCCAAAGTTCAGGTTTACCCCAAAGTTCATGAAGTTTAAGCTTCAGCACCTCTCACCTGCCTGGCTTCTTCCACGGCCCTGGTTAATAAGTGCCATAATTTAAACAGTTTTGAAGGTGAGTTTCAGCAGGACAACACTTGAAATGACCTGAAATCTTACAGCTCTGTTACAAAAGGAATTTGATAGAGTTTTCAACATTACCAATAGAGTTGTAAAGCTCAAATAAATTTTTATAAACAATGATGAAACCTTAAAAACTTAGCCAGGCTACTCGGGAGGCTGAGGCAGGAGAATCACTTGAACTTGGGAGGCGGAGGTTGCAGTGAGCCGAGATCGCGCCACTGCACTCCAGCCTGGCAACAGAGCGAGACTCCGTCCCACTCCCACCAAAAAAAAATAACTTAGCCAGGCACTGTGGCTCACACCTGTAATTCCAGCACTTTGGGAAGCCAAGGCAGGAGGATTGCTTGAGTCCTGGAGTTTGAGACCGGCCTGGGCAACAAAGTGAGACCCCTGTCTCTACCAGAAAATAAAAAATAAAAAATAGCTGGGCGTGGTGGCATGTGGCTATGGTCTCTCAGACACTGGGGAGGCCGAGGTGGGAGGATCACTGAGCCTGAGAGGTCTAGGCTGCAGGGAGCCGTGATGGCACCACTGCACTCCAACCTGGGCAACAGAGCGAGACCCCATCTCTAAGCAAAAATTAATCAGCCATCCTAGAGGAAAGACAGAGAAAGAATAGAAAATAATATTACAAAATCATCATATGAAGAGATGGTCAAAGAGTACACATCTAAGAAAAAGGTAGTAAATGCAAGTATTCCAGGGCTATATCAGTCTTCTTTACTATAAATGTTGTTATTTTTCTAGCTTGTATAATATTTATGATATTTGTCATATTTTAAACATTTGAGGTCAGCTGTGATTTCTTCTCTCAATCCAAAGATTTTATACCTTTTTTTTTCTTTTTTTAAGAGACAGGGTCTCCCTTTGTCACCCATGCTGGAGTGCAGTGGCACGATCGAGGCTCACTGCAGCCTCGAACTCCCAGGCTCAAGCGATCCTCCTGCCTCAGCCTCCCAAGTAGCTGAGACTACAGGCGTGTGCCACCATGCCTAGCTAATATTTTTAGTGTTTGTACAGACAGGGTCTCACTATGTTGCGCAGGCTGGTCTTGAACTCTTGAGCTCAAGTGATTGTCTAGCCTCAGCCTCCCAAAGTCCTATGATTACAGGTGTGATCCACTGCACCTGGCCTGGCTAATTTATTTTATTTTATTTTTATTTTTTGTAGACATGAGGTCTTGCTATGTTGTCCAGGCTGGTCTCAAACTCCTACCTAATTCTAGCACTGTGTGAGGCCAAAAAAAAAGTTGAAAAAAAGGCTGGGCGCAGTGGCTCACACCTGTAATCTTAGCACTTTGGGAGGCCGAGGCGGGTGGATCACCTGAGGTTGGGAGTTCAAGACCTGCCTGGCCCGTCTCTACTAAAAATAGAAAAATTAGCCAGTTACAGTGGCACACGCCTGTAATCCCAGCTACTCAGGAGGCTGAGGCACGAGAATTGCTTGAATCCAGGAGGCAGAGGTTGCAGTGAGCCAAGATTGTACCACTGCACTCCAGGCTGGGTGACAGAGCGAGACTCTGTCTCAAAGCAAAGCAAAACAAAACAAAAAGCAAAAAAACAAAACAAAACAAAAAAAAACAGACAAGGTATGGTGGCTCATGCCTGTAATCCCAGCACTTTGGGAGGCCGAGGTGGGAGGATCACTTGAGCCCAGGAGTTCCAGGCCAGCCTGGGCAACATAGTGAGACCCCAGCTCTAAAGAAAAAATAGCTGGGTGTGGTGGCTCACACCTATAATCCCAGCACTTTGGGAGGCTGAGGTGGGCGGATCACGAAGTCAGGAGATCGAGACAATCCTGGCTAACATGGTGAAACCCCATCTCTACTAAAAATACAAAAATTAGCCGGGTGTGGTGGTGGGCACCTGTAGTCCCAGCTACTTGGGAGGCTGAGGCAGGAGAATGGCGGGAACCCGGGAGGCGGAGCTTGCAGTGAACCCAGATCACGCCACTGCACTCCAGCCTCAGGTACAGAGCGAGACTCTGTCTCAAAAAAAAAAAAAAAAAAAAAAAAAAAAAGAAAGAAGGAAAAATTGAAAATGGAGGACACCAAGTCATTTTCTACCTTCCAGGATTAGACAAGTCAGGGGTAGAAACAGCCACGGGGCCTCACCAGCATCCAGGTGGCTAAGCGCACAGCCTAACTTGTGGTGCACAGAGGACCCTACAGGATCACGCAGGAAGCACAGCCGATGCAGGTTTCAGGTGAGCTTTCTGCAGAAGGTGATGATGTCTGAATGAGTCCTAGAGATTGGCAGGAAAGGAGTTTAAAGGCAGAGTTGTGAGGTCGCCCCATTCAGAGAGCTGCCAGAGTTCACAACGCCAGGTCAGAGAGGGCAAGGACAGTGACCATGGGTGAACTGGAGAGGTGAGTGAGGGCCAGCCTCAGGTCATTACGGGTTTTTGCAGGACTGCTCTGGGGAGCTAGTGAAGGGTTTTAGGCCAAGAAGCAACATTGCATGGTTTGTAGAGAAAGATCCCACTTATACAATTTTGGAGAATAGACTGAAAGGAATGAAGACTGAAGGCGGGGAAACCAGTGCAGCATCCAAGTGACTATGTGGGTTTGAACCCAGATAGGCGTGTATGTGTGAGTGTGTGTGTGTTGGGGGGGATGGTGCACGCATGTATGGAGCCGGGGAGGATTCAGGAGATAAGGGTTGGGTGCGGTGGCTCACACCTAGAATCCCAGCATTTGGGAGGACGCAGCTGGCAGATCACTTGAGACCAGGAGTACAAGACCAGCCTGGGCAACATGATGAATCCTCATCTCTACAAAAATTAGCCAGGCGTGGTGGAGCACGCCTGTGGTCCCAGCTGTTCGGGGGGCTGAGGTGAGAGGATCACCCGAGCCCAGGAGGCAGAGGTTGTAGTGAGATTGCACCACTGCATTCCAGTCTGGGCAACAGAGCAAGACCCTGTCTCAAAAATAAAAATAATGGGCTGGGCACAGTGGCTCACGCCTGTAATCCCAACTATACAGGAGGCTGAGACAGGAGGATTGCTTGACCCCAGGAGGTGGAGGCTGCAGTGAGCCGCCGTGATCACACCACTGCACTGCAGCCTGGGCAACAGAGTGAGACCCCGTTTCAACAAAAAAAATTAAAATAAACAAACAAAAGAGTGTGATTGGCCGGGTGCAGTGGCTCACGCCTGTAATCCCAGCACTTTGGGAGGCCAAGGCAAGTGGATCACCTGAGGTCAGGAGTTTGAGACCGGCCTGGCCAACATGGTGAAACCCAGTCTCTACTAAAAACACAAAAATTAGCTGGGCATGGTGGTGCGTGCCTGTTATCCAGCTACTTGGGAGGCTGAGGCAGGAGAATCGCTTGAACCTGGGAGGTAGAGGTTGCAGTGAGCTGAGATGGTTCCACTGCACTCCAGCCGGGGCAACAAAGCGAGGCTCTGTCTTTAAAAAAAAAAAAAATGCCGGGCGCGGTCGCTCATGCCTGTAATCCCAGCACTTTGGGAAGCCGAGGTGGGCAGATCCCGAGGTCAAGAGATCGAGACCATCCTGGCCAACATGGTGAAACCCCGTCTCTACTAAAAATACAAAAATTAGCTGGGTGTGGTGGTACGCGCCTGTAGTCCCAGCTACTTGGGAGGCTGAGGCAGGAGAATCGCTTGAACCCGGGAGGCAGAGGTTGCAGTGAGCTGAGATTGCACCACTGCACTCCAGCCTGGGTGACAGAGCAAGACTCCGTCTCAAAAAAAAAAACAACAAAAAAACAAAAACACACATACACAAAAGAGTGTGATTGACCCTTTAACATTTCATGCAGACTTTCCCATCCTGCTCCCCTCCCTAGTGCTGGGGATAGAGGAAGGGCTCTTGAGTGCTGTTGGAATAGCAAGAGGCTGAGAGAAATAGCTAGAAATGGCAGTGAGCATCAGTGAGCTGATAAGAATGAGAGAAGGGCAGAGCTTGTAGCAGAGGCCAGGGATGCCAAAGGGCATGGAGGTGGAGGAGAGAGAGGCTAAGGGGCTGGGGCCAGAGCTAAGAACGACTGTTCAGGGAGTGGAGTGGAAAGGTACAGGGTAGTGGGAGGGTTGGGGAGAGGTAGTGGGAGGCTCATTGTCCCAGCAGGGGGAAGTCTTTTGTTTCCTCTCTTCCCCTGACAGCCTGGCAGGATATGAGGCCAAGCCCCCCCATGCCAGCAGCATCCCAGCACCCACTGGACTGCACTGTGGCCCTTCCCTGACTATTGTGTCCTGGCTGGGAATGGGAGCAGGGGCAGGCAGGAGGCTGGCTCTAGGAGGGAAAGTAAGAAGGACTATTTGTGGCTGGAGGCCAGGATACCGGGGTCTGGAAGGGACAAGAAGCTCTTGGGCTGGTTAGGGAAGCTTGGCACAGAAAGATGTGTGTGGGGAGGAGCAGGAAGCCAGGCCGGGTGGGGCCGGCACCGAGGGTAGCAGGTCGGGCCAGGGGAAGGTAGGCCGGGCCCCAGAGGAGATGACGCAGGGCCTCAGCCCTCTCCCAGGCCCCACTCTTCCAGCCTGGGGACCAGAGAGCTCACCTGAACCTCAGAAAACCCACCCCCCGCTCCATTCCCTAAGGCTGACATCACCCCATGCGCCACAGCCCAGCAACCTGTCTGGCCAGAGCCTTCCACATCCAGCTGCTGCCCAGATACCCTCCCTCCCCAGGATCCAGGGGTCTAGCCTCGCACTGCTGCCCTCCAGGAACCCTGGAATTTCATCCCTCCCCTCGGCTCACTCCTGGGCCGTTTTGCCCCATCAGCTGTTCTTGCAGGAAGGGCGCCCTGCTCAGCTCGCCTCTCTTCCCGAGAGTCTTTTGTTTGCTGGGTCTGCAGGAAATTGGAGGGGCGGTGCCCAAGGGCTCATCTGCCCCTGGGACCTGGGGGAGGGGGGCGCAGATTCACCAGACTTAATCCTGGGGAGTTTACAGCAGGAATGGGGTGGGGGAGGGTGGGGGTGAGGTGGGCGGATCTCCAGGAAATTAGCATTTAAGGCCTAATTCTGAGAGTGCCATTAGATCTCCTTGTCCCGAAGGGGCAGACGGGGCATGTGTGTGTTCCAGGATCTGGGATCCCTAGAATTGAGGGCTGGGGGAACACTCTGAGGTCACCTAATAGGTTGACAGGGGCGTTGACACCAAGGTAGAAAATCTCAGATACTGAATCCCACGATCTCCTCTATATCTATACACCATTTTTAAAAATAGAGATGGGGGCTCGCTATGTTGCCCAGGCTGGTCTCGAACACCTGGGCTCAAGAGATACTCTGGCCTTGGCCCCGCAAAGCGCTGGGATTACAGGCATGAGTCACTGGGCCCAGTCCCACAATCCCGTCTTTTACACGCCTGCGATCCTGCGGATGCCAAGAGGTGGGGAGGCAGGTCAGACCAAACCGTCTTTGAGAATTATTATTTTTTCCATTAAAAAATGGTGGAGAGGACGACCCGCCCGTAGCCACACAATTCGCGCCTTCCCAGGACGCAACCGCAGAAAAAGCGGCGGTGTGGACGCTCTGGCGGGCGGCGTCCTCTCGTTGGTTGCCCTCTCTCTGAAGCCATCATAGTCGCCGCCATCTTTCCTTCCCGGCCGTCAGTCACGTGGGCAGCACGCCCCAGGCCTCCGACTGCTGGCGTGCAGTGGGGCGGATTCCGGAGGATTCCTGCAGCCACAGTGAATGTTTGGTTATTCCAGGCGCAGGGCAGCAGCGAAGAAAACTGAAGCTCCTGTTTCGTGGAGCTTAACTTCCTTTCTTTTTTTGAGACAGGATCTCTCTCTGTTGCCTAGGCTGAGTGCATGGGCAAGGTCATACCTCATTGCAGCCTCGAACTCTTGACCTCAAGTGATCCTCCACACTTGGCCTCCCAAAGTGTTGGGATTATAAACCTGAGCCAATTTTATTTCATCTATTTATTTTTAAAACATTTATTTCAATTTTTTTTTTTTTTTTTTTTTTTTTTTGAGACAGAGTCTTGCTCTGTTGCCCAGGCTGGAGTGCAGTGGCGTGATCTTCGCTCACTGCAAGCTCAGCCTCCTGGGTTCACGCCATTCTCCTGCCTCAGCCTCCCAAGTAGCTGGGACTGCAGGCGCCCTCTACCATGCCTGGCTAATTTTTTTGTATTTTTAGTAGAGACAGGGTTTCACCATGTTAGCCAGGATGGTCTTGATCTCCTGACCTCGTGATCTGCCCGCCTCAGCCTCCCAAAGTGCTGGGATTACAGGCGTGAGCCACCGCACCCGGCTATTTCAAGTTGTAAAATTTTTTTGTGGAGACAGTCTTGCTATGTTGCCCAGGCTGGTCTCACACTCCTGGGCTCAAGTGATCCTCCTGCCTCCACCTTCCAAAGCATTGGGAGTATAGCACCCAGCCATGTGGTTCAATTTTAAATGGGATTCGCAGGGAAGATTTCACTAGGAAGATAATATTTGAGTCCAGAAGACCTAAAAGAGGTTCTGGAGTTGTCTGAGGAACAGCCCAGAGGCCCTAGTGGGGCACGCGCAGGAGGTGAGAAGAGAGATGTGGTGATGGAGAGGCCACATTACAGGCATGGGCCACCATGCCTAGCATTCTGAGACACTTCTGAGCAGAGGAGATACTATTATTTATTTATTTATTTTGAGACAGAGTCTCACTCTGTCACCAAGGCTGGTGTACAGTGACGCGATCTTGGCTCACTGCGACCTGGCCTCTGGGGCTCAAGCGATCTGCCCACTTCACCCTCCCCAGTACCTAGGATTACAGGTGTGTAGCACCACGCCGGCTAATTTTTTTGCATTTTTAGTAAAGGAGGAGACTACCTTTCATATTGTCTTATGCCTAATTTCTGCCTCTAAAGAAAGAAAAAGTAAAAACTAAAAGGCAGAAATAAAATCTACAAGCAGACAGCCCGGTGCCATAACTTAGGCCTAGTAGTTGAAGATCGACCTCTGACCTAATCAGCCATGTTATCTGTAAATTACAGACATTGTATAGAAAGGCACTGTGAAAATGCTTATCCTGTTTTGTTCCGATCTAATTACCGGTGCATGCAGCCCCCAGTCACATACCCCTGCTTGCTCAATCAATCACGACCCTCTCACATGCACCCCCTTAGAGTTGTGAGCCCTTAAAAAAAGACAGGAATTGCCGGGCGCGGTGGCTCACACCTGTAATCCCAGCGCTTTGGGAGGCCGAGGCGGGTGGATCACGAGGTCAGGAGATCGAGACCATCCTGGCTAACACGGTGAAACCCTGTCTCTACTAAAAAATACAAAAAAATTAGCTGGGCATGGTGGCGGGCGCCTGTAGTCCCAGCTACTCAGGAGGCTGAGGCAGGAGAATGGCGTGAACCCAGGAGGCAGAGCTGCAGTGAGCCGAGATCACGCCACTGCACTCCAGCCTGGGCGACAGAGTGAGACTCCGTCTCAAAAAAAAAAAAGACAGGAATTGCTCACTCAGGGAGCTCGGCTCTTGAGACAGGAGTCTTGCTGATGCCCCTGGCCGAATAAACCCCTTCCTTCTTTAACTCAGTGTCTGAGGAGTTTTCTGCGCCTCGTCCTGCTACATTTCTTGGTTCCCTGATGGGGAAGCGAGGTGAATGGCGGATGGTCGAGGCAGCTCCTTAGGCGGCTTAAGCCTGCCGTGTGGAACATCCCTGCGGGCGACTCTAACTAGCCCGGGCGACGCGGATCCTGAGAGTGCTCCCTGGTAGGCATTTGCCCCAGGAGGACGCTTCGCCAGAGCAGTGTGTGGCAGGCCCCTGTGGAGGATCAACACAGTGGCTGAACACCAGGAAGGAACGGGCACTTAGAGTCTGGACATCTAAAACTTGGTAAGACTAGTCTTTGAAACTTGCCCACTCCAGGCCAGGTGTGGTGCCTCAGGCCTGTAATCCCAGCACTTTGGGAGGCCAAGGCGGGCGGATGACGAGGTCAGGAGATCGAGACCATCCTGGCTAACACGGTGAAACCCCTTCTCTACTAAAAATACAAAAAAATTAGCTGGGCGTGGTGGTGGGTGCCTGTAGTCCCCACCAGAGCGAGACTCCGTCTCAAAAAAAAAAAAAAAAGAAACTTGCCCACTGCATTTAAGTGGAAGCGTGGCCTGATCACCCATGGTGTGCCTGTACCGGCACTTTAGTTTTTGTTTTTGACTTGACTTAGATTGCTTAATACTCTGGTTTTGGTTTTGACCTAACTTAGATTTCTAGATACTCTGATTTTAGTTTTGATTTTAGTTTGGTGCAAACTGCGAAAGTGTGTGTGTGCCCTTTTTACCTGTTCTTTGTTTTGTGGTGTGCGTGTGGTGTGAGTGTGGTGTTTTGTGTCGAAGAAGCATAGGTCAGGCACAAATAAGCCCACCCTGCTAGGAACTATGTTGAAAAATTTCAAAAAAGAATTTAAAGGAGACTATAGAGTACTATGACACGAGGAAAACTTAAAACTTTGTGTAAGATAGACTGGCCAGCATTAGAGGTAGGTTGGCCATTAGAAAAAAGCCTGGACAGGTCCCTTGTTTCAAAGGTATGGCACAAAGTAACCTGTAAGCCAGGGAACCCAGACCAGTTCCCGTACATAGACACTTGGTTACAGCTAGTTTTAGACCCCCCGCCCCCAACACACAGCGGTTGAGAACAGCAGCATAAGTGGCTGGCAGAGGCAAAGAAAGACCAGCAGAAAGAGAGAAAGGAAAGAGACAGAGAGGAAGAGACAGAGAGGAAAAGACAGACAGAGAGGGAGTCAAGGAGAGAGAGAAAGACAGAGAGAAAGAAATGCAGAGAGAGAGAAGAGACAGAGGCAAAAAGAAAGTCAAAGAGAGACAAAGTCAAAGAAAGAAAGAAAGAGAGATATACAAGCAGTTAAGAAAAAAAAAAGGTGTACCCTATTCCTTTAAAAGCCAAGGTAAATTTAAAACCTATAATTGATAATTGAAGGTATTCTCCGTAACCCTGTAACACTCCAATACCACTTTGTTGTCAGTGTAAACAAAGCCGTATCCGAAAGCACTGAGGCCTTCCTATCAAAAATCCTTAACCCAGTGACCCGCGGATGGCCCAAATGCATTCAGTCTGTAGCGGCAACTGCTTTGCTAACAACAAAAAAAAAGTAAAAAAAAAAAACTTTTAGAGGAAACCTCATTGTGAGCACACCTCACCAGTTCAGAAGTATCCTAAGGAAAAAAGAATTTTTTTTCCTTAGGGGGTGGAATTTATATAAAAAGAGTATTATATAGTAAATTGTTGTCCTGAAATAAATTAACTGGTTTAAAGAAAGAAATATTTGTAATAAGTCAAAAAGTTGAAGAATATCGAAGAATTGTCTGCGAAAACCATGAAAGAAAAAAAGTTATAAAAAAGAATTTATGCAAAAATGTAGTATAATTTAAAAGTAACTAGGCCTCCTGAATGTAAAACTATTTAAAAAAAAAAACAAACCAGTTTATGTGCAAGGTGTATAAGAAAAGTAAAATATACCTTTGGTAAGGAGGCATAAGAATGTACATTTTTACCTATGTTAAAAAGTTAAAACAAATTATTGTTTTAAAAGTTTAAGCAAGTTTTAAAATGTTAATTGTAAAGAAAATTCTGTATGTAAACATATTAGCTAAAGTTAAAGAAGTATCATCCAGTTTTTCTGTGAACTGGACATTAAAGTAAAAGCATAACAGGTTTTTCTTAAAGCACCAACCTGCTCTTTAGCAAAAATTATAAAAAGTTAAAAAGAGTCTATAAAATCTTACCTTATGGTCAAACATTAAAAATTAGATAAATATGTCTATAAAGTTTTATTAAAATTAGGTTTAACATTCATAACACACGAATATAAAGATAAAATTTAGCTTATCTGGTATGAAAATCATACGAGAAGCATTGTTAAATGTAAAAAAAATTTGGCTTTCTTTAGTTTAAAAACTAATAAAAATAGGTGCTAAAGGAAATTTCTCAGTAAAAAGGCACTAAGGACTATAAAGTCCACGGCCAAGGTCCCCACATTTAAAACAAAAAGACATTTTCTTAAAAATCATATACTTGGTTTACCTTCCACTTTCCTTTCTCTCAAAAACTAAAAGTCTTTTAGCACATGTACCACCCCTAGAATTTCCGGTAAACCAGCACCAGCCTGAAGATCATATTCTCATCAAACTGTGGAAGAAAAACTCAAGCCAGCCTGGGAAGGACCCTGCCTTGTGCTGCTAACCACCAAGACTGCTGTTCGTACAGAAAAAAAAAAAAAGAATGGACTCATCACATCCGAGTCAAGAAAGTGCCACCCCCTCCAGAGTTGTAGGCCATAGTCCCAAAGGAAAACCCTATCAAACTAAAGCTAAGAAAAACTTAACTCTTTTCATCTATTCTATTACTCTTTCTTCTTTCCTCATTCTATTGCTGACCATCTAGTTATTAACATAACCAAGTCAATTTCTCCTCAAACTATTGCATTTAATGATTGCTTTGTTATACCCTGTGAGGACTTGCCAAGTCAAAGACAGCTCTCTACTTCAGAAAAGCACTTCTGTCTCTCCTGACTCTCCTCAGACTGGGCATTAGTAAACTAGGACCATTTAATCCAGGGAGATTTCGATAAAGACCCCAGTGCCAACGAAGAGTCTTGCCCCCGACGTAGAGCTTTCATGCCATAGTTGGTCCAATGTTCTGTGGACCATTAAAGAGCAAAGATGGACTGCCCCAACCGGTTTTTATAATTTCCTAAAATCATACATTAATTTTACTAGAGGATCATAGAAGTTAAAGACTTAAAACAAATTTTAGCAATTAAGACAGGATACCAACATGCAAATGCCTAGTTAAAATGGATCAAATATTCCATCTGCACATTAAACAAAAGCAATTGTTATGCTTGTGCACATGGCAGGCCAGAGGCCCAGACTGTCCCCCTTCCACTAAGGTGGTCCTCCAGTCGACCAGGTGTAGGTTGCATGGTAGCTCTTTTCCAGGATTCTACAGCCTGGAGTAATAAGTCATGCCAAGCTCTCTCTGCTGTATCCCTAAGTCTGGCACCCTGCGGGTCAGCCCCTGAGGGCCATCCAGCTTCCGTCTCCCAACACTAAGTTCACTTCGTATCTCTCACTACAGGGAGGAAACTTAGCATTCCTTGGAGACCTGAAGGGATGCGATGAGCTTAAGAATTTTCAAGAGCTTATTAATCAGTCAGCCCTTGTTCATCCCTGAGCGGATGTGTGGTGGTATTTTGGTGGACCTTTACTAGGCACTCTGCCGAATAACTGGAGTGGCACTTGTACTTTAGTCCAATTGGCTATCCCTTTCACCCTGGCATTTCATCAACCAGAGGGAGAAAAAATAAGACATTGTAAAGCGAGAGAAGCCCCTTATGGGTCTTTTGACTCTCATGTCTATTTAGACGCAATTGGAGTCCCATGAGGAATACCAGATCAATTTAAAGCTTGAAATCAAATAGCTGCAGGATTTGAGTCAATATTTTGGTGAGTGACAGTTAATAAAAATGTAGATTAGATAAACTACATCTATTACAACCAACAGCAATGAGCTTTTCATGAGTTAAAAGAAAAACTCATGTCGGCCCCAGCCCTGAGGCTACCTGAACCCTTTACACCCTACGTGTCAGAAAGAGAAAAAAAGGCAGTTAGAGTTTTAACCCAGACTGTAGGGCCCTGGGCAAGGCCAGTGGCCTATCTCTCAAAACAACTAGACAAGGTTTCCAAAGGCTGGCCCCCAGGTTTAAGGGCCCTAGCAGCAATGGCCCTGTTAGCACAAGAAGCAGATAAACTAACCCTTAGGCAAAACCTGAATATAAAGTCCCCCCATGCTGTGGTAACTTGAATGACTACCAAAGGACCTCATTGGTTACAAATGCTAGATTAACCAAGTACCAAAGCTTGCTATGTGAAAATCCCCACATAACCATTGAAGTTTGCAACACCCTAAACCCCACCACCTTGCTGCCAGTATCAGAAAGCCCAGTTGAACATAACTGTATAGGGGTGTTAGACTCAGTTTATCCTAGCAGGCCCAACCTCCGAAACCATCCTTAAACATCAGTAGACTGTGAGCAGTATGTGGACGGAAGCAGCTTCGCCAGCCCCTGCAAAGTGACTCTGAAGAAGATGACAAGCCCTGCTCCAGTCACACCCGGAAGCTGACTGGTCCACGCATGGCCGAAGCATGAGAAAACTCATCGCAGGACTCATTTGCCTTAAAATTTGGAATTTTACAGTAAGGACTTCAACTGACCTTCCTCAGACTGAGGACTGTTCCCAGTATATACATCAAGTCACTGAGGTAGGACAAAAGGTTGCTATGGTCCTATTATTTTACAGTTATTATAAGTGTACTAGAACTCTAAAAAAGCCTTGTTTGTATAATGTTATTCTGTACAAGGTATGTAGCCCAGGAAATGACCAACCTGATGTGCGTTATGACCCACCTGAGCCTCCCATGACCACAGTTTTTAAAATAAGATTAAGAATGAAGACTGGTGGGGGCTCACAAACGATATGAGTAAAGTGTTAACCAAAACAGAAGAAAAAGAGGTGCCCAAACAAGTCACGTTAAAATTTGATGCCTGTGCTATCATTAATAGTAATAAGTTGGGAATAAGGTGTAGTTCTCTTAATTAGAAAAGAGGCTATATGGCAGAAAATAAGTACATCTGTCATAAATTAGGACTGTGTGGAAATAAATGTAAATACTGGTCTTGTGTCATTTAAGCCACTTAAATTAAAAAAAAATAAAAAGGACCCAGTCCACCTTCAGAAAGGAAAAAATGGCCCTTCCTGTACTAAAGGACAATGTAACCCTTTAGAGCTAGTAATAACCAATCCCCTTGATCCTCGCTAGAAAAAAGAGGAGCGTGTGACCTTAGGAATCAACGGGGCTGGACTGGATCCTCGAGTAAATATCTTAGTTCGAGGAGAAGTTTATAAACGCTCTCCTGAGCCAGTATTTCAAAACTTCTATGATAAACTAAAAGTGCCAGTACCAGAAATTCCAGGAAAAACAAGAAATTTGTTTTTGCAATTAGCCGAGCGTGCAGCCCAGTCTCTCAATGTCACTTCCTGTTATATATGTGGAGGAGCTGTAATAGGAGATCAATGGCCATGGGAAGCCCGAGAATTGGTACCTACATACCCAGTTCCTGATGAATTCCTGGCACAAAAAAATCACCCTGATCACTTCTAGGTCCTAAAAGCCTCAATCATTGGACAATACTGTATAGCAAAAGTGGAGAAGGACTTCATCCTTCCTGTAGGAAGACTGCATGGTGGACTTCAAACCACACAGAGAAAAATCCATTCACTAAATTTCCAAAGTTGCGGACCGTTTAGGCCCACCCAGAATCCCACCAGGACTGGACGGCCCCCACTAGGCTATACTAGATATGTGGACATAGAGCCTACGCTAGGCTGCCTGACCAGCAGACAAGTAGTTGTGTTATTGGCGCTATTTTATTTTATTTATTTATTTATTTTTTTGAGACGGAGTCTTGCTCTGTCGCCCAGGCTGGAGTGCAGTGGAGCAATCTCGGCTCACTGCAAACTCTACCTCCCGGGTTCACGCCATTCTCCTGCCTCAGCCTCCCGAGTAGCTGGGACTACAGGAGCCCGCCACCATGCCCGGCTAATTTTTTGTATTTTTAGTAGAGACGGGGTTTCACCATGTAAGCCAGGATGGTCTCGATCTCCTGCCCTTGTGATCCACCCGCCTCGGCCTCCCAAAGTGCTGGGATTATAGGCGTGGGCCACCACGCCCGGCCTATTGGCACTATTAAACCATCTTTCTTCCTACTGCCCATAAAAACAGGCCAACTCCTAGGCTTCCCTGTCTATGCTTCCCGTGAAAAGAGAAGCATAGCCATAGGAAATTCAAAAAATGATAAATGGCCCTCTGAGAGAATCATACAATATTATAGGCCTGCTACTTAGACACAAGACGGCTCGTGAAGATACTGGACCCCCATTTATATAATCAACTGAATCATATGGTTACAAGCTGTCTTAAAAATAATCACTAATAAAACCAGCAGAGCCTTGACTATTCTAGGCCGGCAAGAAACTCAGATGAGAAATGCTCTCTATCAAAATAGATTAGCTCTCGACTACTTGCTAGCAGCTGAAGGAGAGGTCTGTAAGAAATTTAACCTTACTAATTGCTGCCTACACATAGATAATCAAAGGCAAGTAGTTGAAGACATAGAGATATGACAAAACTGGCACATGTGCCTAGGCAAGTGTGGCATGGATTTGATCCTGAGGCCATGTTTAGAAAATGGTTCCCAGTGCTAAGAGAATTTAAAAGTCTTATAATAAGAGTTATAATAGTAATAGGAACCTGCTTACTGCTCCTTTGTTTGCTACCTGTACTTCTTCAAATGATAAAAAGCTTCATTGCAGGCCGGGCGCGGTGGCTCACGCCTGTAATCCCAGCACTTTGGGAGGCCGAGGCGGGTGGATCACGAGGTCAGGAGATGGAGACCATCCTGGCTAACACGGTGAAACCCTGTCTCTACTAAAAATACAAAAAAATGAGCCGGGCGTGGTGGCGGGCGCCTGTAGTCCCAGTTACTCGGGAGGCTGAGGCAGGAGAATGGCATGAACCCAGGAGGCGGAGCTGGCAGTGAGCCGAGATCGCGCCACTGCACTCTAGCCTGGGCGACAAAGTGAGACTCCGTCTCAAAAAAAAAAAAAAGCTTCATCGCTACCT
This sequence comes from Homo sapiens, assembly GCF_000001405.40. Classification (NCBI taxonomy): domain Eukaryota; kingdom Metazoa; phylum Chordata; class Mammalia; order Primates; family Hominidae; genus Homo; species Homo sapiens. Next base: position 100,846,596 of record NC_000007.14, read on the forward strand.
TAGTTCACCAAAATGCTTCAGCACAAGTGTACTATATGAATCACTATCGATCTGTCGTGCAAGAAGACATGGGTAGTGAGAATGAAAGTGAGAACTTCCACTATTGAGTGAGTCTCAAAGGGGAGGAATAAAGGAAGAGACCGCCCCTCATATTGTCTTATGCCCAATTTCTGCCTCCAAAGAAAGAAAAAGTAAAAACTAAAAGGCAGAAATAAAATCCACAAGCAGACAGCCTGGTGCCACACCCTAGGCCTAGTAGTTAAAGATCGACCCCTGACCTAATCGGTTATGTTATCTATAGATTATAGACATTGTATAGAAAAGCACTGTGAAAATCCCTGTCCTGTTTTCTTCCAATCTAATTACCGGTGCATGCAGCCCCCAGTCACGTACCCCCTGCTTGCTCAATCGATCAAGACCCTCTCTTGCGCGCCCCCTGAGAGTTGTGAGCCCTTAAAAAAGACAGGAATTGCTCACTCGAGGAGCTTGGCTCTTGAGACAAGAGTCTTGCCGATGCCCCCGGCCGAATAAACCCCTTCCTTCTTTAACTCAGTGTCTGAGGAGTTTTGTCTGCGGCTCGTCCTGCTACATTAATGGAAATACAATGTTGGCCAGGCTGGTCCTAAACGCCTGACCTCAAGTGATCCACCCGCCTTGGCCTCCCCAAATGGTGGGAGTACAGGCGTGAGCCACCGCGCCCAGCCGGGAGATGCTGTTAATATTGAAGTCAAGGCATCAGGCATACAGCAGGACTGTAGTTGGTGAGTCAGGCCATCATATTTACAGATGTGGCCTTTGGCTTTTGCTTTGAGGAGAAAGGCATGTCATTGGAGAATTATGAAAGGTGGCACCCATCGGGAATGGATGTTTACCTAAACAGCACCCCTCTAGCTGCTCAGCTGAGAATAGATTTTGGGACAAGTGCAGAAGTGGGAAAACCAGTTAGGAGGCTATTGTGAAAGCGGAAGAGGTGATGGTGGCTTGGACTTGGGTGGTAAAATGTGGTTGCAGACTGGTTATAACTTGAAAGTGGAGGCCAAAGGAATTGTCTATGGTGTGGATGTTGGATGTGAGAGTATTCCGGTGTAACCCCAGGTTTCCGGCCTGAGAGGACCACAGGAGGAGCAGGTGGTGGGAGTTTGAGTATTTAGTTTTGGACATACCAAGCTTGAGTTGCCCATTTGATGTCCAAGCAGAGATGGTAGTAGAGCCGGGTGCCATGGCTCACGCCTGTAATCCTAACACTGTGGGAGGCCAAGGTGGGCGGATCACGTGAGGTCAGGAGTTCAAGACCAGCCTGGCCAACATGGCGAAACCCCATCACTACTAAAAATACAAAAATGAGCCAGGCATGGTGGCACGTGCCTGTAATCCCAGCTACTTGAGAGGCGGAGGCAGGAGAATCGCTTGAACCCGGGAGGTGGAAGTTGCAGTGAGCAGAGCTCTCACCACTGCACTGCAGCCTGGGCGACAGAGTGACTCCATCTCAAAAAAAAAAAAAAAAAAAAAAAAATAGAAAAAGATGGTAGTAGATTGTTGGCTATACAGCCTGAAGTTCAGAGTAGAGGTCTGGGCTAGAGGTACACCCTTGGAGGCACTATCATATAGATGGTATTAAAACAGATTGGGCCGGGTGCGGTGGCTCATGTCTGTAATCCCAGCATTTTGGGAGGCTGAGGTGGGAAGATTACTTGAGCCCAACAGTTCAAGACCAGCCTGGGCAACATAGTGAGAACCTGTCTCTACAAAATATAAAAAATTAGCCAGGCATGGGTGCATGTGCCTATAGCTACTCAGGAGGCTGAGGCAGGAGGATTGCTTGAGCCTGGGAGATAGAGGTTGCTGTGAGCTATGATGGTGCCACTGTACTCCAGCCTAGGCGACAGAGTGAGACCAAGTCTCAAAAATAAATAAATAAATAAATAAATAAATAATAAATAAATACAGAAAAAATAGAACTATGAGACTGGATGAGATCGTGAAGGGACTGGGTATAAATGTTGAAAAGAGGTTGGGCGCAGTGGTTCACGCCTGTAATTCCAGCACTTTGGGAGGCCAAGGCGGGCGGATCACGAGGTCAGGAGATCGAGACCATTCTGGCTAACACGGTGAAACCCCGTCTCCACTAAAAATACAAAAAATTAGCCGTGCGTGGTGGCGGGAGCCTGTAGTCCCAGCTACTTGGGAGGCTGAGGCAGGAGAATCGCTTCAACCTGGGAGGCAGAGCTTGCAGTGAGCCGAGATCGTGCCACTGCACTCCAGCCTGGGTGACAGAGCTAGACTCCATCTCAAAAAAAAGGAAAGAAAGAAAGAAAAGAAAGAAAGAAAGAAAGAAAGAAAGAGCTAGGATAGACAACTAATATAAGGAGAGTTTTTTTGTTTGGTTAGTTTTTTGTTTTTTTTTTTTTGAGATGGACTCTTGCTCTGTCGCCTAGGTGGGAGTGCCTGAACCTCCCGAGTAGCTGGAATTACAGGCGTGTACCACCAGGCCCAGCTAATTTTTGTATTTTTAGTAGAGATGGGGTTTCACCATGATGGCCAGGCTGGTCTTGAACTCCTGACCTCAAGTGATCCTCCTGCTTCGGCCTCCCAAAGTGCTGGGATTACAGGTGTGAGCCACCGTGCCCAGCCTTCACTTCCCTTCTTACCTAGCTTAAATGTCTTTTTTAAGTGGGGTCTTGCTCTGTCAACCAGGTTGGAGTGCAGTGGTGCGATCACAGCTCACTGCACCCTCAACCTCCCAGATTCACTCTAAACTGGGCTAGGCAGGCCTGGCAAGGCAGTGGGATGTGGAGGGAGTGGAACACAACATTGAGACCCAGTCAAGAAGAGGACCCAGGGCGGGTGCGGTGGCTCACACCTGTAATCCCAGCACTTTGGGAGGCTGAGGTGGGTGGATCAACTGAGGGCAGCAGTTTGAGACCAGCCTGGAGAACATGGTGAAACCCTGTCTCTGCTAAAAATACAAAAACTAGCCAGGCATGGTGGCAGACACCTGTCATCCCAGCTACTCCAAGGCTGAGGCAGGAGAATCAGTTGAACCTGGGATGCGGAGGGTGCAGTGAGCTGAGATCGCGCCACTGCCCTACAGCCTTGGGCAACAGACGGAGACTCTGTCTAAAAAAAAAAAAAGAGGACCCAGAGAAGACTAAAATTTAGTCAAGGAGAAAGTCTCTGTCAGGCCTGAGCCCAACAGTTCTCTACCTCACTGGATCCCGAGTTCATCCATCCTACCCTCTTTCTACTGTGCCCCTTCTCTCTCTCCCCAACATCTTCCCTTCCCTTTTTTTTTTTTGAGTCAGAGTCTCGCTCTGTCACCCAGGCTGGAGTACAATGGTGTGATCTTGGCTCACTGCAACCTCTGCATCCCAGGTTCAAGTGATTCTCCCACGTCAGCCTCCCGAGTGGCTGGGACTACGGTTGCCTGCCACCACGCCCGGCTAATTTTTGTATTTTTAGTAGAGACAGGGTTTCCCCATTTTGGCCAGGCTGGTCTTGAACTCCTGACCTTAAGTGATCTGCCTGCCTTGGCCTCCCAAAGTGCTGGGATTACAGGCGTGAGCCACAATGCCCAGCCTCCTTCTTTTCCCTCCCTCCCTTCTTTCCTTCCCTCCCTCCCTCCCTTCTTTCCTTCCTTCATTCCTTCCTTCCTTTTCTTTCTTTCTTTTTTTTTTTTTTTATTGAGATAAGGTCTTGCTCTATCACCCAGATGGGTGTGCAGCCATAGGATCATAGCTCACCACAGCCTCCATCCTCCCACCTCAGCCTCCTGAGTAGCTGGGACTACAGGTATGGGCCACCATGCCCAGCTGATTTTAAAAAAAAATTAGAGACAGTGTCTTCTGTGTTGCCCAGGCTGGTCTTGAACTCCTGGCCTCAAATGACCCTTCTGCCTCAGCCTCCCAAAGTACTGGGATTACAGGTGCAAGCTACTACACCTTGCCACAGTCTTTTTTGTTGTTTGAGACAGGGTCTCACTCTGTCACCCAGGCTGGAGTGCACTGGCACTATCATAGCTCACTCAACCTCCTTGGCTCATGGGATCTTCCAGTTTCAGCCTCCTGAGTAGCTGAGACAACAGGCGTGCACCACCATGCCTGGTTAATTTTCTTTTCTTCTTCTTCTTCTTTTTTTTTTTTTTGAGATGGAGTTTTGCTCTTGTTGCCCAGGCTGGAGTGTAATGGCGAGATCTCAGCTCACCACAACCTCCGCCTCCCGTGTTCAAGCTATTCTCCTGCCTCAGCCTCCCAAGTAGCTGGGATTACAGGTGCGTGCCACCACGCCCAACTAATTTTTGTATTTTTAGTAGAGATGGGGTATCACCATGTTGGCCAGGATGGTCACAATCTCCTGACCTCGTGATCCACCCACCTCGGCCTCCCAAAGTGCTGGGATTACAGGCGTGAGCCACCGTGCCTGGCCCAATTTTTAAAAAAAATTTTGTAGAGATGAGGTCCCACTTTATTGCCCAGGCTGGTCTGGAGCTCTTGGGCTCAAGTGATCCTCCTGCCTCAGCCTTCCAAAGTCCTGAGATTACAGGCGTGACCCACTGCACCCAGCTCCTTGCCACCTTCTTGGTGCCAATCAAAATAGTCCTGAATAAAGTCTGACTTACTGTTTTAACAAGAGTCAGATTTTTTTCTTTAATAAGCGCAGTAGAAGAGGTGAACTGAAGAGGAGGGGCTGCAGTCATTGATGAAGACAAGGTCCAAGGCAAAACCACAGACTAACAAGGTAAGGTGGAGGTTGAGATTTATGGAAGCAGAGTTCAGTGACGGACAGGCCAGGGTATGCCAAGGGAGTGCTTATAACTAACTGACCCTGAAAAAGTTTTTTTTTTTTTTTTGAGACAGAGTCTCGTTCTGTTGCCCTGGCTGGAGTGCAGTGGTGCGATCTCAGCTCACTGCAACCTCTGCCTCCCAGGTTCAAGCGATCCTCCTGCCTCAGCCTCCTAAGTAGCTGGGACTGCAGGCGCATGCTTGAGTTCAGGAGTTCCAGAGAGGCCTGGGCAACATGGCGAAACCCGGTCTCTACAAAATATTTAAAAATTAGCCAGGCGTGGTGTGTGCCTGTGTAGTTCCAGGCACTGCGGAGGCTGAGGCAGGAGGATGCTTGAGCCGGAAATGCAGAGGTTGTAGTGACACGAGATCGCGCCACTGCACTCCAGCCTGTGTAATAGTTCCTGGATCAAAAAAAAAAAAAAAAAAAAAAGGAAATGTATCTGAAACTTTCCAAGCTCCAATTTCCTAATCTGAAAAATTGAAATAGCGGTACCTACCTCACAGAGTGGCTAATTTAATGCAGTGCTATTTGCAAGGGATAATTTATCAAACCTTTAGGCGTTGTTCTAAAGTGCCCATTAAATGCTCACTGAACTCACAGCCTTAGGAGGGAGGTTCGAGTTTATGCCCATTTTACATATGAGGACGCGTTGGCAGGTGGTACTGCTGTTCATGGGATCTGTAAAGAGTGAAGAAGGAGTCTCAGCTCTCAGTAGAGTTCATAGGCTCTAGGATTTCTGCTGGAAGTGAGAACACTGCAGGGAGGCAAGAAAGCGGGCATCAGACGGTGCAAAGCGACCCTGGGCCCAGATCGGCGGCCAATGGCTCCCTCCGGTGGCGGAAGCGAAGAGCGCAGCTGGATCGGGCGCGAAGGGAGGATCCCCGCAGCGGGTGAGGGGCGAGGCTGGGACCCGGTGGAGGTTCTAGGGTTTTGAGAGGTTGGAGGACTAGAACTCCAGAAGTCCCTGAACGAAGTGGGCCGGATTTCCCGTGACGCACCTGGCCCAGGTGTTGCAGCCCCGCCCACCTCCCTGCCGCTTTCCGCCATCCTCACACGCCCCCTTTAGTGGGGTGGCTGCTCACCGCACCTCGGAGCTCGGACTGGGGTCCGGCCCCTGCGGCGACGATTGTTTGTACCTAAGTGAAGGAGGCTCCGAGACCCGCGGCCCACGTCCTGCCGGAGACGCTTGTCTGCAGGGCTGCATTGCATCCCCGGGCGCACGTGGAGCTGGAGCAGCGCAGGCTGGGGAAGAGCAGAGAGGGTCGGGCTTCTCCGGGCGCGCCATGGGGCGGGGCCGAGGACGGGGACCAATAGCGCGCGCGTGCTGGTGGGGGTGGGGACAGGCTCCAGGCCTGGCATCCCGGTAGCCGCAGCTGTCTTTTCCGGCCCCCGTGCACTCTCCGCCCGAGCGGAGCCCCCCGGCTCGCGGGGATCGCCCCCGAGCGCTGCGTCCTGCGGGTGGGTGAGTGAGCGCCTCGCGGCCCCCGAGCTGTGGGGTGCACCTGGCCGGGGAGAAGGATATCTTGGCTCCCTTGCACCCCAACGGGCGCAAAGGGGCAGGAGCCCGGATTGGGGGAGGAGGAGGACCCGGGGACCTTGTGTCGCTCGGTGGGAGCCGGTCTGTGTTTCTGTTTCGCTAGGGTGTGTTTGGGTTGGTAGAGTTTGTGGGGAGGGGTGCCTCGTGTGGATGGGAGGAATCGGGGAGGCTAAGGCGAGGAGGAGGGGGTTTGAGATGGGTTGAGGGAGAGGATTGACGGAGGGTGGGGTTTTGAAAGAGTTGGAAGTTTCTTGTTACCTGTGGGTGCGGTGATTGCATTGGGGGGCTTGGTAGGGGCAGCTCAGGACACCGAAGGAGAGGATGGGGAAGGCTCTCCTGCCCGTAACTTACTTCCCTTTTGGGAGATTTGGTTCCTCTTGCATTGCTAGTTAAGGAAGGAGAGGCTGGAGAAGCCTGTGCCGTCAGAGAACCTTTGCCCCTTTCCAGAACCGGTGCCATCCCTAGTCTCAGGAACATAAGGGAAGGGGTGGCCCCCAGGAGCCGGGAGGGGCCTTGAAACCCCTGCTGACAGGTTTGGGGTACCACTTTTTTGTGGGGCAGTGGCTGGTACCATTTGCAGCCCACGGACTTTTTTGAGTTGCCGGTAAGCAGGGTGTGGGTGCGTTCCTGTTTCCTTGCGGTTGTCTCTTTTTTTTTTTTTATTGACACAGGGTCTCGCTCTGTCACCCAGGCTGGAGTGCAGTGGCATGATCTCGGCTCGCTGCAGCCCTACGCCTCCAGGACTCAAGCGATTCTCGTGTCTCAGCCTCCCAAGTAGCTGTGATTACAGGCATGCACCTTCACGCTTGGCTAATTTTTTTTTTTTTCTTGTGAGACGGAGTCTCACTCTGTCACCCAGGCTGGAGTGCAGTGGTGTGATGTCGGCTCACTGCAACCTCTGCCTCCTGGGTTCAAGGGATTCTCCTGCCTCAGCCTCCCAAGTAGCTGGGACTACAGGCATGAGCCACCATGCCCAGCTACTTTTTGTATTTTTAGTAGAGACGGGGTTTCACCATGTTGACCAGGGTGGTCTCGAACTCCTGACCTCAGGTGATCCACCTGCCTCGTCCTCCCAAAGTGCTGGGATTACAGGCATGAACCACCGAGCCTGGCCAATTTTTGTATTTTTAGTAGAGAGCAGCTCTGTCTTTTGGGGAGGCTTCAGGGTGTTTGATTAGTGGTCTTTGGGGGTGGGCGAGCTCTGTGGGGGAGCTTTTGATGCAACATAATCTCCTTTGCAGGTCACCTAACCCATTTGTGGCTTCCTCTACCTGTGCTCAGCCATGGCCAGCGAGAGCTCACCTCTGCTGGCCTACCGGCTCCTGGGGGAGGAGGGGGTTGCCCTCCCTGCCAATGGGGCCGGGGGTCCTGGAGGGGCGTCTGCCCGGAAGCTGTCCACCTTCCTGGGTGTGGTGGTGCCCACTGTCCTGTCCATGTTCAGCATAGTTGTTTTTCTGAGGATTGGTGAGTGGGTCCTGGGGCGGGTGTGGACTGACTATAGTATGGGAGGACATGATGGGGAGGGGTGGAGATGGGACTGGGATAAGATTAGGAAGGGGACCCAAGAGAAGCGGTTGGCTGAAGGGTTTGGGGAGGGGCTCTCTGTGGGCTTGCATTTAGCTCCACCCTGGAGCTCTGCAGAACCAGGGGGTGGGGGATATGGGGTGTGAGTCCCCTGTGACCTGATTTGCTGCTCCTGCCTCAGGGTTCGTGGTGGGTCATGCTGGGCTACTGCAGGCCCTGGCCATGCTGCTGGTTGCCTACTTCATCCTGGCACTCACCGTCCTCTCTGTCTGTGCCATCGCCACCAATGGAGCCGTGCAGGGGGGCGGAGCCTACTGTATCCTCCAACATCGATGGACTGGGGTCTGGCCTGTTCTGCCTGCTAGGGAGGGTGTGGAAGGGGCCATTACCTTTGTTGGCTCAGGGGCAAGACAAGTGTTTTTTTCATTCTTAAAATTTTTTTAGGCTGGGTGCGGTGGCTCACATCTGTAATCCCAGCACTTTGGGAGGCTGAGGTGGGTGGATCACTTGAGGCCAGGAGTTCAAGACCAGCCTGGCCAACATAGTGAAACCCCGACTCCACTAAAATTACAAAAATTAGCTGGGCATGATGGCACCCGCCTGTGATTCCAGCTACTCGGGAGGCTGAGGCACGAGAATCGCTTGAACCTGGGAGGTGGAGGTTGCAGCGTGCCAAGATCGCATCACTGCACTCCAACCTGGGCAACAGAGCAAGACTCTGACTCCCAGGCTGCAGTGCAGTGGCGCCATCATAGCTCACTGTGATCTCGACTTCCTGGGCTCAAGTGATCCTCCTATCTCAGCCTCCTGAGTAGCCAGCACTATAGGCATGTACCACCACCCCTGTTTAATTTTTAAATATTTGTAGAGATGGAATCTTGCTATGTTTCCCAGGCTGGTCTTGAATTCCTGGCCTCAAGTGATCCTCCTGCCTCAGCCTCCCAAAATGCTAGGATTACAGGCGTCAGCCACTGTGCCTGGCCTGGCAGGGCAAGTTTTAATAAATGTGCAGCAGGCAGGCTGGTATAGTGAAGGAGATCAACATTGCCCTGCACGTTGATGCCAATTTCTAGTCCAACAATCTCATCTGTTAGGCAGTGATTGTTTTACAGATGCAGAAACTGGCACTCAGAGGATATGAGTGACTTGGGCAAAGCCACATGGCTGGGGCCTGGCTGCACTTGGGTTCAGTGCTTGGAGCTATGGCAACTTCCTCACGTCCATTTCAGTCTTTTCCCTTAATGCTCACCCCTGCTTCCACTTTCAGTCATGATCAGCCGCACACTGGGGCCCGAGGTCGGGGGCAGCATTGGGCTCATGTTCTACCTGGCTAACGTCTGTGGCTGTGCCGTCTCCCTCCTGGGGCTGGTGGAGTCTGTGCTTGATGTCTTCGGGGCCGGTCTGTGCTCTGTCCGATCTGGGCAGTGCTGCGGGTTTACAGGGTCTGGGAGTGTGGGATCATGAGGGAGAAGGTCCTCTCCAGCAGAGGGGCAGACTGAGCCATTACCTTGGCTTTCTGGAGCTTCTGCTGTGTGGCCAGCATCGTGCAGGAGATATGGACATCCCTGAGATTGTCCTTGCCTGCAGGGAGCTAACCATCTAATCGGAGAGACCAGGCTAAGATTCTTAAAACTGACAGAGACCACCAGGGAGAGCTAAGATGCTAGGATGGAGCTAAGAGGGAAGTGGGGAAGGTGGACTCTCTGATAGCAGGTGGGCAGAGGAGGGCTTGTCTTGCTTTGGGTCACAGTTGGGGCTGGGTCCCTTCTTATTTATTTATTTATTTTGAGATGGAGTCTTGCTTTGTTGCCCAGGCTGGAGTACAGTGGTGTGATCTCCGCTCACTGCAACCTTTGCCTCCCGGGTTCAAGCAATTCTCCTGCCTTAGCCTCTTGAGTAGCTGGGATTACAGGCACTCACCACCACGCCTGGCTAATGTTTGTATTTTTAGTAGAGACGGGGTTTCACCATGTTGGCCAGGCTGGTCTTGAACTCCTGACCTCAAGTGATCCACCTGCCTCAGCTTCCCAAAGTGTTGGGATTACAGGCGTGAGCCCCGGCGCCCTGCCCCTTCTTCTTTTTTTTTTTTTTCTTGAGAGAAGGTCTCACTCTGTCACCAAGGCTGGAGTGCAGTGGTACCATCTCGGCTCAATGCAACTTCTGCCTCCCGGGCTCATGCGATTCTCCCACCTCAGCCTCCCAGTAGCTGGACTACAGGCATGCCTCCCCACACCTGGCTAATTTTGCAGTTTTTGTGGAGCTGGGGTTTCACAATGTTGCCCAGGTTAGTTTTAAACTCCTGGACTCAAGCAATCCTCCCACCTCGGCCTCCCAAAGTGCTGGAATTATAGATGTGAGCCGCCCACCATGCCCGGCTGGTGGGGTGCCTTAGGATCGGGCCTTCTAACTCTGTCCCTACCTCTCTCCAGATGCCACAGGGCCCAGTGGGCTCCGGGTCCTGCCCCAGGGCTACGGCTGGAACCTGCTGTATGGCTCCCTGCTGCTGGGCCTTGTGGGTGGGGTCTGCACCCTGGGAGCCGGCCTCTATGCCCGGGCCTCATTCCTCACATTCCTGCTGGTCTCTGGCTCCCTGGCCTCTGTGCTCATCAGTTTTGTGGCTGTGGGGCCGAGGGACATCCGCTTGACTCCTAGGCCTGGCCCCAATGGCTCCTCCCTGCCGCCCCGGTTTGGCCACTTCACCGGCTTCAACAGCAGTACCCTGAAGGACAACTTGGGCGGTGAGCTGGGTGCTGCCGTGGCAGGGATCTCGGGGTGAGGGGTGGGCAGACGTCGGGCCGGGCCCGTAAAACCTCTGGATGAGCACAGGTGTCAGAGGGAATGGAGGGCAGGAGGTCTGGACTGCAGAGCAGTGCAATTTAATTCAAGCCTGTCTAGCGTGTGCTTGGCCGGCAGGGCAGGAGGAAGCCCACAAAACAGTCCCTGCTTTAGAGGAACTTGTGTTCTAGCTGAGGAGAGACATGCATTCAGGAATCAGTTAAATAGCACAGAATGGCCCAGCATGACTTAAACAGATCAGGATCACCCAGGAGTGGAGAGAAGGGAGGCCTGACTATGGGCTGGGGAGGGCAGGAGCCGGGGAGCTGGAGGTGGCCTGAGATAGACAGGTGGGGGATTCAGCCAGGAGCTGGGAGCAGAGAGGGAAGGCATCTCAGGAAAGAGCTTGAGACCAGGTGCGGTGGCTCACGCCTGTAATCCCAGCATTCTGGGAGGCCGAGGCAGGAGGATCACCTGAGGTCAGGAGTTTGAGACCAGTCTGGCCAACATGGTGAAACCCTCTCCCCGTCTCTACTAAAAACACGAAAATTAGCTGGGCACGCTGGCTTGCACCTGTAGTGCCAGACACTCGGGAAGCTGAGGGAGAACTGATTGAACCCGGGAGGAGGAGCCGAGATTGTGCCATTCAGTGAGCCGAGATTGCACCATTGCACTCCAGCCTGGGAGACAGTGAGGTTCCCTCTCCAAAAAACAAACAAACAAAAAAAACACCATAAAATAAAAATACAAAAATTAGCCAGGGGTGGTGGTGCGCACCTGTAGTCCCAGCTACTCAGGAGGCTGAGGCATGAGAATCTCTTGAACCCGGGAGGCAGAGGCTGCAGTGAGCTAAGATCGCCACCACTGCCCTCCAGCCTGGGCTTCAGAACGAGACTCCGTCTCAAAAAAATAAATAGGCTGGGTGCGGTGGCTCCCGCCTGTAATCCCAGGACTTTCGGAGGTCGAGGCGGGTGGATCACCTGAGTCCAGGAGTTCGAGATCAGCCTGGCCAACATGGTGAAACCCCATCTCTACTAAAAATACAAAAATTAGCCAGGCGTGGTGGCGGGCACCTGTAATCCCAGCTACCTGAGAGGCTGAGACAGGGGAATTGCTTGAACCTGGGAGGCAGAAGTTGCAGTGAGCCGAGATCGCACCACTGCACTCTCGCCTGGGTGACACAGCGAGACTCCATCTCAAAATAAATAAATAAATAAAATTAAAAAGTTAGATGGGCATGGTGGTGCACACCTGTAGTCCCAGCTACTTGGCAGACTGAGGCAGGAGGATCGCTCTAGCCCAGGAGGTAGAGGTTGCAGTGAGCTACGATGGTGCCACTGCACTCCAGCCTGGATGACAGAGCCAGACCCTGTCTCTAAAAAATAAATAAATAAATAAAAGAGCGTGGATTAGGGTCTGGAGGGAGGAATATCGGAGCACTGGGGGGACGTGGCAATGTGTCTGGCTGACCCAGGGCCAGTGCAGGAACAGGCTGGGGTCTTAGTGAGGGCAGTGCAGGGGAGGCAAGAGGACCGTGGGAATGTGTGGAGAGGGTGGCTAAGAGGCCTGGATCCCTGAGACGGATGCTGATGCACTCTCCTCCCTGGGAGGATCCTCCTAGCTGGCTATGCTGAGGACTACACCACGGGAGCCGTGATGAATTTTGCCAGCGTCTTTGCTGTCCTCTTTAACGGCTGTACAGGCATCATGGCTGGGGCCAACATGTCAGGTGAGAGTCCCTGCCTGCTGCCTCCTGGGGGTTTGGGGCTGCCACCGTGAGGGACCCAGGGGGATGGCTGGAGGGCTGACCTCACTCCCTCTGCTCCCCCTCTCCAGGGGAGCTGAAGGACCCCAGCCGGGCGATCCCTCTGGGCACGATCGTCGCCGTCGCCTACACCTTCTTCGTCTATGTCCTGCTTTTCTTTCTCTCCAGCTTCACTTGTGACAGGTGTCTGGGGAGGGATGGGGGTGGAGTGTCGAACAAGATTGGTGCACCTGGGTCACCAAGGGGAAACACAGGCTGGGGGACTGGGAAGCAGAAACCCAGCTTGTTGGGGTGGAGGGTGGCTACCGGCGATTGACAACCTATAGCCAGCAGCTGCCATGGACCCAGTACTGTTGCAGGCACTTAGCTTGGGAGTGAGGGTGGGTAGTGGCTTTCTACCCAGTTTGCATTTCCACAAATATTTGGCCTCTTGTGCATATACCATTAGGTATGACAGCCGGGTGCGGTGGCTCACACCTGTAATCCCAGCACTTTGGGAGGCTGAGGCAGGAGGATCGCTGGAGCCCAGGAGTTCCAGACCAGCCTGGGCAACAGAGCAAGAGCCTCCCCCCAAATACAAAAATTAGCCAGGTGTGATGGCAAATGCTTGTAGTCTTGGCTACTTGGGAGGCTGAGGTGGGAGGATTGCTTGAGTCCAAGAGGTCGAGGCTGCAGTGAGCTATGATTACAGCACTGCACTTTAGCCTGGGGGTTGGAGTGAGACCTTGTCTCTTAAAAAAAAGGAAGGAATGACCACTGAGTGATTAAATCCAAGGCTGCCCAATGAATACCAGGCATATCCCTTTAGCACATTTGATATCTGAGTCTGATCCTTAAGATCGGGGCTGGAGATTTTCTTACCCCGTGACGCATGATCATCCGTGTCCTCCTTTTCCTCCTTCCTAGGACCCTGCTGCAGGAAGACTATGGGTTCTTCCGCGCCATCAGCCTGTGGCCCCCACTGGTGTTGATCGGAATCTATGCCACAGCGCTCTCAGCGTCCATGAGCTCGCTCATTGGTGCCTCCCGCATCCTCCATGCCCTGGCCCGGGATGACCTCTTTGGTGGGTTCTCTGCCTCCTTGCTGGCTTGGAGCACGCCCTCCCTTGTCTGTCTCTCCGTCCCCGCTGAGCCCTGGCTGATGTGTCTGCTGTGGATTCTGTTTTTCTAGGCGTGATCTTGGCACCGGCCAAGGTTGTGTCCCGAGGGGGAAACCCCTGGGCAGCTGTACTTTATTCTTGGGGCCTGGTGCAGGTGAGCCTTCTTCTTCAAGGGGCCCTTTCCCTCACCCCACCAGCTGGCAGGATGGGGGTGCAGTTAGATGCAGGCTGGGAGACAAATGTAAAGACAAATGCGTATGCACTTGGGGTTGCACTGGCACTCTGCAGGGTTCACTGGCACTTTGTGGGGTTCACCAGCACCTTGCAGGTTGCCCCAGTGCTTTGCAGAGTTCATTGGCACCCTGGGAGGTTCACTGGCACTTTTTGGGGTACACGGGCATTGTGCAGGGTTCACTGACACTTTTTGGGGTATACTAGTATTTTTCAGTATTCACTGGCACTTTGTGGGGTGCCCCAGCACTTTGAGGGATTCACTGGCACTCTGTGGGATGTACCAACACTTTGTGGGGGTTCACTGATACTTTGGAGGTTTGGTGGCACTCTGTGGGAGTGCATTGGCCCTTTCTGGGGATCACTGACATTGGGGGTGCACTTGCACTTTACAGGGCTCACGGGCACTTTTCAGGGTTCATTGACACTTTGGGGTGCACTGGCACTCTCTGGGGTTCATTGACACTTTGGGGGTGCGCTGGCACTTTGCATGGTTCACTGGTACTTTCCAGGGTTCACTGACACTTTGGGGGTACACTGGCACTTTCTGGGGTTCACTGACACTGGGGATACACTGGCACTTTTGGGGTTTAATAGCATTTTAGGGGCTCATTGACACTTTGGGGGTGCACTGGCACTTTTGGGGTTTAATAGCATTTTGGGGGTTCATTGACACTTTGGGGGTGCACTGGCACTTTGCAGGGTTCACTGGCACTTTCTGGGGCTCATTGACACTTTGGGGTACACTGGCATTCTTTGGTGTTCACTGGCATTTTGGGGGTGCACTGGCACTTTGGAACAACGGCACGCCTCTTGGCCCTTGCCCAGCTGGTGCTCCTGGCTGGGAAGCTGAACACACTGGCTGCTGTGGTCACTGTCTTCTACCTGGTGGCCTATGCTGCCGTGGACCTGTCCTGCCTGAGCCTGGAGTGGGCCTCGGCCCCCAACTTCCGGTGAGAGACTCAGATCTGTGTCCCCAGAGAGAAGAAGGGAGGACTCGGGCTCAGGCGTGGGGCTGGGGACTGCAGCCTCGTGTGCGGCCTGCCCTGAGTTTCTGTCCCTCCTCCCCTCCATGCCCGCAGCCCCACCTTCAGCCTGTTCTCCTGGCACACCTGCCTGCTGGGGGTGGCCTCCTGCCTGCTCATGATGTTCCTCATCAGTCCTGGCGCGGCTGGTGGCTCCCTGCTCCTCATGGGTCTGCTGGCTGCCCTGCTCACCGCGCGAGGAGGCCCCAGTAGCTGGGGCTATGTCAGCCAGGCCTTGCTTTTCCACCAGGTATGGGGAGCTGGTGGGGCGGTGGGGAAATGGGAGGTGGTCAAAGAACCCCCTCTCTCTTTGGCTGGAGTTGGTGCTCCCGTCCAGGAGGCGCTGAACGGGGCTGTGCATTTGATCCTGCCACTTCCCCACTGCCTCACCCCTATACCCAGGTGCGTAAGTATCTGCTTCGGCTGGACGTCCGGAAGGATCACGTGAAGTTCTGGCGGCCCCAGCTGCTGCTCCTGGTGGGGAACCCCCGGGGCGCCCTGCCTCTGCTGCGGTTGGCCAACCAGCTTAAGAAGGGGGGGCTGTATGTGCTGGGCCACGTCACCCTGGGAGACCTCGGTGAGCTGCCCTCCCACTCACTCACTCACTCCCATCCTTCTCTCCCCCTACCTTTTTTTTTTTTTTGAGATGGAGCTTCGTTCTGTTGCCCAGGCTGGAGTGCAGTGGGACGATCTTGGCTCACTGCAACCTCCACCTCCCAGGTTCAAGTAATTCTCCTGCCTTAGCCTCCTGAGCTGGGATTACAGGCACACACCATCATGCCTGGCTAGTTTTTGTATTTTTAGTAGAGAAGGGGTTTCACCATGTTGGCCAAGCTAGTCTCGAACTCCTGACCTCAAGTGCTCCGCCCATCTCGGCCTCCCAAAGTGCTGGAATTGTAGGTGTGAGCCACCACGGCCAGAACCCCTCCCCCGCTTTTTTTTGAGACAAGGTCTTGCTCTGTCACCCAGGCTGGAGAGCAGTGGTGCCATCATAGTTCACTGCAGCCTCAACCTCTTGGGCTCAAGTAATCCTCCTGCCTTGGCCTCCTGAGTAGCTGGGACTACAGGTGTGTGCCACCAGGCCTGGCTCATTTGTAGAGATGAGGTCTCTTTATGTTTCCCAGGCTGTCTGGAACTCCTGGCTCAAGCAGCCCTCCCACCTTGGCTTCCCAAAGGGCAGGGATTACAGGCATGAGCCCCGACACCAGCCCCTCTGCCCCTTTTATCCTTTCCCATGACCCCTCCAAGTAGCCATAGCCCTGCCCAGGCCCGTCTGTGATTTGGACTCTAGGAGACATTGAGTTTGGACAACACTGGCTACCTTCCTTTCCTTATCTTCTCTGTAGACTCCCTGCCCTCGGACCCTGTACAGCCGCAGTATGGGGCATGGCTCAGCCTGGTGGACCGTGCCCAGGTGAAGGCTTTTGTGGATCTAACCCTCTCACCCTCCGTGCGCCAGGGGGCTCAGCATCTGCTGCGAATCTCCGGCCTCGGTGAGCTGCTTCTCCCTGGATGCCCTCGGCCTTCCTCTGTGGCCACTTCAAATCTCCGCTCCCCTCCCCTAGAGAGTCAGCCACAGATTGCAAACTGCAAAAGGACCTTATAGTCGAGAGGAGATAAGACAGTGCTCAAAGATAATAGCCTCAGACAGTGTGTGATAAGGTCTAATAGGAGATGCTAGGGACTAGTGATGGGGTGGGCGATGTTGTGGGTTTTTTTTCCTTCTTCTTTTTTTTTTTTTTTTTTGAGACGGAGTCTCACTCTGTCTTGCCCAGGCTGGAGTACAGTGGCACGATCTTGGCTCACTGCCTCCTCCACCTCCCAGGTTCAAGTGATTCTCCTGTCTTAGCCTCCCAAATATCTGGGACTATAGGCATGTGCTACCATACCTGGCTAATTTTTGTATTTTTAGTAGAGATGGGGGTTTCACCATGTTGCCCAGGCCAGTGTCGAGCTCCTGACCTCAGGTGATCTACCCGCCTCGGCCTCCCAAAGTGCTGGGATTACAGGCATGTACCACTGTGCCCAGCCTTTCCTTCTTTTTTTTTCTGATCCAAAAATTGGGGCATAGGCACTGAAGAGTGTATTTTTGGAGACAATGGAGCATTATTTGAATCTCCAGCTGCCTCATCAAATCAGATGGTTTTTAACCACCAGTGTTCAGAGGAAGGCAGGCCAGCCACTATACACTGATGTGGCCAGCAAAGGTTTTGCGGAGAGATGGTAATTCATCCAGACTTTGAAAGAGGTTGGGATGTAGGAGATGTAACATGTCTCCCCTGCCCCCGCCACCCAAAGCCACAAAGGATGCCGGAGGCTGTGTGGGGCGGACGTCTGTGGATGGAGCGGTAAATTCTCAGCTTTTAGCGCTGAGGCCACCAGGGTTATCTATGCTCAGTCACTGCCTTTTCCCTTAATCCTGGACCAGTGCCCGTCACCAAAGTGCATGCTTCCTTCTCTATTCAGAGTCTGGCTAAAGTTCAACAGTGTTGGACATTGCCCAGTTCAGTGTAAATCAGAACCCTGGGAAATACTGAGGAGGGGGCATGACTAGTTTATTTTGCAAGATCAGCTGGAATTCACACCTGCGGAGATGTTTTGGGGTGTCGTCAAGCATCATTGACCCACAGAACATCTGAGAGCCTGGTCTTCACTTTTTGTGCAGAGACCACAATGCTTATGAAATACGAAATTTTTCCTGTGGAAGATATCAGGTCGGTGCAAAAGCAATTGCGGTTTTTGCCTTTTTTTTTTTTTTTTTTTGGACAGGGTCTCACTCTGTTGCCCAGGCTGGAGTGCAGTGGCACAATGTCAGCTCACTGCAACCTCTGCCTCCCGGGTTCAAGTATTCTCCCATCTCAGCCTCCCAAGTAGCTGGGACTACAGATATACGCCAGCATTGTCCGGCTAATTTTTGTATATTTTTGGTAGAGACGGGGTTTCACCATATTGCCCAGGCTGATCTCGAACTTCCAACCTCAGGTGATCCGCCTGCCTCAGCCTCCCAAAGTGCTGGGATGCCATTTTAATGGGGGAAAAAAAGAACCACAATTACTTTTGCACCAACCTATTCCAATAAAAGGAAAAGTAGTTCCTTTAAATGGTGGATTCTCCTGTCATAGAAAATTTGATTTATGGCTTGAGCAGTGTTTGTTTCATGAGAAGGGGTCTTGGAAGAGGTCTCTGCGTCTCCCTGTAAACTCAGCAATTATCCGATTCCACAAGGGTTGTTCAAAAATTAAGAACGAAGAGCTTGTCAGCAGGGACTTGGAGCATTGTGGTTGCCACGTGCCCAGCTCGGTGGCTCAGAGTGTGGCCTCTCACGCTGGATGGAGGCGGATTGCGTTGACCTACCTGCCCCAGTACCTACCAGATATGAGCCTATGGGCAAGTGACTTCATCCCTTGGTGCTTTGGGCTCCTTATCAGTAAAAAGAGGAGACTAAATATTACCTACCTCATAGCATTACTTCGAGTTTCAAATAAGTTAAAATATAAAGTGCTTTCTACAGGACATAGCCCCTGGTAAGCGGATACCATGCAATGAACCACCATGATTAGGGTTTTGGTAAAACCTACTAGGGTTAGGGTTTACTGCAGTAAACATACGGGGTAGCCCTGTTTCTTTTTTTCTTTTTTTTTGAGATGGAGTCTCGCTCTGTTGCCCAGGCTGGAGTGCAGTGGCGTGATCTCGGCTTACTACAACCACCACCTTCCGGGTTCAGGCAATTCTCATGTCTCAGCCTCCTGAGTAGCTGGGATTATAGATGCCCACCACAATGCCCGGCTAATTTTTGTATTTTTAGTAGAGATAGCATTTCACCGTATTGGCCAGGCTGGTCTCAAACTCCTGATCTCAGGTGATCAACGTGCCTCAGCTTCCCAAGATGCTGCGATTACAGGTGTGAGCCACGGTGCCCTGCCTGGTCCATTTTTTCATCTTCCCATTGCAGAGTCTGGGACGCTATTACCCTGGGGATTCAGGTCATGAGCTTGGCTGATCAGGGTGTCTGGTTTGCACAACAGAGTCAAACTCGCATCCCCTGCCGTGAAACAGATGCCCCGCTAGAAGCCGGGAGTGGACAGCATCCTCCTCTCCATAGAATTGGAGTGCTCATTAGTGGCAAGAATCCTAAGGCGAACTTTGCCTGTTTAAGTGGAGGAGATTAGTCACTGAGATAATAAAATAAATGCATGTGAAAGTGTTTAGGAAAAATGAAAAGTCTTTATGCAAATATGCAGAATGTTGCCGTAAGAGCCCGTACACAGTGGGAATGTCATACCTATGGCTGACGCACCTTGCTGTCAGTGTGTGGGAGCGTGGTGTAAACTTAGCCTGTGAGCCTGACTCCTGTCTGTTCCTGCCTTCCCCGCTCTGCCCCCAGGTGGCATGAAGCCCAACACGTTGGTCCTAGGTTTCTACGATGACGCTCCACCGCAGGACCATTTCCTGACGGACCCGGCTTTCTCTGAGCCTGCAGACAGCACCAGGGAGGGCAGTTCCCCAGCTCTGAGCACCCTGTTCCCTCCTCCCCGGGCTCCTGGGAGCCCCCGGGCCCTCAATCCCCAGGACTATGTGGCCACGGTGGCCGACGCCCTCAAGATGAACAAGAATGTGGTGCTGGCCCGGGCCAGCGGGGCCTTGCCCCCTGAGCGGCTGAGCCGGGGGTCTGGGGGCACCTCTCAGCTGCACCATGTGGACGTGTGGCCCCTCAACCTGCTGCGGCCCCGGGGTGGGCCCGGCTATGTGGATGTCTGCGGCCTCTTCCTGCTGCAGATGGCAACCATCTTGGGCATGGTGCCCGCTTGGCATAGCGCCCGGCTCCGGATCTTCCTGTGCCTGGGGCCTCGGGAGGCGCCTGGGGCGGCCGAGGGGCGGCTGCGGGCACTGCTGAGCCAACTGAGGATCCGGGCTGAGGTGCAGGAGGTGGTGTGGGGCGAGGGGGCCGGGGCTGGGGAACCCGAGGCGGAGGAGGAAGGGGACTTTGTGAACAGTGGGCGGGGAGACGCAGAGGCAGAGGCCCTGGCACGCAGCGCCAACGCCCTGGTTCGGGCCCAGCAGGGGCGCGGCACAGGAGGAGGGCCGGGTGGGCCGGAGGGTGGGGATGCTGAGGGCCCCATCACAGCCCTCACCTTCCTGTACTTGCCTCGGCCGCCAGCCGATCCCGCCCGATACCCCCGCTACCTGGCGCTACTGGAGACTCTAACCCGAGACCTGGGCCCCACGCTGCTGGTTCATGGGGTCACTCCAGTCACCTGCACTGATCTGTGATGCCCCTGCCTCCAGGGCTAGGTAGAGAGGGCCCAGGCAGGCGGCCTATCCTGATCCTTGGAGGAGGAGGAAGAGGAGGCCACTGTGGCCCGTGGCCCTGCCCTTGGGACGTGGAGCCCAGGGGAGGTTTGAAGGGGATCCTGGGCTTGGGCATCACGCCCACCTCCTTTGGCAGAGGGACCCCAGCACACTAACTCTGGGTGGCTGTCCCCACCGTGCAGGGGAGGGAGTCCGCAGCCTCCCTTCACTGGTGCCTTGATGCTAGGGGCCAGGCCTCCTCTGTGACTCTGGGCTACCTCAGTTTCCCCATTTTGGCCAGACTCACCGGCCCACTGGGGTGGTGATGTTTTCGTTCTGTTTTATTTTTCTAACTCTGCTGACCATGAATAAAAGACCAAAACACTACAGGCTGGCTGAGCAGTGCTGGTGGGTAGCTGAGAGGGAGGGGGTGGGAATGGAGAGCTCTGCAGAGGGGTGGAGATCGGAGCCTTCAGCCTCCCGCCGCGAGGCTGCCACGTGCAGGGCTGGGGTGCGGGGCCCGGACGCATCCGTGGACTTGGAGGCTGGCTCGGGCCCGCACCTCCCATCCCCAGCTGCCCGCAACCCCCAGTGACTCGGGATCCCCCGGAGAGCCCTCCCCTCTCGGCAGGAGGGGGCTGACTCAGGGAGAAATGGCAGTTTAGGGCCTAGGGGGCCACGTGACCCTCCCCCAGGAATGTGGTGACGTCATCGGAGGCGTGGTCGTCCCCAAAATTAGGGAGGAAGAGGAAAAAAAAAAGCCAGAAAAAGTTTTCTTTTCTGGAGTCCCAAACGAGGTGCGGGACGGAAGAGGGGGTGAAGGCCAGAGGCTCGGGGCTTCAAGACCGCTGTCTGGAGTCCCCCTTTCCAGGCCATGTCGGGGCCCACCTGGCTGCCCCCGAAGCAGCCGGAGCCCGCCAGAGCCCCTCAGGGGAGGGCGATCCCCCGCGGCACCCCGGGGCCACCACCGGCCCACGGAGCAGGTAAGGCAGCCCTTGTGAGACAGAAGAGCCACCCAGCTGTGGCGCTCACCTCTGTCCTACCGCTCCAGCCTCCCGCCCTGGCTGCTTCCTCCTGCCCCTTCCCCAAGCCGAGGCGGGGGGAACAGCCGCCTGCGCTCTCTTGGGACCCTAGATTTGGGGGAGGAGGTAACGAGAGGCGGAGAGGGTGGCTCCTCAAATATACACCCCTCCTGTCCTCCGCCACCCCACCTTTGATTTCTCTTCCCTCAACCCAGCACTCCAGCCCCACCCCAGGGTCAATTTTTGCCCCCTTCCATCTGAGCAGTGTTACCAGGCCCCAGGGGGACCGGAGGATCGGGGGCCGGCGTGGGTGGGGTCCCATGGAGTACTCCAGCACACGCAGGTGAGACCCGGGATCGTGGGGTGGGACATGTGGGATCCCCCAGAACCGAGTCTGAGGGACCCAGGACAGGAGAAGGCCTATGGTGATTTGCATTCTTCCTGCCCTGGCTCCATCCTCAGGGGCTCCCTGCAGACAGGGGGGGCCTTCGCCCTGGAAGCCTGGACGCCGAGATAGACTTGCTGAGCAGCACGCTGGCCGAGCTGAATGGGGGTCGGGGTCATGCGTCACGGCGACCAGACCGACAGGTGACTCTGCCCCTCCTCCCCGTCAGCACCCTGCCCCCTTCTCTGGACTCTCAGACCCAGCCTGATCGATCCCCCATGTGTGTAATGTGCACCCCAGCATGGAGGAAGCGTGGCTGCAAGTACCAACATGTCAGCCACTTGAGGACGGGACCTTGTCAAATGCAAAAAGCCTGTGCTTCCCCACAGCCAGGGTCATTTCCACAAATGTGGGTCTTGGAGTGGGGTCCTTGCTTACGACTTCTGGCCTGCGTTTCTCCTCAGGCATATGAGCCCCCGCCACCTCCTGCCTACCGCACGGGCTCCCTGAAGCCAAATCCAGCCTCGCCGCTCCCAGCGTCTCCCTATGGGGGCCCCACTCCAGCCTCTTACACTACCGCCAGCACCCCGGCTGGCCCAGCCTTCCCCGTGCAAGTGAAGGTGGCACAGCCAGTGAGGGGCTGCGGCCCACCCAGGCGGGGAGCCTCTCAGGCCTCTGGGCCCCTCCCGGGCCCCCACTTTCCTCTCCCAGGCCGAGGTGAAGTCTGGGGGCCTGGCTATAGGAGCCAGAGAGAGCCAGGGCCAGGGGCCAAAGAGGAAGCTGCTGGGGTCTCTGGCCCTGCAGGAAGAGGAAGAGGAGGCGAGCACGGGCCCCAGGTGAGCCCTGGGGAACTGGGATTTCAGGCCCTACAGACAATGGGACACCGACTGGGTGGGGTGGCTGGTGGTGTTTTAGGGGGCTTTTTTGTTTTTTGAGACAGAGTTTTGCTCTTGTTTGCCCAGGCTGGGGTGCAGTGGTGCCATCTTGGCTCACTGCAACCTCTGCCTCCCGGGTTCAAGTGATTCTCCTGCCTCAGCCTCCTGAATAACTGGATTACAGGCACACGCTGCCACGCTTGGTTAATTTTTGTATTTTTAGTACAGACGGGGTTTCACTAAAACCCCAGTTTGTTGGCCAGGCTGGTCTCGAACTCCCGACCTCAGGTGATCCGCCTGCCTCAGCCTCCCAAAGTGCTGGGATTGCAGGCCTGAGCCACCGCGCCTGGCCAAGGGGCTGGTTTTGGAGCAGAGTCAGAGGTCTGGGACGTGGAATAGGTAAGGGCAGGGCAGTGCGGGGGAGCAGGATAGAACTGCCCATTGGGGCTGAGCGCGGTGGCTCATGCCTGTAATCCCAGCACTTTGGGAGGCTGAGGTGGGTGGATCACCTGAGGTCACGAGTTCGAGACCACACTGACCAACATGGAGAAACCTCGTCTCTACTAAAAATACAAAATTAGCCAGGCATGGTGGCACATGCCTGTAATCCCAGCTACTCGGGAGGTTGAGGCAGGAGAATCACTTGAACCTGGGAGGTGGAGGTTGCGGTGAGCCGAGATCGCACCACTGCTCTCCAACCTGGGCAACAAGAGCAAAACTCTGTCTCAAAAAAAAAAAAAAAAAAAAAAAAGAACTGCCTACGGGCCCCTGGGCTGAGATGTTCTCAGATGAGCTTTCTAGCTGGAACTGCCTGGCCACCTTCAGAGACATTATAGCAGTCCCCAATCTTTTTGGCACCAGGGACCAGTTTTGGGGAAAACAATTTTTCCATGGACTGGGGAGGGGGATGGGAGGGGGTGGGAGGGGGATGGTTTCAGGATGATTCAAGCACATTACATTCATTGTGCACTTTATTTCTGTTATAATAATAATAGAATATATAGTATATATAATTGTTTCGGTATATATTACAATGTATATTACAATGTAATATATACCGAAACAATTATACAATTCACCATCATGTAGGATCAGTGGGAGCCCTGAGCTTGTTTTCCTGCAACTGGACAGTCCCATCTGGGGGTGATGGGAGACAGTGACAGATCATCAGGCATTAGATTCTCATAAGGAGCTTGCAACCTACATCCTTCGAACACACAGTTCACAATAGGGTTCATGCTCCTATGAGAATCTAACGCCGCTGCTGATCTGACAGGAGGTGGAGCTCAGGCGGTAATGCAAGTGATGGGGAGCAGCTGTAAATACAGATGAAGCTTTGCTTGCCCATTGCTCAGCTCCTGCTGTGTGGCCCAGTTCCTAACAGGCCATGGCCTGGCGGCTGAGGGCCCTGGTATTACAGCATCAGGAGCTAGAGTAGGACCGAGCCCGATTCCCACCTTCCAGGTGCCCCTGAGCCAGCCTCCAGAGGATGAGCTGGATAGGCTGACGAAGAAGCTGGTTCACGACATGAACCACCCGCCCAGCGGGGAGTACTTTGGTGAGCTGAGGCTGTGGGGTGGGTGGGACGTGGGAAGGGAGGCTGGGAGACAGAGGGGACAGTGGCTTCCTGGGTCTGTGAAGACTGATGCTGTTTCTCCCTGTCCTCAGGCCAGTGTGGTGGCTGCGGAGAAGATGTGGTTGGGGATGGGGCTGGGGTTGTGGCCCTTGATCGCGTCTTTCACGTGGGCTGCTTTGTATGTTCTACATGCCGGGCCCAGCTTCGCGGCCAGCATTTCTACGCCGTGGAGAGGAGGGCATATTGCGAGGGCTGCTACGTGGTGAGTGGCTGGGGCTGGGAGGAGGGAGTCAGTGGCTGGATGCAGGGGGCTTCCATCCAAGGTGGTAACTAGAGCGTCCAAGACCAAAGGAGGAACGGTGCTAAAAGCCAGGCGACTGAAAGTGATGTACAAACAGGGCGGAATTCTGCAAGTATCAAGCAAGTAGCTTAACACTGGTGGCTGAAGGGAAGGACGCAGCTCTTACAAGTGTGGAGCATCTTACAGTTAAAGAGAATGTGTTAGATTCCCATGACACCCCTGTGAGGCAGGTATTACTACTGATTCCTGGTTTTGTTTTTTGTTTTTTTTTGAGACAGTCTCGCTCTGTTGCGCAGACTGGAGTGCAGTGGGGTGATCTCTGCTCACTGCAACCTCAGCCTGCCCTGGTTCAAGCGATTCTCATGCCTCAGGCTCCCGAGCAGTTGGGATTACAGGTGCCCACCACCACACCCAGCTAATTTTTGTATTTTTAGTAGAGACAGGGTTTCGCCATGTTGGCCAGGCTGTTTTGAAACTCCTGGCCTCAAGCAGTCCGCCCACTCTGGCCTCCCAAAGTGCTGGCATTACAGGCGTGAGCCACTGCACCCAGCCTGATTCCTGTTTTTCTCATAGTGTTTAAATACCGTGTATAGTGCTGGGACCTGAACTCAGATCTGCTCAAGTCTGCCTTTCACCGAATCACATGCAGGAGGCTGCATGCAGGAGGCTGCAGAAATTAGATGGCTGGGTTGCTGGGGTTCCTGTTGAGCTGCCATGGCTCCCGCCCGCTCCCAGATCTTCCTGCCTTCCTTCCCAACAGGCCACCCTGGAGAAATGTGCCACGTGCTCCCAGCCCATCCTGGACCGGATCCTGCGGGCTATGGGGAAGGCCTACCACCCTGGCTGCTTCACCTGCGTGGTGTGTCACCGCGGCCTCGACGGCATCCCCTTCACAGTGGATGCTACGAGCCAGATCCACTGCATTGAGGACTTTCACAGGTCAGGCCTGGCCTCCACCTTGTCTCACAATGTCTGACCTTTCCTGTCTCTCTCATCTCTTCATGCCCCAGGACTGTCTCTTCCTGTTTCCAACCCTGGCCCTCCTTCGTTCTTTGTTATTGTTATTTTTTAGAGACGGAGTTTCACTCTGTTGCCCAGGCAGGAGTGCAATGGCATGATCATAGCTCACTGCAGCCTCCAACTCCTGGGCTCAAGTGATCCTCCTACCTCAGCCTCCTGAGTAGCTGGGACTACGGGTGCACACGCCACCATGCCTGGCTAGTTTTCTTCGTTTTTTTTTTTTTTTTTTTGAGATGGAGTCTCACTCTGTCACCCAGGCTGGAGTGCAGTGGCACGATCTCAGCTCACTGCAACCTCCACCACCTGGGTTCAAGTGATTTGCCTGCCTCAACCTCCCCAGTAGCTGGGATTACGGGCGCATGCCACCACGCCTGGCTAGTTTTTTTTTTTTTTTTTTTTTTTGTATTTTTAGTAGAGACAGGCTTTCATCATGTTGGCCAGGCTGGTCTCAAACTCCTGAGCTCAAGCGATCCACCTGCCTCGGCCGCCCAAAGTGCAGGGATAGCAGGCGTAAGCCACTGCACCCAGTCTTCTTCTTTGTATTTTAATAAAGACAGCGTCTTGCTGTGTTGCCTAGGCTGGTCTTGAACGCCTGGCCTCAAGTGATCCTCCTGCCTTGGCCTCCCAAAGTCGGGGGATTGCAGGCTAGAGCCACTGCACCTAGCCTCTCTCATTCTCTTTGACATCGTCCCTTCCCCAAGACCTAAGGCCATACCTCTGGCCTCTCTGATTCCCTCCTGTGCCCCACCTTCTCTGGGTTCCATTGTTGGTGCCCTGCAACCCCAAGGCTTGATGGCCTTCTTGGTTCTCTTCCCCTGCAGGAAGTTTGCCCCAAGATGCTCAGTGTGCGGTGGGGCCATAATGCCTGAGCCAGGTCAGGAGGAGACTGTGAGAATTGTTGCTCTGGATCGAAGTTTTCACATTGGCTGTTACAAGTGCGAGGTCAGGGGCCCCCAGCACGTGCAAGGGGCTGGCAGTGTCTAGGGTGCTGGGTAGAGCATGAGGGGGAACACAGAGGTCTGGGGTTGATGGAAACCTGTTGCTTCTTTCTTTTTTTTTTTTTTTTGAGACGGAGTCTTGCTCTGTTGCCCAGGCTGGAGTGCAGTGGCACAATCTTGGCTCACTGCAACCTCCACCTCCCGGGTTCAAGTGATTCTCCTGCCTCAGCCTCCTGAGTAGCTGGGATTACAGGTGCTGGCCACCATGCCTGGCTAATTTTTGTATTTTTAGTAGAGACAGGGTTTCACCATATTGGCCAGGCTGGTCTTGAACTCCTGACCTTGTGATCCTCCTGCCTCGGCTTCTCAAAGTGCTGGGATTACAGGCGTGAGCCATCGCGCCCGGCCAATTGTTGCTTCTTTTTCAACAGGAGTGTGGGCTGCTGCTCTCCTCTGAGGGCGAGTGTCAGGGCTGCTACCCGCTGGATGGGCACATCTTGTGCAAGGCCTGCAGCGCCTGGCGCATCCAGGAGCTCTCAGCCACCGTCACCACTGACTGCTGAGTCTTCCTAGAAGTACCTGCTGGGTTCTCAGTTCCAGTTCCCATCCTTTGATTGATCACTCTCCCTGACATCCACCTGTATGACTTTGTCACCAAATGCTGTCTTCTCTTTCTCCAATCAAGAAATAATAATCCCTCGAGTTTACAAAACACTTCCAAGTCTGTTGTCTCATCTGATTCTCCCAGTAGCCCATTACAGGCCCAGTCATTGTTACTGCCTGCATTTTTTTTCTTTTTTTTTTGAGACGGAGTCTGGCTCTGTCACCCAGGCTGGAATGCAGTGGTGCCATCTCGGCTCACTGCAACCTCTGCCTCCCAGGTTCAAGTGATTCTCTTGCCTCAGCCTCTTGAGTAGCTGGGATTACAGGCGCCCGCCACCACGTCTGGCTAATTTTGTATTTTTAGTAGAGACGGGGTTTCACCACCTTGGTCAGGGTGGTCTTGAACTCCTGACCTCAAGTGATCTGCCCGCTTCACCCAACCAAAGTGCTGGGATTACAGGCGTGAGCCACCGCCCTTGGCCACTGTCTGCATTTTTACATGTGAGGATGTCAGAGCTGAGAGGTGACTCCCCCAGATTGCATGGTTCTTAAATGGTGGAACCTGGGTCTTTTTGACTCAGGTCCAGTTTTTTTTGACAACTCTTGTAATCCGTCACTACCCTCCTCTCAGTGCTGGGAGCAAGCACGCCTCAGGGAGGAGGCAAGATTTCCTCTATGTATCTATTTTGAGACAGGGCCTCACTCTGTTCCCCAGGCTAGAGTGCAGTGGTGCAATCAAGGCTCACTGCAGCCCTGAACTCCTGGGCTCAAACAGTCCTCCTGGCTTAGCCTCCCCAGTAGCTAGGACCACAGGGGCATCCCACCAAGCCCAGTTATTATTTTTTTGTGTGTAGATGGGATCTTGCTATGTTGCCCAGGCTAGTCCTGAACTCTTGGGCTTAAGTCCTCCCTCCTCGACCTTCCCAAGTGCTGGGATCACAGGTGTGAGCCAATGTGCCTGGCCCTAAATATTCTGTAAAGGGGCCTTGCTATGTTGCCCAGGCAGGTCTCCAACTCCTGGGCTCAAGTGATTCTCCCACGTCGGCCTCCCAAAGCGCTGGGATTGCAGGCGTGAGCCATCTCAGCTGGTCTTCCTATTAAGTCTCACACTCAATTCACTGAGAGGGGCCTTGGTGTTACTCCCGGGGGTGGTAATCCATTGAATCTGGGCGGTCCATACTCTGTTTAGGGCGTTAACTTACAGCCTATTTCATCCAAATACTGAGCGGGGTTAAGACTGAGATCTGCCAATTTTACTTAAAGACGGGGCGTCTTTGTCGAGGAAAAGCAGGAACGGCGGACTTTGCATTTAGTGCGCACTGTGGCACCCAATTTTGGCTGGATATTTGGAGCAGAAAATGGTGGGATACGATGCTTTAAAATGGTTGCTTCCACCTTCCATCCCCTAAGCGCCCGCGCTTCCCAAGCCCACGCCCTGCCCGAGGAGGGGACGAAATCACCCCCGGTGAGGTCAGGAGGCCCGTGGGGGGAACATGGCTGGATGAGAACCGTCTTAGGACCCCGACACATCTGGGGTCGCGCGATCCTCGACTTCCGCTCTCCCTTCGCGCCCAGAGGGCTTGTTCGCCTCCCGAGGCCGCGCTTGGCCCAGCCGAGGTCCCGTAGTTCCTAACGCTCGAGCCGTTATCGTCTCGAAAAGCCGCGCGAGACTTGCGAGATCCCCGCCCCTTTCCCATCACGCCCTGCTCTCCCCGCCCTTCGCGCTCGGTTTGTTAGTTCCAGTTCCGGCCGCGAGGGTGGAGCTTTGTGCCTCGGAGGCGTGGGTGACGCAGGCGCAGCGCGGGCTGCGCGCGCTACTGCCCATCCCCGGTTGTCCCACTTTTGTTCGCCTCTCTTCGGCCCTCTACTCAAGAGCTCCGTCTCCGTCTCGCCCTCCTCGAAGTCCTCGTCGCGCGCCCGCGACCCAGGTCGCCCTGAAATCTAGCCCGTCCGAGCGCGAGTCCAACGGCCGCGGCCGCACCAAGGTGGGGGAGGGGAGGAGCCTGGGGGGCCCCGCTGGGGCGGGAGAGGAACCGGGGTCCACGGGGGCGGGCGCGGAGAAACTCGGGGCGAGTGGAGGTGTTGGAGCCGCGTTCTCAGGCCTAGGATGGTGGGGGCCGCGGAGGGCTGGCCTTGGCGGGAGGGAAGCGGGCGAGCTGCCCGCGAGGGACGGTCCCTTCCTCCGCTCGTCCTTTTGCACCACTCCTACCGCCTCTCCCCGGTCCCCAGGCCCCCTCAGACCGTGCCATGGGTGACAGTGATGACGAGTACGATCGAAGGCGCAGGGACAAGTTCAGAAGAGAGCGCAGCGACTACGACCGTTCCCGCGAGAGAGATGAAAGACGTCGAGGGGACGATTGGAATGACAGGTGAGCCGTTTTTAACTTCATCTTGTCCCCGTTTCATGCCGTTTCACTCCACCCGCGTCGCTTTTCTTTCTCCCCCTTGTAATTTTTATGAGGGCGAATCCTATGAAATGGCTCATTGGACCGTTTTCTGTGGTTCAGCCTATTTGCTGTTGGCCAAATAACTAGCTGTGGCTTGGTTTTTGAAATTCTCTGCAGATCAGAGCTATAGAGCTAAGAGTTTGAGTATGAAGAAGCACTGTTTATACATGCACGAAAAGCGTGCTTTTTTGCTTTTTTTTGTTTTGTTATTGAGATGGGGTCTTGTTCTGCTGCCCTGGCTGGAGTGCATTGATGCAGTCGTAGCAGCCTCCACCTCCCGGGCTCAACCGAGCCTCCCGCCTCAGCCTCTTGAGAAGCTGGGACTCCAGGGGGAGGCCATCACGCCCGCCTAACTTTTAAAAATTATTATTGTTATTTCGAGACAGAGTCTTGCCCTGTCGCCCAGGCTGGAGTGCAATGGCGCAATCTTGGCTCACTGCAACCTTCGCCTCTGGGGTTCAAGTAATTCTCCTGCCTCAGCCTCCCGAGTAGCTGGGATTACAGGCACCTGCCACCACGCCCGTCTAATTTTTGTATTTTTAGTAGAGACGGGGTTTCACCATGTTGGCTAGGCTGGTTTGGAACTCTCGACTTTAGGTAATCCACCCAGCTCGACCTCCCAAAGTGCTGGGATTACAGGCATGAGCCAGTGCTTGGTCTAAAATTATTTTTTGTAGAGACAGCGTCTTGCTCTGTTGCCCAGGTTGTAAATTATATTTTAGGAGGATTGCTTCAGAAAAATAATAATATAGAGTTGATCTGACTGGAGAGGTCGTCAGATTATTTCCCTGACAATATATGATTAGGTTTCTTGTCACTGTTTTGCCTAAAATCTCAGAGTTCATAGGGCGGTGCTGATTGGATTGATTATAAGATGTGGTTATTGACCTTAGGGTGTTACAGTGAGCTTGGCATGGGGGATCAGAATGGCAGTGGATGTATTCTGTAAATGAGTATATATAGTGGAAGTTATAAAGAGGGTAAGCATTGAGGGAACAGATCTCTAAAGGAGGGGAGCGGTGCTGGAGGTTGTGTGTCAGGGACCCACTGGAAAGTGACACTTGGCTAGACTTGGAAAGATGAGTGGGAATTCCCCAGACACGAGTGACATGAACAGCTTGGAGTTGTGGACATAACGTGTGATTTTAGCATATTCTAGTTTGGTTAGAGTCCTGTTTCTCAGGATGTCCACAGACCATAGGGGGTCTCCGAGGCTAAAATTAGTTTTTGTGGTAATGTTTACATATTATTGCCATTTCCACTGTTGGTGCCATAGCAATGATGGGTAAAACCGCTGATGCTTTACCAAACATCAAGGCAGTGACAGCAAAGAGTTAAAAAAAAAAAGCCAGCCGGGCCCAGTGGCTCACACCTGAAATCCCAGCACTTTGGGAGGCCGAGACGGGCAGATCACGAGATCGAGAGATTGAGACCATCCTGGCCAACATTGTGAAACCCTGTCTCTACTAAAAATACAAAAGTTAGCCAGGCATGGTGGTGCGCGCCTGTAGTCCCAGCTACTTGGGAGGCTGAGACAGGAGAATTGCTTGAACCCAGGAGGCACAGGTTGTAGTGAGCTGAGATCACACCCCTGCACTCCGGCCTGGCGACAGAGCAAGACTCTGTCTCAAAAAAAAAAAAAAAAAAAAAAGCCACTTCCATCAATGATTCTTGATGAAAGAGTAAAACATTTAAATTTGATTAGATTGGACTCTTGACTGTACGTCTTTTTTAAAAAAATTTTTTTTTGACACAGAATCTTGCTCTGTCACCCAGGCTGGAGTGCAGTGGGGCGATCTCAGCTCACTGCAACCTCCACCTCCTGGGTTCAAGTGATTCTCCTGCCTCAGCCTCCCGAGTTGCTGGGATTACAGGTGCGTGCCACTCTGCCTGGCTAATTTTTGTATTTTTAGTAGAGATGGGGTTTCACCATGTTGGCCAGCTGGTCTTGAACTCCTGACCTCACATATCCACCTGCTTCGACCTCTCAAAGTGCTGGGATTACAGGCCCGCGTTAGTTGTCTTGAGCAAGAGTACGCATGTGATTGAGTGAGCTGAACTAACAGCTTTTTTCCATGGGATGTTATTTTTACTTGAATGAATGACAAACAGTGATTGTTCATACTTGGGTATTTGGCAGACATCTTGAAAATGAACTGAGAACCTGTTACTTCAGTGTAAGCTGTTGGTATTTGTTGCCAGTGATGAAGTAGAACTTTCCAGTGAAAATTAAAATTTTGGGCCGGCGCAGTGGCTCATGCCTGTAATCCCAACACTTTGGGAGGCGAAGGTGGGTGGATTGCTTGAGCCCAGGAATTTGAGACCAACCTGGGCAACGTGGTGAAACCTGTCTGTACAAAAAAATACAAAAATTAGCTGGGGGTGGTGGCACATGCCTGTAGTCCCGGCAACTCCGGAGGCTGAGGCGGGAGGATGGCTTGAGCCTGGGAGGTGGAGGTGGGAGTGAGTCTTGATGGCACCACTGCATTCCAACCTGGGCAACAGAGAGATACCCTGTCAAAAAAAAAAAAAGGAAATTAAAATTTTGGAAAACTTCTACTAATGTGAGCTTGACAGCTTCCCATTAAGTAAAGACTTTCTTGGTGAGATAGGCAGTGATGCTGATGAGTACATTTTGATATTGGGTGAGACATAATCCAGGTCCATTGAAAGGGAAAGATAGAACAGTGGATTTTAATGCAGCAGAGAAAGAAATATTCACTGATACTATTTCAGATTGAAGGTTCTAACTAGCCTGTGAGAAACTACTTCCTTCTTGGACAAGGTAGCATAAAGAAAAGAAAAAAAAGAACCTACCTCTTGTTGAATTTTGGGTAGTATCCAAAATGAATATCTACAGTTAATCTGAAAAGGCCTTTCCAACTCCTTATCAGTATGAGGCCTGATTTTCTGTTTTTTTTTTGAGACGGGTCTTACTCTGTTGCCCAGGTTGGAGTGCAGTGGCACGATCATGGCCACAGATCACTGCAGCCTTGACTTCCCCAGGCTTAGGTGATCCTCTCACCTCAGCCTCCTGATTAGCTGGGACTACAGGTGTATGCCATCACACCCAGCTAACCTACTTTCTTCCTTCCTTCCTTTTCTTTTCTTTTCCTTTCTTTTCTTTTCTTTTCCTTCCTTTCTTTCTTTTTCTTTCTTTTCTTTCTTTCTTTCATTCTTTCTTTCAGATGGAGTCTCACTCTGCCCAGGCTGGAGTATAGTGGCGTGATCTGGGCTCACTGTAACCTCCATCTTCCGGGTTCAAAACGATTCTCCCACCTCAGCCTCCCGAGTAGTTGGGATTACAGGTGCCTGCCACCACGCCCGGCTAATTTTTGTGTATTTAGCAGAGACAGGGTTTTGCCATGTTGGCTAGGCTGGTCTCAAACTTCTGACCTCAAGTGATCTGCCTGCCTTGGCCTCCCAAAGTGCTAGGATTACAGGCATGAGCTACCACTTCCAGCCAGCCAGCTAAGTTTTGTATTTTTAGTAGAAAGGTGGTTTCACCATGTTGCCCCAGCCTGGTCTTGAACTCCTGGGCTCAAGCAATCCACTGCTTCGGCCTCCCAAAGTGCTAGCATTCATTACAGATGTGAGCCACCATGCCCGGCCTGCCTCATTTTTCAAGCAGAACAAAATATCTCAACAGATTCAGTGTAGAAGCTATCCTCTACAAAGCCAGAACTTGGAGAGATTGGTGACAATGTAAAAACAATGCCACTTTTTCTCACCAAAATTTTTCTGGAAAACGATTTTTCATAAAAACATGTAATGTGTTTCATCTTACTGTGTAATTTAAAAATGAAGGTTTTGGAACATTTCGTTTTAATTTTGAATATAGTAAGTATCGATAGATGTAACCCACATAAGCAGAAACTCTTTGGTGTCCTCAGTCATTTTTAAGAGTATTAAGGGGCTGAGGCAGGAGAATTGCTTGAGCCCAGGAGGCGGAGGCTGTAGTGAGCCGAGAGTGATTGTGCTGCTGCACTCCAGCCTGAGCGACAGAGTGAGACTGTCTCCAAAAAAAAAAAAAAAAGAAGAAGAAGAAGATGAGGATGGGGGAGGCTGGTGATTGGTTGGGAGGTTGGTGACTGGTGGAGAGGCTGGTGACTGGTCGAGAGGCTGGAGTGACAGCCAGGAGCCCAAGTTAAAACAATAGTGTTGCTTACTGACATTGAAGTAACGGTGTGATGTGATGAGACTTGTGTTTGAGGAAGGTCTGCCTGCCAGTGGGGAGACAGAAGCGAGAGACCAGAAGCAGGCGGGCAGCCAGGGCTGCAGGAGCCACACTGGCCAAGGACAAAGACTAGGACAGGGTGTGTGGGGATGGCAGAGAGTGGGACAGCTTTGATAGGCTTTGAGGCAGAGGATTAGCAGGAGCAGTAATTAGCGGTGAGGGTAGTGAATGACAGCTGGCGAGAGATGCTGTTCCGTTGATACAGCAGAGTGGGGAGCGGGAGGAGGAAAAGACATTTGGGCCCATAGTGGTGGGATGAATAGGCTTGATTCTTTTTTCTTTTTTTGGTGGGGGGGATGAAGTCTTGCTCTGTCGCCCAGGCTGGCTTGCAGTGGCGCGATCTCGGCTCACTGCAAGCTCCGCCTCCCGGGTCCACGCCATTCTCCTGCCTCAGCCTCCCGAGTAGCTGGGACTACAGGTGGCTGCCACCACGCCTGGCTAATTTTTTTTTGTATTTTTAGTAGAGACTGGGTTTCACCATGTTAGCCAGGATGGTCTCGATCTCCTGACCTCGTGATCCGCCCGCCTCGGCCTCCCAGAGTGCTGGGATTACAGGCGTGAGCCACCGCACCCGGCTGAATAGGCTTGATTCTGACAGGCTGAATTTGAGGGGGTGATGGACTTCTAGTAGGGGATGATTTTTAAAAAGTTTTCTGTTTTATTTTTAGAGACAGGGTCTCCCTCTGTCACCCGGGCTGAGTGCACTGGTGCAGTCGAAGCTTGCTGCAGCCGCGACCTGCCCGTAAGTGGGCCTGTAGCAGGGGTGATTCATGTGGGTCTGGAGCACAGGCGGAAGGCCAGGCTGGGAGAAGAGTTGGAGAACCATCAGTTCTTGGGTATTGGCTGAACTCATGGAGTTAGACAAGAATCTTTGTTTTGTTTTGTTTTGAGACAGGGTCTCTGTTGCCAGGGCTGGAGTGCAGTGGCTTGCCCTGACTAGAGAAAAATCTTTTTCTGTTAGGAGCGAAGTTTTATAATTGTAGGCTTTTTAGTCTGGTATCTCAGGGTGTAAGAAGGGCCTGTTTAGGAATGTGGCTGTGGCATATCCAGCTGTATCTTTAATTATTGTTACCTTTTTAAAAAATAAAAAATTTTTTGTAGGGATGGCGGGGGGCGGGGGGGGGTCTCACTATTGCCCAGGTTGGTCTCGAACTCCTGGCCTCAAGTGTTCTCTGCCTCGGCCTCAAAAGTGCTTGGATTACAGGCATGAGCCACTGTGCCTGGCCTTTAATCTTTGTTACTTGTTCTTACTGCCAGAGAGTGGGACCGTGGCCGTGAGCGCCGTAGTCGGGGTGAATATCGGGACTATGACCGGAATCGGCGAGAGCGCTTCTCGCCACCTCGCCACGAACTCAGCCCGCCACAGAAGCGCATGAGGAGAGACTGGTGAGATGGAGCGGTTTCCCTCTCCTCCCCTTTGCCTCAGTTCCACCTGGGCCTCCCCTTTCTCCCCTCACCTGTGCCTAAATCTTTGTCATTTCCTTTTCTCAACTTCCCATCACCCATCGTTACTTTGTCCCTTGAAACCCTTGTCTGGGAGACCATGCTGTGTGTACCCCCGTCTGTCCATCCTCCATGCTCTGGGGAGGTGACTCCCTTCTCTGCTTTACTTTTGTGTCCCCCACCTTCAGGGATGAGCACAGCTCTGACCCATACCACAGTGGCTATGAGATGCCCTATGCTGGGGGGGGTGGGGGCCCAACTTATGGCCCCCCTCAGCCCTGGGGCCACCCTGACGTCCACATCATGCAGCACCATGTCCTGCCTATCCAGGCCAGGTAAGGGTGGGGCTTCTCAGAAGAGGGTTGGTAGGCCTGGGGGATGGATGGGGTTGCTGAAGGCCATGGCTGAAGCCAGGGAGCGGGTCAGGCACACAGAGGCATGTCCCTGGGGTAGGGGTGGTAGCTGTTGGGGTTTGGGGTGATGTCCATGGTGGACAAAGTAAAGGGGCCCCAGCTACTTTGGCCCCTGTAGCCTCCCACCGTTCCCCAAAAACCAAGCCTTCCTGACCGGGGTCCCCTCCAGGCTGGGCAGCATTGCAGAGATTGACCTGGGTGTGCCGCCGCCCGTGATGAAGACCTTCAAGGAGTTTCTCCTCTCCCTGGATGACTCGGTGGATGAGACGGAGGCCGTCAAGCGCTATAATGACTACAAGCTGGATTTCCGGAGGCAACAGATGCAGGATTTCTTCCTGGCGCACAAAGATGAGGAGTGGTGAGTGCCCCTACTTCCCTGGACCTCTGCCCTGGCATGTCCCCCTGGCCCCGCTGGTGGAGCCACAGCCCTGTCCTCTTCCCAGTTTTCCCTGTCCAGAACTTTCTGGGGGCGGGGGTCGGGAAGTATGACAGCATTGGCTGATGGGGTCTCCCCCTCACTTCAGCAACTGCCACGGCCCCCGCCCCGCCCTGTCTCCTGTCCTGCTGTCCTCAGAGAGTGGGACACCTCCAGGCAGCAGGCCAGAGCCACTTGGCCCCTTGGGGCAGCAGACAGACTGCTTCCCACTTGTTGGTGTTGGGTCATTGTCATCCCTGATCACCAGGACCCTGTGTGGCTGTGGCGTCCTCCTAAAGCGACGAGTGAATCCAGACAAGAAAAGCAAAGATCTCGGTCGTTTGACAGAAAAAGAATTTTAATTTTTTTTTCCTTTTGTGGATGTTTTAATTTTAATCAACCATCTTTTCCCCCCTTCCTGCTCCTCCTCCTCCTCATCCTCTTTCTGCTCCTCCTCCTTGAAAAGAGCCAGAACTGGGAACTACACCCGCTCATCGACGGAGCTCGGAGCAAACCCACCTCCACCCCCACCATACCCAGCCCATACATGAGCCCCTGGGCTGAGCTGCGCGGCCCCGGCCAGGCAGACAGGCCAGGGCACTGCTGTGCACAATGCAGCGGTTTAGCTGAATGTGATTGCTCAGGCAGCTAGCCAGTCAGGCCCCACTGCGGAGTCCCGCGTGGGCATCTCGGCCGGGCGCCCAGCCAGGAGCCAGCCGGTGGCCCACCAGCCAGCATGGGCCCTGGGCGCCGCTAGTTAAATCTTGAGCTCTGTTTGACCAAGCGGCCAAGGTAAAGATCCTGGAGGTGATGCCTGCGGCTTTCCTTTCCTCTTCTGCCCCACTCGTGGTTCTGTTCTGTCTTCGCTGTCCCCTCTCTCGAATTGCTCTGTGTCTTTGTCCTAATCTCTCAGCACCTTCATTCTTCTCTGTTTCTGTTCTTGCTCCCTGCCTAACACCACCTTCTTCCCTGTTGGTTTTTTTAGTTTCTCTCTCTGATCTTTAGTTTTTCCCTTTGTTTTCGGTTTCTGGGACTTTCTCACACTCTCCCCTTTCCTCCCTTTCCCCTTTTCCTCATACTCCTCATTTCTTCTGTTTTCCCTCTGAGGTCCTATTTGAAATGTTTTATTTTTCTTCTCCCTAACCTTCCAGCCCTCTCCTCTCTCTCCCCCTGTGGGCAGGACCTGAGGCTCTAAAGGGCACTCCAGTGTCTCCCTTCGGTCTTTCCTGTCCCTTCACCGTCTTGCTTATCTTCCCACGGGTGGAGAAAGGTGCCCTGCCTCTGGGCTTTTGCTATCTGGCCCTCTGTCTTCCACCTCGGGGTGGAGGGAGTTGGCGGGAGCAGTTTTTGAATGACTGCAGTTTGGGGTTGGTGAGGAGAGGGAGGTTCTTCAGGGCCTGCTATTTCCTGAGCCTTCCTCTCTGAAGCTTTGGGAAATGACACCTTTTTACTACGTTAGTGTTTCCCAGAGATTTAAAGTGGTAAATCTGCCTCTCCTACCCTGGCGTCCCCCTGTAGTCATTGGTCTTCCCAAATCCAGAGCTCTTAGTTCCTGGTTCTCCCCCAAATCTTCACAGAACACAACTTCTGGTTCCTTTTGGGGTGTTGGGTGGTTCTAGCGCACCCCTATCCCTTAATCTCTCTATTTTGATGACCTTTTGTGGTTGTGAGAGGAAGGGGGATATGCCCTGTCTTTCCTGGGCCCCTTCCCACATCCTGGCCTTGGCTTCCAATAACTGTTTTGTCTTTCCCTCCCCCGCTTCGTTCCCAGGTTTCGGTCTAAGTACCACCCAGATGAGGTGGGGAAGCGTCGGCAGGAGGCCCGGGGGGCCCTGCAAAACCGACTGAGGGTCTTCCTGTCCCTCATGGAGACTGGCTGGTTTGATAACCTTCTCCTGGACATAGACAAAGCTGATGCCATTGTCAAGATGCTGGATGCAGGTGTGCGGATTTGGAGGGGTGGCAGGCATCTGGGCCCCATGGGGGTGGGGGTGTCTGGGGATCAGGTAGAAGCCGGTTGACAGGAGCCAGGGCCCTGGGGTCATGACCTCTGTTCCCTTTGTTGGTAGCCGTGATTAAGATGGAAGGAGGCACGGAGAATGATCTTCGCATCCTGGAGCAGGAGGAGGAGGAGGAGCAGGCAGGAAAGCCTGGGGAGCCCAGCAAGAAAGAAGAAGGACGGGCTGGAGCAGGCCTAGGGGACGGGGAGCGCAAAACCAACGACAAGGATGAGAAGAAGGAAGACGGCAAGCAGGTCCGAGCCCTGGGTCTCCTAGTGTTGTCCCTGGCAGCCTGGGGGAGGGGGGCGGGTAGGGGTCCATAGGAGCTAGAAGTAGGGGGCTGGGGAAAATGAACCTGTGGCCTCAGCTGTGGGGGTGGGGGCCCTCTGATAAAGGTGGGAGGGGAGGTTTGACATCCCCAGTGGTTGTCTCTTACCATAGGCTGAGAATGACAGTTCTAATGATGACAAAACAAAGAAGTCGGAGGGTGATGGGGACAAGGAAGAGAAGAAAGAAGACTCCGAGAAGGAAGCCAAAAAGGTGAGGTGTCTGTGGCCTGGGGTCAGAGTGTTGGGGCTGGGGTTCTGGCACGCTGACTTGTCCCCTCTGCTGTGGCTCACACAGAGTAGCAAGAAGCGGAACCGGAAGCACAGTGGTGACGACAGCTTTGACGAGGGCAGCGTGTCAGAGTCTGAGTCGGAGTCAGAGAGCGGCCAGGCTGAGGAGGAGAAGGAGGAGGCCGGTAGGGTTTCTTTTCTGCTTTAAAGTGCGTTCTCCTAATGCGGGTGGGGAGGTGAGAGGTTGGCGACATTGACGGGAGGGTGGGTGGCTTTTAGGGGAAAGCTTCTGTATCCTCCCCACCACAATCAGTAATAAAAATGCACCAACTCC
Source organism: Homo sapiens (assembly GCF_000001405.40). Taxonomy (NCBI): domain Eukaryota; kingdom Metazoa; phylum Chordata; class Mammalia; order Primates; family Hominidae; genus Homo; species Homo sapiens. The sequence continues at coordinate 100,885,190 of NC_000007.14, forward strand.
TTCCTACCCCCCTTCCTGCCTAGAAGAAGCGCTCAAGGAGAAGGAGAAGCCCAAGGAAGAAGAATGGGAGAAGCCCAAGGACGCCGCGGGGCTGGAGTGCAAGCCGCGGCCGCTGCATAAGACCTGCTCCCTCTTCATGCGCAACATCGCGCCCAACATCTCCCGGGCCGAGATCATCTCCGTGAGTGGGGACCCGTGGAGTCAGGGCAGGGCTGATGGAGAAGTGGAGGGTAGAGGGAAGGCAGTGGGGCCCTGCCTGTGACAGATGCCCCCGTTTCACCTGCTAGGGAGGCCCCTTCCCCAGGTTCCATGGCCTCCGAGGACTAGTCCTGATAGCGCCATTGGCTTTCAGGTGCTGGTGTTCTGAAGCCCTTTAGTGGTTTTTCCCTGCCCAAGGATGGGAAGAGTGATAAGGCAGTTAGTCCCTAGGGTTCTGAGGGCAGTGGGGGATTGGAGGAAGAAGCGAATGAATCCTTGAGTCACTGTGGGGCTGCTTTTCTGCTTCTTGCAGCTTTGTAAAAGGTACCCAGGCTTTATGCGGGTGGCGCTCTCAGAGCCCCAGCCAGAGAGGAGGTGAGTAACTCGGTGCGTTGGAGGGAAAAGTGCAGGGGAACGTTAATGGCCAACACCAACTCCCTCGCTTGACTATGCTAACATTTTCTTTCTTGTGTAGGTTTTTCCGTCGTGGCTGGGTGACCTTCGACCGCAGTGTTAACATTAAAGAGATCTGTTGGAACCTGCAGAACATCCGTGTGAGTGCTGGGGGTGGGACTGTGGGGAAGAGGAAGGGAGACTCTGTGCCACACGGGACCTCTGTGTGACTTTGTTCATCTGATAGTTTGGTTGTTCTGCACACTCTTTGACCGTTTTGTCTGGCTACGTTGTCTCTGGGCAAGGCTCTAGGGCGTTAGCATGGACGGAACCTATGTGGTCCCCGTCCCCAGGGAGCTCGCAGTCTGATCAATCGCTGGTGCTCAAGAGGGAAGGGTCTTAGAGCTGCTGTTTCTCTGGCAAGCGGGGTAAGTGGGGTAAGCTGCTGATGATGTCTGCCCTCCAGCTCCGGGAGTGTGAGCTGAGCCCTGGTGTGAACAGGGACCTGACCCGGCGCGTTCGCAACATCAACGGCATCACCCAGCACAAGCAGATTGTGCGCAACGACATCAAGCTGGCGGCCAAGCTGATCCACACGCTGGATGACAGGACACAGCTTTGGGCCTCAGAACCAGGGACGCCTCCCCTGCCCACGGTCAGTGACTCCCCAAAGGACTTTGTCAGAAGCAACTGGTAGTGCCTCTGCTGTGGGCACCTCTGACCTTACCTATCTGTAGCCTTGAACCCTTGCACCCACTCGCCTGCTCACTCATTTGCCCCTTCGTGTGTGGGTAGCAGCACCTCCAGATTCCAGCAGAACTGGGGGGATGCTAGTGATCATTTGTGGCTGGGGTGGAACAAAAGCTAAAATAAAGACAAATCTCAAGGGGGCAAAAGGTGCCATTTATGTCCGGTGAACTCCTGTCCCCTCGCTGCTCTTTCACTTGTGGAAAGTCTCAGGTTACCTCCTCTGAAGGTCTTCTCTGCCTTACTTGCTTCTCTTCCTCCCATCAGAGCCTGCCCTCGCAAAACCCGATCTTGAAGAATATCACCGACTACCTGATCGAGGAAGTAAGCGCCGAGGAGGAGGAGCTGCTGGGGAGCAGCGGGGGCGCTCCTCCTGAGGAGCCTCCTAAGGAAGGGAACCCGGCAGAGATCAACGTGGAGCGGGATGAGAAGTTGATTAAGGTGCCAGTGGCAGCGCGGGGCACGTGGGGGCTCGGGCGGTGAGGGCAGGAGCTGAACGCTCGCATTCACTTCCCTTAGGTCTTGGACAAGCTCCTCCTTTACCTGCGCATCGTGCATTCCTTGGATTATTACAACACCTGTGAGTACCCCAACGAGGACGAGATGCCCAATCGCTGTGGGATCATCCACGTTCGGGGGCCCATGCCACCCAACCGCATCAGTCACGGGGAAGGTGAGCTCCAGGTTCCCCTTTGTTCCCGGCTGCCCCTGGCCTTGGTCCTCCAGCCCCTTGCCACCATCCTTCCTTCTGGCTCCCTTGCCAACCTTCCTTCCTCTGTTCCCAAACCACAGTGCTGGAGTGGCAGAAGACTTTTGAGGAGAAGCTCACGCCGTTGCTGAGTGTGCGGGAGTCACTCTCAGAGGAAGAGGCCCAGAAGATGGGGCGCAAAGACCCAGAGCAGGAAGTGGAGAAGTTCGTCACCTCCAACACGCAGGAACTGGGCAAGGATAAGTGGCTGTGTCCTCTCAGTGGCAAGAAATTCAAGGTGTGGGATGTTGGAGAATGGCCGTGCTACGGTGGTGGGAGGTGGGGTTGAGACAGGAAGCCCCCTGGGCAGGGGTGGGGGAACTGCTTACTGCACTGGCAGGCGGGAGCTGGGAATCCTTCCAGCTCGGGCCTGGGAGCGAGGCAACCCTTATGTGGCTGTCCTGACCCCTCTCCTCTCTCCACCCAGGGTCCTGAGTTTGTGCGCAAACATATCTTCAACAAGCATGCAGAGAAAATTGAGGAAGTGAAAAAGGAAGTCGCGTTTTTTAACAACTTCCTCACTGATGCTAAGCGCCCAGCTCTGCCTGAGATCAAGCCAGCCCAGCCACCTGGCCCCGCCCAGAGTAAGATACGATCCATGAAGGTCGCATGTGCCCTCTTCCTTGACTACCCAGGGACTCCTGTTTCTCTTTAACGTGTCACCCCGAGAAGTTTCTGCCCCATCCTCAGGCCATAGCCCTAGAAGTCAATTGTACCCGTATCCCCCTCCCCGCCCCCGCAGTAATTCATGTCCCTGTCCGTGTTGTACTCCCCCCAGGTTTGACCCCAGGACTCCCCTACCCACACCAGACTCCCCAGGGCCTGATGCCCTATGGTCAGCCCCGGCCCCCGATCTTGGGCTATGGAGGTAAGTACAGGAGGGAGATGAAGGGGCTTGGTGAGTGTGTGGCTTTGGGAGAAGAAAACAGAGGATGGAATTGAGGACATAGTTTTGCAACTCAACACTGATCTCTGTCATAGCTGGTGCTGTCCGCCCTGCAGTCCCCACAGGAGGCCCTCCATACCCCCATGCCCCGTATGGTGCTGGTCGAGGGAACTATGATGCCTTCCGAGGCCAGGGAGGTTATCCTGGGAAACCTCGCAACAGGTGAGGAGGGCAGACGCCCAAGCTTTGTTGCCGCCTGCAGACTCCCTTTTGGGAGCCCTCAGCTCTCATCCTGTACCTCTCACCTCACAGGATGGTTCGTGGAGACCCAAGGGCCATTGTGGAATATCGGGACCTGGATGCCCCAGACGATGTTGATTTCTTTTGAGCCGTCCCCCGTTCCTCAGTCCTGTATCATCCATACTTGTACTACCTTGTCCTATGAAGCTCTGAGAATTTTTTGTACGATCAGCCTTACTGCTAATAAAAGCACTTCCACAGGGCTCCTGACTCTCGTGTGTTACATAACTCCTCCATCCTTCCAGAGTAACTCCTGAGGTGTTGCTCAGCCCTGCCACTTTTATTATTGATGTCAAAAGCGCCAGGCTTTGCAGGGACACCAGTGGGAGGTACATAGGTGCGTGTCTGGGACCCGAGAATCTCAGTTCTGTAACTTCGTCCTCAGTCCAAGGTGCGCTGCTGCTGTTGGGAGCTAAGGCTGGTCAAGCACAGGTTGTAGAAGGAGTTGGGGTCAAAGGCTGCACTCACCTCTTGCCAGCCCACCCACCCAGCAGCCTGTAGTTCACTGGGGCTTTTTGGAGTGCCCCAGTAGTGAGGGTCCAATACCAGGACATAGGCTTCCGTGCCTGACCCTACGCAGACTCCCAGCAAGGCCTTGGACCTGGCATCTGCGTCCCCCCCAACCATGACTGGGCCCCCACCCCCTGCGAAGTGCGAGTAAAGCCTCTCCAGCTCCCCGTGCAGCCCCACTCCCCGGGGTACGTGGCAGAGGCGTCCCTGGGGCCCTCCGAAGTGAGCGAGGCAGAGGCTGGCCTCCACGCAGCCGATCCAGTCCCGGGAGCCCCGGAAGCCGGGGGGCTTGTCGCCCATGTCCTCCAGGGCCGCCTGTACGGCGGCCAGTCCAGGTACGCCCGCGGGCTGGCCCTCTGGCCACGAGCACAGCGTCTGCAGAGTGCGGTAGCCGCAGCCCCAGCCGCGGTCGTCCAGGCCGTCGCAGCCGTAGTGGTAGTAGAGGTAGTGGCCCGAGAGCAGCGCCAGGCGGACAGGGCCGCGGCTCGGCGGGGACAGGCCCACGTGGACGTCCCTCAGCGGCTCCAGGGCGGTGGGCGGGAGCGGAGGTCCCAGGCCAGGCACAGCGTCCTCCTAGCGGCGCGGAGCGACCTCAGGCTCCAACACTTCCTTTCGGCTCCGGGTCTTGGGCCAGCTGCCGCAGGACCGGCGCGCAGACTGGGGACGCGCTCCCCGGGCCTCGTTGATCACCGCAGGCCGCAATAGGCAGCCACCGACCGGCACCGACCGAGGAGCTCCCACAATGCTCCGCCGCGCCCCGCCCCGCCCCGCCCCTCCCCTCCCCTCCCCTCCCCTCCCCTCCCCTCTCCTCCCCTCCGCCGTGCCAGCTAGCCTGCCTGCGGGCCTCATTACGCAGGCGCGAGCTCCGCCCGGCAGGGCAGGGCTAGGGGTTGGCCTTTGCCTTGCGCCCGCCTCGGAGCTCGCCTGTTTCTTGCCCTCCAGCCCCGCTCCTGCATAGACTCGGCCCCCGTGATTCCGGCGTTCTGCCTCTACCCCTGGCTCCCTAGTCGCGCACACTCCCGTGGCTGTAACAGTTTATTGGCAGCCCAGAGGGGCGAAGGCACCGCGGGGGAGGGAGCTCAGCCTGAGACATGCAGAGGACCGGGAGCCCCGGGGGACGTCGGGGTGGGGTGGGGATGGGCAGAGTCTGGGGCTCGTCTGTGTTATAGCCCAGCCCTGAAATAAATAGTATATACAGCTAGGGGGCCGGGCGGAGCGGAGGACATGGGGGTCCCGCCGGGGTCACAGGTCTGAGCAGCGATCCTGCTTGCTGTAGTGGTCGAACTGGTTCTTCCAGTGCACCATGTAGGAGCTCCAGCGGTGGAACTCGGCCTTCCACTGGCGCTCCGCCTCGTCGAGCGTGTCTGCGGCCAGGGCGCCCAGCGAGGCGGGAGGGGAGGACGGCACGAGGAAGGTCGGGGATCGGACATTTGGGCGGGTTGAAGGGGGGGTATGAGTGCAGGGAGGACGCACGGAGAAATGCAGGCGACCACGTGGGACGGTGGCAAGAGGATCAGGAGAATGTGCGAAAGACGAGAGGGAGGATGAGGGCAGAGGCGGGGCCGGAGAAGGACAGCAGGAAGGAGAGAGGAGGAGAAAAGAATGACCGGAAGACGGGAACAGAGGGGACAGGAGGGGGAGGTTGGGGGAAAAAGAAGAGACAGAAATGGTTGACCGTTATAGCCCCAATGGGGGGTGCTACCCCGTCCGGGGCCTCCCACTTCCCCCCAATGTCAGGCTCAGGTTCCAAAAGATAATTTTATAAAAGAATACTGGCTTTTCCATTTCCATTCAAACAACAAAGGCGTGGGGGTCCCTGAGAAGGGTGGGAGGCACGGCCCCCTCCTCCTGCCCTGTCCAGTGTGAGTCTCTCGGTTTGAGGAGGAAGGGAGCACTAGGTCTGAGATCCCTGAGTGGGGCCCTTCCCCACGGTCCGACCACTCATTAGAGGAGGGGCCCCTGTGGCCGTAGGGGAAGAGGCCGTGTTCACAGCCGCCGGAGGTGGGAGAGGAAGAGGAGGAGAAGCTGGTGGAGGAGGAGGAGGGGCAGGGGGAGGCCGGGCCTCGGAGCAGCCTCCCCATGGGTGAAGCCTGGGCAGGTGCTGGGAGCCTCCGAGGCTAGGGGGAGAAGAGAGGGGTTACACCTGGCGGGCTCCCACTCCCCTCCTCCCAGCCGCTGCCCGCTGGCCCCTGCATACCGGTGGCGCTGAGCAATTTGGGGAGGAAGCGGTTCCAGAAGGCGCAGGCCTGGGCGCGCAGCCCCCGCCGCACCTCCAGCGGCCGCAGGTCCAGACTAACGTACTGCTGAGCCCCCGCCGTGTACGGGGGCCATTGTGGGGCCTTGGGGTCTCGGGGCTCATTGGGATCCCTGCGGAAGGAAGGGAAGGCTCAGTCCAGACGGGCAGTGGGAGGAGGTGGCCCCCAACTCCACGGGATCCCGGACTCTTCAGCTCAGCGGAGAGCCCCAGAGAACCCGTCCCCTCCCTCCCACCACTTTCTCCAATGTGCGCGGTCATTGGGGTCTTCCCTTCCTCAAGCGCTCCGTCTCCTTCCGTTTCCCTCAGCTTTTCTGTTCCATCTTTGTTTCTCTCACTAAAAAAATGGCTAGGATGTCTTGAGACTTTCCTAAATAACCAGGACGGGTCCTATGTCTACAAACATCACATTTTTTAACAACACCCATCCAATGCTAGATTTCATTGTCCTCTTCTCGATCCAGGTAAACTGGTGTGTGTGTGAGAGAATGTGTCACTGCTAGTGAATCATCACTGGTTTGACTTAATCCAGCTCCAACTCCTTTGTCTTGGTCTCCCTTTTTTTTTTTTTTTTTTTTTTCCAGAGATAGGGCCACTCAGGCTGGAGTGCAGTGGTGCCATCATAGCTCACTGCAGCCTCAACCTCCCAGGCTCAAGCAATCCTCCTGCCTCACCTTCCCAAGTAGCTGGGACTAGAGGCACGAGCCACCGTGCCTGGCTAAGTTTTGTATTTTTTTTCTTTTTAAGAGTCGGGGTCTTGTTATGTTGTCCAGTCTGGTCTCAAACTCCTGGCCTCAGGGGATCCTCCCACCTTGGCCTCCCAAAGGGCTGGAATTACAGGGGTGAGCCACTGTGCCCCGCCCCCTCCATGTCTACCTCGTCTCCTCCTCACTTTCCTTTGCCTCTGTCTCTGCAAGACCCCCTCTGCCTTCTCTGTCTCCTTTCTTTTTCTCTCCCCTTTTATCTACTTTGTGAGCATATCCCTCTCTGGCTGTTCTATCCTGCCCCTGTCCCACCCGTCCTTTCTGTCTCCGTGTGTCTGCCTTTGTGTGTCCTCCCGCCCCCGACTCCTGTCCTCCCCAGCCTTCTCTCCCTCTGCACTGCTGACCCTGTGCGGGCAAAGTTGGCCCAGTATCGCATCAGTCGCTGGGCGAAGATTTTCTCCTCTGCCGTGTAGTTTCGAGAGGGGTCCAGGGGGATCCCAAAGATGAACTCGATCTCGTAGCCGTGGGGCACCCCCATCCACAGGGGCCAGGAGAGCGTGGAAGCACGGTGTTCAAAGACGTAGGCGTAGACCCGGGCACCCTGGGCAGCCAGTCGCCCAGCCAGCTGGGCCACGGGGCACACGACATTGTGGTCGCCCACCACATCGCTCAGGGCCTCCCTCAGGCGTGCCGGGTCCTCGGGATGCAGCCAGTCTGTGTAATGCAGGACCACAGCCTCGGCTGCCAGGTCACTTACCTGGGGAACCCCGACCCGCACCCCGGCCAGGAACTCGGCCCGGCTGATGAGAGACTCGTTGTCTTTGCTGAAGCCTGGGGCCCCGTAAACCAGAAAATACGAGCCCTCATCCTTCACCACACCCACCAGCACCTGGGGGTGAGGGAGAGGGGGGTGGGATGGAGCGACAGGCACAGACAGACAAGTAGACAGAAACAGATGGACAGACAAAGAGCCAGAGAGATGAACAGTTACAGACCCGGAACCATGGACAGAGAGAGGACGAGATCAGGGGAGGGATGCAGAGAAAGAGAAAATAGACCCATGGTGGCTTTCCTGTCTGCCCTGCTGACCACCCTGGGATCTGAGCCCTCAGGGAGGACTTCTGGGACTTCTGGGAATGGGCCTGGAGAAGCCCTCATGCCTGGGTCCCTGCAGGGAGGGGAGGGACCGTTGGGACCCAGAGGAGCCAGCTTCACGCCAGCTAGCCACTAGTTACCTGCAGGCCGTGGAAGTCTCCCGCGTTGATGAGGGCCTCTGGGGTGTCACTGAGGAAGTCTCCATCTACCACAGGCACGAAGGAGAACCGGAAGACGCTTTCTTGAGGCAGCACGTGCCATTCGTGGTTCACCAGGACCTGCGCTGGTCGTGTCCGAAGGCAGGCTACCAGCTCTGTGTCATTCCCACCAGTGCCGCCTGGAGGACAGCCCACAAGGTGGGCCAGCTGCGTGGCCCTGCGACGGGCCTCTCCCATGCCCACCGTGGCCCAGGGTCCATTGGGGGCACCGCTCTGCAGCACGGCCCTGTGGAACAGGCCCCGGCTGGGCGGGGACAGCAGGTGCATGCCCACCGAGGCGGCTCCCGCGCTCTCCCCAAACAGCGTCACTGATGTCGGGTCACCCCCGAAGGCTGCCACGTTCTCCTGCACCCACTGCAGGGCCAGCCTCTGATCCAGGAGACCCACATTGCCCGGGGCCTCTCGGCTCCCCGGCAGGGCCAGGAAGCCAAAGGCTCCCACCCGGTAGTTCATGGACACCAGCACAGTCCTCTCGGCCTGTACCAAGAAGCGGCCATCGTACACGTCCAAGGAGGAGGCCCCACTGTAGAAGCCACCCCCATAGATCCAGACGAGGACAGGGGTGGGGGATGTAGGCCGGGGGTATGGTGTCCACACGTTGAGGTACAGGCAGTCCTCGCTCAGCTCACGGTTGGGGTTCCACATCTCGGTGCCCTCAAAACCTGGGTATAGGGTGTCCACATATTGGTAGCAGACACTCTGGAAGGTTGTAGCGTCTACCACCCCTGACCAAGGCTGCTTGGGCTCCGGTGGCAGAAAGCGACGGGGTCCCATGGGTGGCTCCGCAAAGGGGATGCCCAGGAAAGCAGAGACAGGGCCCCCGGGGGTCTTCAGGCGAATGCCCCGCAGCCGGCCCCCACGCACCGTCACCAGCAGCTCTGCATCCTCCCGGCCCTCAGCCCCCACTCCTCCACCCAGGAGCCAGAGGAGGAGGAGAAGGAGTGGGGAAGCCAGGGAAGGCGTGTGCAGCAGACACTGCGGGGGCCTCATGGCTGCAGGGCAGGCGGCGTCTGCTGGGAGAAAGAAAGGGAAAGGGTGAAGGGTCGGTCGAGAAGCCAGGAGGGAGGAGATTAGGGCACTGTCGGCCCAAGGGTTATCGCTCAGCTGCAGAGGAGGTGGGGCAGGTTGGCAAAGATGAGGGGAGAGAGGGAGGGAGGGAAGGAGACAGGCAGAGACAAGGACACAGGCCAGCGGGCAGGAGGGGAAAGAGATCAGGCAGACACCCATATCCAGACAAATGCAGGGAACAGAGAGGAGCACCCTCTCTGCTCCGCAGGGGTCCACTGCCCTCACCTCTTCCCGGAACTGGGCCGGGCCCAGCTCGTGCAGTGAGGGCACCAGAAGCCTCAGTCCACGAACAGGCCACCCGACAGGGCGCGGCCTCACGGACGGGCAGCGCCGCTGGGGGAGCTTGCGGCGGCCTGAAGCGCAGCCCCGCTCTCCTGGGTCGGCCAGACCCGGGGCCCTGGGGGGCGGTGGGCTGGGCATTCAGGGTGTGGAAGCCTCAGGTCCCGGGGTCCCCCAAATCCTGCCTAGTCCACTCCCCACCCAACCCTGCCCCTTCTCATCCAATGTCTGGCACCGAGCGCTGATGCCCGCGGGTTCCCATCAGCTGCGCACGCTCCCAGCCCAGCCCCAGCAAACAGGCTCGCCAGCCCGCGTCCCCCAGGACTCGAGAGCCCCCCATCCGTCTGAAGCTGCCGTGCACGCCGCCGCCGGCGGAGGGCAGTAGAGACCGAGAAAAGGTCGGCGCTCCCCGCCCCGAGCCAGGAGCCGGGAACTTGGGGAGGGGGCCTGGGGGCTCGAGGGCCTTGCAGAGCCGCCTGAAGGGCGAGCCGGGACGCCTGCGTTCCCGGGACTCCGGAGATCCCCGGCTGCAGGGGCGGGGGCGCTATTTTGGGGGCAGCAGCTGCTACGGTTCCGGCATCTCCAGCCAAAGGATCAAAATTCCCCGGGTGGGAACTCCCCCCTCTCCCGCCGGTCACTCCTAGCCCAGCCCCCGCCGCCCTGAGCGGGGGGTGGTGGTGCTGCTGGAGATTAACTAGGAAACCCGAGTGGCGCTAATTATAACTCGGGGCTTCCGCCGAGCCTCCCCTTCCCAAAAAATAGAGATGGAGTCTCCGCGGGAGGGGGCGTCCTGGGCCTCGGAGGGGGCCTCTGCGGGGCGCTGCGCAGGGGCGCTGGCTTGTGGCCCTGGGGATGGGGGTGCCCAGCCCGGCGCCGGGAACCTGCGCAGCTCGGGTACCGCCCCAATTAGGGGGTGTCTTCCAGTGGCCCCGGACTAGGGAGCGATCGGGGAAGGGGTGCTCGGGGGTCCCCGCGGGAATCGGAGCGCAGAGGCGGCGGCCGTTCCCGCGGGCTCGGGCTCCTGCGTGGGCGTCGGTGAGTGTGAGGCGGCCGGGGAAGAGTTCCGGACGAGTGCGGGGCAGCGGAGGGCGGCGCGGGGCAGGCCCGGGGAAGCGGGAGCCGTCCCGTTAGGGGGGCCTGGACCCCTCGGGGAGCGCACGGTGCCCCGGACCCGGGCCTTAAGGAGAGTCCCGGGCGGGGAGGGAGACTCACCTGAGGCGGCCGAGCCGGGCCGGGCCGGGCCGCGCCGGGAGCTGGAGGCGGCCGATGTTCCCCGGCGCAGGCTGAGCCGACTCTGACAGCCGCCGCCTCCGGCCCCCCGCACACACCCCCTCCGGGCCTCACAGCGCCCCCGCCCGCCCCCGCCCACTGTCTCCGCCCCCGCCCCTCCCCGCTCTCCCGGGTGGCCACCTCCCCTCTCTCTCCCTCCCTTGGAGCCGAGACCCGGAGACCCCGGGGCCCAGACGCACTCCAGTGCCAGACGCCGACCGACGACAGAGCGCAGTGACAGACGCGACCCAAAGACCTGCAGCGGCGGAGTAGACACCCACGTGACAGACAGACGGACAGAAGCCCGTGGAGACAGACACGCGCAGACGGACGACCTCATGCAGTGACAGGCACAGACAAACGCAGGGACGACTTTCACAGACGGACGGACACACTTGGACACCCTGTCGGTCTCGCTCGAGGCTGGTGAAGTTAGCGCAAGGCCAAGGGGTCATGCATCCCCGGCCACGACACAGACGGGTGGCATGGGAGGAGAGGCATGTGGGAGTGTGGCAGAGTACCGTCCCCTTAGGGGTCCAGGTGGCACGGGTGCAGAAAAGGTGACGTGGGACACTCCTGGGGATGAAAGGACACCTGTGGGAATGGAGATGTAAAATGGGATCGCTAGTGGAAATGAGGTGGGAGGGCATGGAGACAGGAGACCCCTGGGGGAGGAAGGGGTGACTTGGGACACCTGAGAAGGCAGGACAGCGTGGTAGCACGCGCAAGGCTGCTGGGCGAGGCCGCACTCCGCGGCGGCAGTGGAAACTTCTGGAACCCCCGCGGGTGGGTCTGTGCTGGTTCCCTGACGGGTGACTTCGGACTTTCGTCACCAGGGTCCGGTCGGGGCATGACATCACCAGGCCTAGCATTCATTGGCCACGCGGCTGGCAGGTGGGAGCGGCCTGGCTCGGGCGCCCCCAGCCTGCTCCGAGGGGCCTGACCCGCGCAGATTGCCCCCCGCCCCGCCCTCCAGGAGTTCACCCGTGTGGACAGGGCTGCTGCAGCGGGGTCCCCACGACCGAGGTGCATGCGGCAATACCGCGCGGCGCCTGCTTCCTGGAGGCGGCCGGCTCAGGAGCCCCCGAGACCCCGCGTGGGAGAGCGGCCGGCGCAGGCCAGCGTCGGGCGTGCGTGCGCGCGCGCGGCGGTGCGGGGCGCGGCGTGGGGTGGGCGCGTGCGCACACGCTCGCTCTAACCGCCGCGCGCCCCGCAGCGCCCCGCAGCGCCTCGGGCACGCGGGCGCCGCCGCCAGGGACCGCGGGCACCGGGTTGCGGGGCCTCGCAGGGGTTGAATCCGGAGTCTTGCCAGTCCCTGGGCCGCGCGGTTCCCGGCTCTCCAAGCTGGGCGGGCCCCACGCCCGCTCGCCCCACGGGAACCGGGTCCCGCAGGCACGGTCACCCGCGCTCCGCTCGCTGGAGACGGCCGCCAGGTGGCGCAAAAAGCAGCCACTCGGGCCTCGGAGACTGGGCTGGGTTGGGGGTGTTGGGGAGGTGAACCCCTCGCCATCTGTGCCCACTGTCTCCGGCTTTCCCCGCCCCAATCTCAGGCAACCCCAAATCCCCTGCCTGGACACCGAGGCTCCTTGTATCCGGCCTTCAGCGTTCTGGCCGCACTAGTTGAAGGCTCCTCACTGGCCAGACCATGTGCCCTAGTTGAGATCCCTGAAGAGCAGATGTAAGGGCTGTGCATGGGGGAGGGGACAGGAGGGTGGATGGTGGGTGTTGCTGCGGGGGGAATGAATCTGAGGCAGGTTTCTAAGCGTGGTAATTATGAATTATTAAAATGATGGGGCCGCGTGTGGCCCCTAGTGCGGTGCCTGTAATCCCAGCACTCTGGGAGGCCGAGACAGGAGGATCGCTTCAGTCCAGGAGTTGGAGACTAGCCTGGGCAACATAGCGAGACTCCCTTCTCCGCAAAAAAATAAAATGATGGAAACAAACTGTGAACGAGTGCTCTGAGGCCTGCCCCAGTCCTGAGGCTTTAGGGATTTTTGGCCCTGCTAGTGATGAAGGCTTGCCCCTGTCACCCTCCAGACGAACTGTGCCACGCAGGTGTCACCTAACCTCTGTCGTCACGAGTTTCTAGGCCTGTACAATGAAGATAGGGAGGGCAGGGATAGTTTATCACCAGGGTTATCATTTCCTGGAACTATCCCTCTTTTCACCTTGAGCTCTCAGCAACCGTTGTCAACACAGGCACCTAACCTGTCAAGCCAGGAGGCGTTTCCCTACATAGTCTAGCATAGTAAACTCCCCACCCTCCACAGCTGTCACTGCAGGGATGTCCTTGATTTTTCCCATTTCTTCTCTCACCATTTCTGTTTATCCAGGAATGAGCCTTGCTTCTACTACCAGTTCTGCCAATTCAGAGAATTTCCCTACCCCTCTTTTATCTCTGTCTCCCACCTTGGAAGGAAGCGCCATTTTTTTTTTTTAGACAGAGTCTCGCTCTGTCGCCCAGGCTAGAGTGTAGAGATGATGCCATCTCAGCTCGCTGCAACCTCTGCCTCCTGGGCTCAAGGATTCTCCTTTCCCAGCCTCCTGAGTAGCTGGGACTAGAGGCGCCTGCCACCACACCTGGCTAATTTTTGTATATTTAGCAGAGGTGGGGTTTCACCATGTTGGCCAGGCTGGTCTCGAACTCCTGACCTCAGGTGATCCTCCTGCCTCAGCCTCCCAAAGTGTTGGGATTACAGGCATGAGCTGCCATGCCTGGCAGGGAACCCCACTTCTATTACAGACCTTGATCCACATCTTCTAACACAAAAGATTCTTATTTCCTCTATTTATTGGTTAATATTCAATTCAGCTGTATGAGACCAAAAACCAAATAATGGCTTTAACAAGATATAATAGAGGCCGGGCATGGTGGCTCATGCCTGTTGTAATCCCAGTATTTTGGGAGGCTGAGGCAGGCAGATCACCTGAGGTTGGGAGTTCAAGACCAGCCTGACCAACATGGAGAAACCCTGTCTCTACTAAAAATACAAAAAAATTAGCTGGGCATGGTGGCCCATGCTTGTAATCCCAGCTACTCAGGAGGCTGAGGCAGGAGAATCGCTTGAACCCAGGAGGTGGAGGGTGCAGTGAGCGGAAATCATGCCATTGTACTCCAGCCTGGGCAACAAGAGCGAAACTCTGTCTCAAAAAAAAAAAAAAATAATAGAAATGTATTTCTTGGGCCAGGTGCAGTGACTGTCGTCCCAGAACTTTGGGAGGACAAGGAGAGAGGATCACTTGAGGCCAGGAGTATGAGGCCAGCATGGCCAATGTGGTGAGACCCTGTCTCTACAAAAAATAAAAATAATTAGCTGGGTGTGGTGGTGCATACTTATAGTTCTAGCTACTTGGGAGGCTGAGGCAGGAGGATCACTTGAGGCCAGGAGTTTGAGACCAGCCTGGGCAACATGGTAAAACCTTGTCTGTACTAAAAATACAAAAATTAGCTTGGTATGGTGGTGCGTGCGTGTACTCCTAGCTACTTGGGAGGCTGAGGCACAAGAATTGCTTGAACCTGGGAGGCGGAGATTGCAGTGGGCCAAGATCTCGCCACTGCACTCCAGCTTGGGTGACAGAGGGAGACTCTGTCTTAAAAAAAAAAAAAAAGAGACCTAGAAATGAGTCTTGCAGGGTTGGCATGGTGCCCTCAATGTCAGGGTCCAGGCTTCTTTACACGGAACCCTGTTGCTCCTTGCACAGTATCTTGTTACTGCACCATCTTCAGCATGTGACTTCTACCGCATGGCATAGAATGGCTGCTGGAACATCAGCCATCACATCTACATTCCAGCCAGCAGGAAGGAGGAGGGGCTGAAGAACAGTATCTCCTATTTATTTATTTATTTGACAGAGTCTCACTCTGTCGCCCCAGGCTGGAGTGCAGTGGCACTCGGCTCACTGCAACCTCCACTTCCCAGGTTCAAGTGATTCTCCCACCTCAGCCTCCTGAGTAGCTGGGATTACAGGTGCGCACCACCATGCCTGGTTAATTTTTTGTATTTTTAGTAGAGATGAGATTGCACCATGTTGGCCAGGCTGGTCTCAAACTCCTGGCCTTAAGTGATCCACCTGCCTCAGCCTCCCAAAGTGCTGGGATTACAGGCCTGAGCAACCATATCCGGCCGAACTCTTCCTTTAATGATGAGCCTTTGCCCAACCCCCCATTAATCGAGATTGTAACCTGGCAGAATTGGGAGCCTGAGGCCACACAAAGGACTTTCCTCCCTCTACCCACCCCTTCCTATGTCCCCTACTTAATGTTGGGCCAGCCTTCCTGCTGGATCCAAGTTACGTCATCCTACACAGGATAGGATGATTTCTCTTTGCGGCTTATCCATCCTTTTTACCCTTTTCTCTCTTGCTAGTTATGAGCATTTCACACATTTTTTATAGCTTGTCTCTACAAAGTCTTACTTTATTTTCACAATTTTGTTATTTATTTAACGAGTATACAGTATTTCCCATGCAATTCGCCAAATAACCTTTTGCTTAGTTTAGCCTCTTTTCTGGCCGGGGGTAGAGTGGAGTGCGGGTGGCATACCCTTGTGCTCAGAATTTTTTTTTTTTTGGTCTCATTCTGTCACCCGGGGTTGGAGTGAAATGGTGTGATCATATCTCATTGCAGCCTTGAAGTCCTGGGCTCAAGCAGTAACCCTCCTTCAGCCTTCTGAATAGCTGGGACCACAGGTGGCACCACCATGCCCAGCTAATTTTTAAATATTTTATTAATTTGTAGAGACGGGGTCTTGCTATGTTGCCCAGGCTGGTCTTGAACTCCTGGGCTCAAGCGATCCTCCCACCTCTGCCTCCCAAAGTGCTGGGATTATAGGTGTGAGCCACTGCGCCCGGCCATCAGAACTGATCAGTACTTTTCTTGGCATTCCTTTTTGCCCATGAACTTGAGTGCTTCTGAAAGGAGTGAAATATGCAATTTAATTCACCAGTAGTACATTGAACGCCATGTTGCCACTCATCTTCCCTGGTATGACCTGACATCCATCTGACATGGTCCCTGGCATGCTGGTCCAACTGGCTGTCAGTTCCTGGTCTCACAGGTTCCAGCCAACCCTGACTCGGTTTTCAGTTTAAATGTTAGCAGTGCATCTTGAATGGCTTCTTGGAAATAGCTGGTGAGGTTACACTAGGTGCTATAGATGTTTGACACCCAGAGAGCTCCTGGTCACTCCTGGCTGCCCTGCAGGTATCAAGTGGCCAAGTGAGAGCTGTGCCGGAAGCACAGGTTCCATAGATGACCTTGGCTGGGGTTTCCAGGGACACTGAGTATTTAACACAAGATTGGTGCAGAAGTGAGGAGGACTGGTTTGGGATTCTGCCACCTGGCTTGGGGACAGTGCAGGCTGGCTGTGAGGTTGGCCCAGTGGTCAGCTGGATCCCTTAAATGTCCACAACACTGGGGACAACAGGGTGGAGTGGAAGAGTAGCCCAGATCCAATGTTGCTTTCACAGTAGCATGTATGGGGAAGAAGAGCTTGTTTGCCAGCCGCTTCCTGAATGCTTTGCTAAATATCATTTCATTTAATTCTCACTTGTAGCATTCAAATGGGGTAGGCTGTATTTTCTTTGCCTTTTTTTTTTTTTTTTTTAGACGAAGTCTCGCTTTTGTTGCCCAGGCTGGAGTGCAATGGCATGATCTTGGCTCATTGCAACCTCTGCCTCCCGGGTTCAAGTGATTCTCCTGCCTCAGCCTCCCGAGTAGCTGGGATTATAGGTGCATACCACCACGCCCGGCTAATTTTTTGTATTTTAAGTAGAGACGGGGTTTCACCATGTTGGCCAGGCTGGTCTCGAACTCCTGACCTCAGGTGATCCGCCCGCCTCGGCCTCGCAAAGTGTTGGGATTACGGGCGTGAGCCACTGCGCCCAGCCCCAGTGGGTAGGCTGTATTTTCATTACAATTTTTTTTTTTTTTTTGAGATAGAGTCTCACTCTGTCACCCAGGCTGGAGTACAATGGTGTGATCTCGGCTCACTACCTCCTGGGTTCAAGCGATTCTCCTGTCTCAGCCTCCTGAGTAGCTGGGATTACAGGCGCATGCCATCACGCCCAGCTAATTTTTGCATTTTGAGTAGTAACGGGGTTTCACCCTGTTGGCCAGGCTGGTCTCCAACTCCTGACCTCAGCTGATCCACCTGCCTTGGCCTCCCAAAGTGCTGAGATTATGAGCATAAGCCACCACACCCAGGCTATTTTTAGTACAATTTAACAGCTGGGAAACTGAAACTGATGCCCAGAGGCATTAACATACAGGTAATCATACAGAGGTTGTTTCGTTTCATCAGCTGGTAAATTGCAGGCTTTGGACTTTGGGTGAGAACTCTGACCTGGATGGGCTGGGCTGTTTTGCAGCGACTCTCTCCTGTAACTTCTGGAAAATCAAGTAGAGTCTCTCAGGCCCTCCTGGCCCCTCCCTTCCAAGGAGAGAGGTGTGGGGTGTGTGCATTGTTGCGGGGTGGGGGTCCCTGCCCAAGTCCCTGTGCTTCCTGGGAGATGATTATCTTCTGCCTCCCATTCTCCCCCAAGTTCTTCCTCCTCTTTTTTTTTTTTTTTTGAGACAGAGTCTCACTCTATTGCCCAGGCTGGAGTTCAGTGGTGCGATTTCCCCTCATTGCAACTTCTGCCTCCCGGGTTCAAGCGAATCTCCTGCCTCAGCCTCCTGAGTAGCTGGGATTACAGACGCGTGCCACCACACCCAGCTCATTTTTGTATTTTTAGTAGAGACGGGGTTTTACCATGTTGGCCGGGCTGGTCTTGAACTCCTGACCTTGTGGTCTGCCTGCCTCGGCCTCCCAAAGTGTTGGGATTACAGGCATGAGCCACTGCGCCCGGCCCGAGTTTAAATATTGAGATGACAATTACTTCCTAGCCCCTCTCTGCGCCTGCCCTGTCTCCCTACCCTTCCTCTCCCTAACTGACTTAGAGACTGGGGCTCTGCCACAGGGGAGGGTGGGGAACCCTGGGGTCCTAGAGTGGTGGCATGTGGGCAGTGGCAGGTGCTTCCTCCCCTCCTCACTAGAGAGGTGCCCAGCAGGGCCAGGGTCGGGGCTGGGGCTGTGCTGGGAAGCTTTGGGCCATTGACACATGGGAGCTACAGCAGAAAATGGATCAGCTCAGAACATCTGGGGGCTCTCTGCATCTAGGGCGGGACTCCTCCTCCTTTATTTTTAAATTTTTAATTTTTAAAAAAGAGATGGGGGTCTCACTCTGTCACCCAGGCTGGAGTGTAGTGGTGCGATTGTAGCTCACCGTAGCCTTGACCTCTTGGGCTCAAAGGATCCTCTCACCTCAGCCTCCTGAGTAGCTGGGACTACAGACCCATGCCACCAAGCTTGGCTATTTTTTTTTTTTTTGGATAGATACAGGGTTTCGCTATGTTGCCCAGGCTGGCCTTGAACTCCTGGGCTTGAGCGATCCTCCTGCCTTCAGCCTCCTGAGTAGCTGGAATCGATTACAGGTGTGAGCCACCGCGCCTGGCTTCCCTACTTTCATTCAGTTGTGACACCCTCCCATCCTCGTCCTGGGCGCACTTAACAAATGTCTGTGCTGCAGGCAACAGTGATGGCGGGAAATGAGAGGGGAAAGATCTTAGATGAGTGGGGAGAAGTTATTTCCTGGCTGGGGAATATCCTTTTTTAAGTTACATTTTGGGCCAGGCACAGTGGCTCATGCCTTTAATCCCTGTACTTCGGGAGGCCGAGGTGGGTGGATCGTTTGAGCCCAGGAGTTTGAGATCAGCCTGGGCAACATAGGGAGACCCCCTTCTCTACCAAAAATACAAAAATTAGCTGGGTGCGGCGGTGCGTGGCTGTGGTCCCAGCTACTCAGGAGGCTGAGGTGGGAGGATGGCTTGGGCCTAGGAAGTCAAGGCTGCAGTGAGCTGAGATCGTGCCACTGCACTCCAGCCTAGGGGATAAAGGGAAACCCTGTCCTAAAAAAAAAAAAAAAAAAGTTATATTTTATTTATTTGGACAGTTAGTGAATTCATAAAATTGAAAACGTATAAAGTGAAAAGTTCTCCTCTTCCCTGCCTTCCTCGACCCAGTATTCATTCCTAAAGCAGTGTTAACTGTGGTCCTATATTGCATATATTACCCACTTTTTTTCTTCATTTTTTTCTGTAGCCCAAACAGGTACATGCATATATCATCAACAGGTATTTTTCTGCCCTGAATCCATGTTTTTACATAATTGTAGCATCCTTTACACACTCTTCTGTACTTGACTTAAAAAAAAAAGAAAGAAACCTAGCTAACAGTGTATCTTAAGGATAGTTCCAGATTTGTACATCATAGACTTTCTCATTTTTTTTTTTTTTTAGACGGAGTTTAGCTCTGTCACCCAGGCTGGAGTGCAGTGGCGTGATCTCCAATCACTGTAACCTCCGCCCCCCAGAGTTCAAGCGATTCTCCTGCCTCAGCCTCCCAAGTAGCTGGGATTACAGGCGCCTGCCACCACACCTGGCTAATTTTTCCATTTTTAGTAGAGGCAGGGTTTCTGCATATTGGCCAGGCTGGTCTTGAACTCCTGACCTCAAGTGATCCACCTGCCTTGGCTTCCCAAAGTGCTAGGATTACAGGCATAAGCCACCACACCTGGCCCTCATTCTTTATTTTTTGCCTGTTTAATGAAAAGCTGCATACTTTATATTGCATGAAAGTAACATAATTTTATTTATTTATTTATTTATTTGGAAACGGAGTTTTGCTCTTGTTGCCCAGGCTGGAGTGCGATGGTGCGATCTCAGTTCACCACAACCTGCGCCTCCCAGGTTCAAGCGAGTCTCCTGCCTCAGCCTCCTGAGTAGCTGGGATTACAGGCATGTGCCACCACTCTCGGCTAATTTTTTATTTTTAGTAGAGACGGGGTTTCTCCATGTTGGTCAGGCTGGTCTCGAGCTCCCGACCTCAGGTGATCTGCACGCCTTGGCCTCCCAAAGTGCTGGGATTACAGGCATGAGCCACCTTGCCCAGTTGAAAGTAACATAATTTAATTTGTCCCCTACTGATGAGCATTTAAGTTGCTTTCAGTTACTTGCTATTACAAACTTAGTGCACAAATAATTTTGCAGTGTTGCAAGTATATCCCTGGGATAAATTCCTCAACATGTATTACTGGGTCACTAGTTATTGGTTGCCTATAGTTTTGCCAACATAGTATATTTAAAAGTAAAATAAAATTGGCTGGATGTGGTGGCTTATGCCTGTAATCCCAGCACTTTGGGAGGCTGAGGTGGGAGGATCGCTTGAGCCCAGGAGTTCAAGACCAGCATGAGCAACATAGTGAGACTCCCAGCTCTCCAAAAAATAAAAAATTGCTGAGTGTGCTGGCTTGTGCCTGTAGTCACAGCTGCTTGGGAGGCTGAGGTGGGAGGATCGCTTGAGCCCAGGAGTTTGAGGCTGCAGTGATCTGTGATCATGCTACTGTACTCCAGCCTGCATGAGAGAGTGAGAACCTGTCTCAACAAACTCCAAAAACAAAACAAAAAAAATTGTCCCATTTAAGAGGTGAATGGTATTTCAGTACAGCTTTACTTTATTTATTTATTATTTATTTTTGAGACAGAGTCTTGCTCTGTCACCCAGGCTGGAGTGCAGTGGCACAATCTTGGCTCACTGCAACCTCCGCCTCCCAGGTTCAAGCGCGCTCCTGAGTAGCTGGGATTACAGACGCGCGCCACCATGCGCAGCTCATTTTTGTATTTTTAGTAGAGACGGGGTTTCACCATGTTGGCTAGGCTGGTCTTGAACTCCTGACCTCGTGATCTGCCTGCCTTGGTCTCCCAAAGTGCTGGGATTACAGGCGTGAGCCACTGCACCAGGCCAGTTACTTTATTTTTTTAAAAATTAAAAATTAATTAATTTTTAAATTAATATATTTAATTCAGTAAGCATTAAGGGTTTAATTAGCTTAATTTTTCCTATTTCTTTTGAGACAGAGTCTTGCCCTGTCACCCAGGCTGGAGTGCAGTGGTGCTATCTCGGCTCAGTGTAATCTTTGCCCACTGCAATCGCTGCCTCCCGGGTTCAACTGATTCTCTTGTGTCAGTCTCCCGAGTAGCTGAGATTACAGGCATGTGCCATCATGTCCAGCAAATTTTTGTATTTTTAGTAGAGACGGGGTTTTGTCATGTTGGCCAGTCTGGTCTTGAACTCCTGACCTCAGGTGATCCACTCACTTTGGCCTCCCAAAGTGCTAGGATTACAGGCATGAGCCACCGCACCTGGCCTACTTTCTATTATGAGGAAATTTGAGCATCTTTTCATGTGTTTTCCAGTTTTCCGGTTTATTAAGTTCCGCTCTTATCTTTATTAACGTCTATGTGCTCTCTCAGGTTTATAGGTTTATTTTATTGTTTGTTTTACAACTTCTGGAATTGGATTTCTAATTAATTTTATTTATTTATTTATTTTTTAGAGAGGGGCTCTTGCTATGTTGCCCAGACTGGAGTTCAGTGGCTATTTACAGGTACAATCCTACTACTGATCTGCAGGGAGTTTTGACCTGCTTTGCTTCTGACCTGGGCAGGTTCACCCGTCCTTAGACAATCTGGTGGTGCCCCGCTCCCAGGAGGTCCCTACATTGATGCCAAACTCAGTGCAGACACTGGATTGGCATAGTGCACTATAGCTCAGAATTCCTGGGCTCAAGTGATCCTCCCACCTCGGTAGCTGGGTCTGTAGGTGCGCCACCACACTTGGCTGTTTATTTATTTTCATTCTTATTTATTGACCTAATTACTTTAATGCTATACATTGTCCTCTAAGCATTGCTTTTGCTGTATCCTGGAGGCCTTATCTGTATTCTTTTCATTATTTCTATTTTCTTTTTTTTTTTTTTTGAGATGGAGTCTTGCTTTGGCAACCAGGCTGGAGTGCAGTGGCGCGATCTTGGCTCACTGTAACCTCCGCCTCCCGGGTTCAAGTGATTCTCCTGCCTCAGCCTTCTGAGTAGCTGGGATTATAGGCGTCTGCCACCACAACTGGCTAATTTTTGTATTTAGCAGAGATGGGGTTTTACCATGTTGGCCAGGCTGGTCTTGAACTCCTGACCTCAGGTAATCTGTCCACCTTAGCCTCCCAAAGTGCTAGGATTACAGGCGTGAGCAACCATGCCCGACTAGTGCCCTGTGTTTTGGACACTTCCTCATTCTTTGTCTTTCATGACCTTGACACGTTTGAAGACCACTGGCCAGTTACTTTGTAGAATGTCCCTCAATTTGGATTTGTCCCAATCACTGGGTTAATAAGTATCACATTATTTATATTAAAAATTTTTACTTTTTTGAGACAGAGTCTTGCTCTGTCGCCCAGGCTGGAGTGCAGTGGTGTGATCTCGGCTCACTTGGCTCACTGCAGCCTCCACCACCCAGGTTCAAGTGATTCTCCTACCTCAGCCTCTCAAGTAGCTGGGACTACAGGCACCCACCACCACGCCCGGCTAATTTTTGTGTTTTTCGTAGAGAGGGGGTTCGCCATGTTTGCCAGGCTGGTCTTGAACTCCTGACCTCAAGTGATCCACCCACCTGGGCCTCCCAAAGTGCTGGGATTACAGGCGTGAACCACTGTGCCTAGCCTTGGTCTTCATTTAATCTGAGATGAACAGTGGATGGAAGCATCTTTTTTTTTTTAGATGGAGTCTCACACTGTCTCCCAGGCTGGAGTGCAGTGGCACGATCTCAGCTCACTGCAACCTCCATCTCCCGGTTCAAGCAATTCTCCTACCTCAGCCTCCCAAGTAGCTGGGATTACAGGCACCCGCCACCACACCCAGCTAATTTTTGTATTTTTAGTAGAGATCGGGTTTTGCCATGTTGGTCAGGCTGATCTTGAACTCCTGACCTCAGGTGATCCTCCCGCCTCAGCCTCCCACCGTGTTGGGATTACAGGTGTGAGCCACGGCACCCAGCCGGAAGCATCTTTTTTCTGTTTGTTTTGTTTGTTTGAGACGGAGTTTTGCTCCTGTTGCCCAGGATGGAGTGCCATGGTGCAATCTCAGCTCACTACAATCTCTGCCTCCCGGGTTCAAGCAATTCTCCTGCCTCAGCCTCCTGAGTAGCTGGGATTACAGGCATGCGCCACCACACCTGGCTAATTTTGTATTTTTTAGTAGAGATGGGGTTTCACTATGTTGGTCAGGCTAGTCTCGAACTCCTGACCTGAAGTGATCCACCTGCCTCGGCTTCCCAAAGTGCTGGGATTACAGGCGTGAGCCACCACGCCTGGCCGGAAGCATCTTAAAATGTAAAACTGCAGATGCAGGTTTAGCAATTTAGACGCTTGCACCCAAGATGCACATATTACTAGAGCAATGCCAAACAAATGTGATTCTGTGGGGTTTCTGTTTGATTTTTAATTTGGAAGGGATTCTGGCTGAGTGAGGTGGCTCACATCTGTAATCCCAGCACTTTGGGAGGCTGAGGTGGGCAGATCACTTGAGGCCAGGATTTTGAGACCAGCCTGGCCAACATGGTGAAACCCTGTCTCTACTGAAATTATAAAAATTAGCTGGGCATTGTGGTGGGCACTGGTAATCCCAGCTATTTGGGAGGCTGACACAGGAAAATTGCTTGAACCTGGGTGGCAGAGGTTGCAGTGAGCCGAGATTGTGCCACTGCACTCCAGCCTGGGCGATAGAGCGAGACTCCGTCTCAAAAGAAAAAGATTCTAAGGCATGGCAAATAAGATTTAAAAATTCTGTTGTACAATACTATGTCACATCTCAATGTGACTTAAATGTAGGAATTATAACCAGGATGTCCTTCAGTCCTTGGATTTCTCCAGCCTTCATTTGTTGATATAGTTTGGATGTTTGTCCTTTCCAGATTGCACGTCGAGATGTAATCCCCAGTGTTGGAGATGAGCCCTGGTTGGAGGTATTTGGCTCATGGGGGTGGATCTCTCATGAATGGTTCAGTGCCAACCCCTTGGTGCTGTTTCTGCAATAGTGAGTGGGATCTGGTTGTTTAAGAGTGTGGCACCTCCCTCC
Source organism: Homo sapiens (assembly GCF_000001405.40). Lineage (NCBI taxonomy): Eukaryota > Metazoa > Chordata > Mammalia > Primates > Hominidae > Homo > Homo sapiens. The sequence goes on from NC_000007.14 coordinate 100,908,864, forward strand.
CGCACTCTCTCTTGCTCTCTCTCTTGCCCTGTGACATGCCAGCTCCCCTTCAACTTCCCCTGTAAGTGGAAGCTTCCTGAGGTCCTCACCAGAAGCAAATGCTGGCACCGTGCTTCCTGTACAGCCTGCAGAACCGTGAGCCAAATAAACTTTTTTTCTTTATAAATCACCCAGTCTTAGGCATTTATAGCAATGCAAGAATGGCCTAACACGTTTGTTTTGCAACTGTGAGTGTGAATCAACATATTGGTTCTTTTCAATGCTCAAAACATTGTGCTTTAATTGTGAGACACATAAGGCTGGCATATGGGTTGCCAAAATTATGATTCTTGAAAGTCCTGGCAGATATTTCAAAGTAAAATAATGAAAATTTATAGAAAGGAATTGAGGAATAAAAGAATTTAAATAAGAATAAGTTTAATAAATTTAAGTAAGAATTTAAGGCCAGGCGTGGTGACTCATGCCTGTAATCCAGCATTTGGGAGGCCGAGGTGTGTGGATCACCTGAGGTCAGGAGTGTGAGACCAGCCTGGCCAACATGACCAAACCCCGTCTCTACTAAAAATACAAAAATTAGCCGGGCATGATGGCAGGTGCCTGTAATCCCAGCTGCTCAAGAGGCTGAGGCAGGAGAATCACTTGAACCTGGGAGGTGGAGGCTGTAGTGAGCCAAGATCGCACCACTGCACTCCAGCCTGGGTGACAGAGTGAGACTCTGTCTCAAAAAAAAGGCTGGGTGTGGTGGCTCATGCCTGTAATCCCAGTACTTTGAGAGGCCGAGGTGGGTGGATCACCTGAGGTTAGGAGTTCAAGACCAGCCTGGCCAACATGGCAAAACCCTGTCTCTACTAAAAAATACAAAAAATTATCTGGGCCTGGTGGCGGGCGCCTGTAATCCCAGCTATTTGGGAGACTGAGGCAGGAGAATTGCTTGAATCTAGGAGGTAGAGGTTGCAGTGAGCCGAGATCGCACCACTGCCCTCCAGCCTGGGCAACACAGCGAGACTCTGTCTCAAAATAAATAAATAAATAAATAAATAAATAAATAAAAAGGTGTTCGGCTCTATAAAGATCTACTTTTCCCCAAATCTATTTTTTTCTTTTTAAGGGACAGGGTCTTGCTCTGTCACCCAGGCTGTAGTACAGTGGCATAATCATAGCTCACTGCAGCCTCAAACTCCTGGGCTCAAGTGAGCCTCCCACCTCAGCCTCCCCAGTAGCTGGGACTACAGGTGTGTGCCACCCCGCTGGGCTAATTTTTGCATTTTTTGTAGAGAAGGGGTCTTGCTATGTTGCCCAGGCTGGTCTCGAACTCGTGAGCTCAAGCAATCTGCCCGCCTCAGCCTCCCAAAGTGCTGGGATTACAGAAGTGAGCCACTGTGTCTGGTCTACGTTTTTATTTTAAATTGAGCATTAAGGGAATGCAGTCTTTTAATCAGAACTCTGCCAATGCTTTTTATCTAGATGCCTATTGCCACTTTTGTCTTCTATGAAATTTTTGTCTCAAGAAAAGCAGGATTACATTTTTTTTCCTTAACAGATTGAGTTGGTGATGTGTATTCTTGGTTACCAAAATGCTCACATAGCTTTAGGTTTTGAATGGGTAAATATTCATGATGCGTGAAAAAGCATAATACGTATTGTGTGATCTCAGTCCTATGAGATTGGATGTTCTGCCTACACCCAGGACCCTAGAAGGAATGTCAAGCTGTAAAATGCTGGTGATTGTGGATGACTTTGTTTTTTGCTTCCTGTTTTTCAATTTCCTTTTTTTTTTTTTTTTTTTTTTTTTAGGCGGAGTCTCACTCTGTCACCCAGGCTGAAGTGCAATGACGCAGTCTTGGCTCACTGCAACCTCCGCCTCTTGAGCTCAAGCGATTCTCCTGCCTCAGCCTCCTGAATAGCTGGGATTACAGGCACATGCCACCACACCCGGCTAATTTTTGTAATTTTAGTAGAGATGAGGTTTCACCATGTGGGCCAGGCTGGTCTTGAATTCCTGACTTCAGGTGATCCACCCGCCTCGGCCTCCCAAAGTGCTATGATTACAGGCATGAGCCACTGTGCCCGGCCTATTTCTTCTATCTAATTGTATTTTTGTAGCTATCAACCAACCTCTCTTCACTGCCCCCTCCCTACACTCTGATAACTGTCAGTCTACTCTACCTCCACGAGGTTCTTCCTTTTTTTTTTTTTCTGAGACAGAGTCTTGCTCTGTTGCCCAGGCTGGAGAGCAGTGGCATGATGTTGGCTCACTGCAACCTCCGCCTCCTGGGAGTCAAGTGATTCTCCTGCCTCAGCATCCCGAGTAGCTGGGATTACAGGTGTGCAGCACCATGCCCGGCTAATTTTTGTATTTTTAGTAGAGATGGGGTTTCACCATGTTGGCCAGGATGGTCTCAAACTCCTGACCTCAAATGATCTGCCCCCCTCGGTCCCCAAAGTGCTGGGATTACAGGCATGAGTCTCACTGGCGTGAGAATTTAGAAGCACCTCTCCCACCCGCGCCCAGCTGGCCTCTTCTAGAATTTTATATAAATGGAATAGTCATATTGTCTACTATTTGACTTTTTTCACTATCCTAATGTTGTTGCAATTCTTCCAAGTCAGTTCACATATATTTCATTCCTTCTTATTGCCAAAGAGGATTCCATTGTATGGATATACCAAAATTTATCCCTTCACTATCTGATAACCTCCCTTCTTAATTTTTAGCTATTATAATTAGTACACTCAAAACTTGTGTGTGTATACATGTTCATTTCTCTTAAGTAAATACCTAGATCAAGATAATCAGGCTGGGCGAGGCAGCTCATGCCTGTAATCCCAGCCCTCTGGGAAGCTGAGGCTGGAGGATTGCTTGAGCCCAGGAGTGTGAGACCAGTTTGGGCAACATGGTGAAACTCTGTACAGAAAAATAAAAAAAATTAGCCGGGTGTGGTGGTGCATGCTTGTAATCCCAGCTACCCAGGAGGCTGAGACAGGAGGATTGCTTGAACCCGGAAGATTGAGGCTGCAGTGAGATGTGATCACACAACTGCATTCCAACCTGGGTAACAAAATGAGACCCTGTCTCAAAAAAAAAAAAAAAAAAAAAAGAGATGGCGGGGCACGGTGGCTCATGCCTGTAATCCCAGCACTTTGGGAGGCTGAGGCAGGTGGATCACCTGAGGTCAGAAGTTTGAGACCAGCCTGGCCAACATGGTGAACCCTGGTCTCTACTGAAAATACAAAAAATTAGCTGGGTGTGGTGGTGGGTGCCTGTAATCCCAGCTACTTGGGAGGCTGAGGCAGGAGAATTGCTTGAACCCGGGAGGCGGAGGTTGCAGTGAGCTGAGATTGTGCCACTGCACTCCAGCCTGGGCGACAGAGCGAGACTGTTTCCAAAAGGAAAAAAAAAAAGATAATCAGTAGGACCAAGACATGGGAACAAAGACTGTTCGCTGCTCTCAACAGACGCTACTCAGTGCCACCATGAGCTTGTCAGGTAAACGTCCAAAGAGAGAGGGAGGAAAGAAAAAAAATATTTTAGCCACCTAGAATTACAAGTAGTTCTACACATTTTACTTAAAAAAAGAAGGAAAAAAGGTACTGATTATCTCGCGGTGGGGGGCGTCCCCAGAGAGGCTGCTGGTTGGAGACACAGGGCGCCTTTCCTCTTCCCACTTTCCCTCTTGTCAGCCAGAGACAAAGAACTCAGGCTTCAGGTGGCTCAAAACGTAAAGGAAGAAAAAAAAAGAAAAAAAAGAAGCCGGGCACAGTGGCTCACGCCTGTAATCCCAGCATTGGGAGGCTGAGGTGGGCAGATCATGAGGTCAGGAGTTCGAGACCAGCCTGACCAACATGGTGAAACCCCGTCTCTACTAAAAATACAAAAATTAGCTGGGCATGGTGGTGGAAGGTAATCGCCATTGCACACCAGGCTGGGCAGCAAGAGTGAAACTCTGTCTCAAGAAAAAAAAAAAAAAAGAGAGAGAGAGAGAGACTGCTGCTTCAGGAAGTTAGAAGTCCAAGAAAAAAAGGAGAACTTTAAACTTTAAGTATTGAGCAAACACCAGGTCTAGCAAACATAATGTTATCTCTAGATTACTTATTGATTAATGAGCAAACCTGTAGGTACAGGGAGAAAATAAAAGGTGACTAACTAAATTATATATACATATAAAATATACATACATAATATATGTGATATAATACATATATTACTGTATAATATATACATATGTACACATATGTGTGTATATATATTAATATATAATACATTATATATTATTATATGTACCATATAGGTATACTACATGTATATTCTATACACATTATATATGTATATATAATTTATCTAGTCACCTTTTATTTTCTCCTTGTACCTAGAGGTACAATATATATGGTTAAATATATTGTATATATTATATACAATATATTATATATGTAGATATGTATACCTTATATGTACATATGTATATTATATGTAACAATATATATGTAGATATGTATACCTTATATGTACATATGTATATTATATGTAATACATTATATGTATTATACATATATAATATACATATGATACATATATAATATTTTAATATAAATATAAACAGATAAATTTAGTATACAATATATTTTCCATAGTTTGATTCAACTGGAAATTCAAAATTCATATAACAAAAATATAAAAAAGGACACTGGGTTTTGTGCCTCTACAATGTAGGTTCTAACTTTAACCTTTCAAAAAATGCACTAGGCCAGGCGTGGTGGCTCACGCCTGTAATACCAGCACTGTGGGAGGCCAAGGTGGGAGGATTGCTTTAGGCCAGGAGTTTGAGACCAGCCTGGGCAACATAATGAGACCCCTGCCTCTACAAAAAAAATTAAAAAAAAAGTTAGCCAGGCATGGTGGCGAATGGCTGTTGTCCCAGCTACTCTGGAGACTGAGGCAGGAGGATTGCTTGACCCCTGGAGGTTGAGGCTACAGTGAACCATGATAGTGCCACTGCACTTCAGCCTGGGTGACAGAGGGAGACCCTGCCTCCAAAAAAAAAAAAAAAAAAAAGAAGGAGCCCCATCCTACATACCAGATGCCAGACAACATCACCCCAAAATCTCACTGCTGTAGATGCCATCATCTCAGACGACATCACCCCAACCCAGGGCCTTGACACTAGAGATGACTTCACCCCTTACGCTAAACCTTCACTCCTTGGGTGGTAAACCTAGGTCACGCCCATGGATTCACCTCTCCTAAGACACAAATGGACATAGGACATTTTTACTTTTCTTTCTGAACTCCCTGCCTGCATAGGCTATGATCTTAGTACGCTGCTTGCTCTCTGCTCACATCCATCCCTAAAAGAAACTCTGGCCATGTGCAAGCCAATCTGGAAGCCATGCCAGTGTGTGACAGCATCATTACACTCTGCTCTAGGTCCAGAGTTGATCTGTTCCCTTGGCGCCACCCTAGGCGGTGGAGTGGGTGGCTGTGCATGGGATTTCAGGTCAACTGGGTGCCTTCATATGCTTCAACTGTTTACGCTCATCCAAGGCCTTACTCAGCATGGCACGTAGCCCAGACTTCTCTGATAGCCTTTAATATCCACACCATTCGAACGGTACCCGTTGGAATATGCACAAGGTCTCACGCCTAGGTCAGTGGTATTAGGAACAACAGACCAAAGGTTGCTGGCTAGACTTTAGAAGTAGATCACCACATCCACATGGGCCAAGCTGGTAGCCAGAATATGAACTTAAAGGCGCCTCTCTCACCCAGCAGGCTGGGCTCCCTGCATTCCCGCCACTTCCTTTATTTTTATTTATTTATTTATTTATTTATTTATTTATTTATTTATTTTGAGATCGAGTCTCGCTCTGTTGCCCAGGCTGGGGTGCAATGGTGCGATCTCAGCTCACTACAACCTCTGCCTCCCAGGTTCAAGCGATTCTCCTGCCTCAGTCTCCTGAGTAGCTGGGACTATGGGCGCAAGTGACCAGGCCTGGCTAATTTTTATATTTTTAGTAGAGATGGGGTTTCACCAGGCTGGCCAGGTCTCGAACTCTCTACCTCCACGAGGTTCTTTCTTTCTTTCTTTCTTTGAGAGAGTCTTGCCCTGTTGCCCAGGCCTCGAACTCCTGACCTCAAGTCTCAAACTCTTCTCTTCAAGTGATCCACCCGTCTCGGCCTCTTGGCCTCCCAAATTGCTGGGATTATGGGCATGAACCACCGCGCCCAGCCCCCACCACTTTCTTTAAGTGGAGCATTTAGACATCTGCCCTTGAACTTCAAGTGACTGGCACTGTATTCCCCTCTCTATATATGTACTGCTAGTTGCCACATGCTCTCTCCACTCGACTCTACTCCTATTCTCTCTTTCTCTACTTGACCTGGGGATGGAGGACTGTTCTCCTAACTCATGGTGCCCTCCTGACTCATGGTGTTTTCCCAACTCATGGTGCCCTCCTGACTCATGGTGCCCTTCCTGCCTAGGAGGCCCTTATTTATTGTCTGTAAAAAATCTCTGGGGCCAGGCACAGTGGCTCATTTCTTTAATCCCAGCACTTTGGGAGGCCAAGGCAGGAGGATCACTTGAGCCCTGGAGTTCAAGACCAGCCTGGGCAACATGGTGAGACTCCATCTCTTTTTTTTTTTTTTTTTGAGATGGAGTCTCACTCTGTCGCCCAGGCTGGCGTGCAGTGGCACGACCTCAGCTCACTGCAAGCTCCACCTCCTGGGTTCACACCATTCTCCTGCCTCAGCCTCCCGAGTAGCTGGGACCACAGGCGCCCGCCACCACACCTGGCTAATTTTTTTGTATTTTCAGTAGAGACGGGGTTTCACTGTGTTGGCCAGAATGGTCTCGATCTCCTGACCTCGTGATCCGCCCGCCTCGGCCTCCCAAAGTGCTGGGATTACAGGCGTGAGCCACTGCACCCGGCCGGTGAGACTCCATCTCTATAAAATAATAATAATAAAAAGAAATCTTTGAACTTGTTTCCTATTGTGATGGTGTCAGAAGCATTTGAACCAGAGCGACCCCATCTTGAGTAGGGACTGGGTAGAATGGGCTGAGACCTGCTGGGCTGCATCCCAAGAGGTTAGGCGTTCTTAGTCACAGGATGAGATAGGATGTAGGTTACAAAGACCCTGATAAAACAGGATGCAATAAAAAAAATGCCAGCCATGGCCACGTGCTTTGGCTCACATCTGTAATCCCAGCACTTTGGGAGGCTGAGGCGGGCGAATCACAAGATCAGGAGTTCGAGACCAGCCTGGCCAACATAGTGAAACCCTATCTCTACTAAAAGTACAAAAAATTAGCCGGGCGTGGTGGCGGGCCCCTGTAATCCCAGCTACTCAGGAGGCTGAGGCAGGAGAATCACTTGAACCCGGGAGGTGGAGGCTGCAGTGAGCTGAGATTGTGCCATTGCACTCCAGCCTGGGCGAAAGAGCAACTCCGTCTCAACAAAAGCCGGCCAAAACTCGCCAAAACCAAGATGGCAACAAGAGTGACCTCTGGCTGTCCTCACTGCTCATAATATGCTAATTATAATACATTAGCTTGCTAAATGGCACTCCCACCAGTGCTGTGACTGTTTGCAAATGCCATAGCAATGCCCAGAAGTTACCCTATATGGTCTAAAAGGGGGAGGAATTCTCAGTTCTGGGAAATTCCTACCCCTCTTCTGGAAAACTCATGAATAATCCACCCCTTCTTTAGCATACGATCAATAAATAACCATTAGAAAATAGCCAACCAACAAAACAAACAAACTAATAAAAAAAGAAGAACAAACAATAAAAAACAAAACGAAACAAAAATGGCCAACCAGCAGCCATCGGGGCTGCTCTGTCTATGAAGCAGCCATTCTCACGTTTTTTCACTTCTGTAATAAACTTGCTTTCACTTCACTCTGTGGACTCACTCCAATTTTTTTATTTTTTTATTTTTTTTATTTTTTGACGGAGTCTCGCTCTGTCACCCAGGCTGGAGTGCAGTGGCATGATCTCAGCTCACTGCAAGCTCCGCCTCCTGGGTTCATGCCATTCTCCTGCCTCAGCCTCCCGAGTAGCTGGGTCTACAGGCATGCCTGTCACCACGCCCGGCTAATTTTTTGTATTTAGTAGAGACGGGGTTTCACCGTGTTAGCCAGGATGGTCTCGATCTCCTGACCTCGTGATCCGCCCGCCTCAGCCTCCCAATGTGCTGGGATTACAGGCGTGAGCCACTGCGCCTGGCCCTTCCAAATTCTTTCTTGCACAAGATCCAAGAACCCTCTCTTGCGGACTGAATTAGGACCTGTTTCCGGTAAAAGTGCTTTCCTGAATTTTCAACTTCCATCTGAAGAACTAGGGGAAATCTGAGGCTGGGTTTTCCCTGGGGCGCCTGGGGGAACATAAGATTGGGCTCCCAGAGCCAGAGAGACCATCCAGCAGGCATAAACTGGACGTGGTGGGTCACACAAAAGCCACGAGGTGTCTGCCAGTATAAGCAAGTTTCCCAAGTAAGGGACCTTTAGGGATCCCTAAGCATTAGGCCATCCATTAGGTAAATAAGTATCCTGTGAAAAGCCCGCTGTGAACACTACACCCAGCTTCCCTTCATTTCTCCTTAAAGCAGGTTTGCTAGCCGCTCTGCTACTGAGACCCTCATGTAGCTCTCAAAGCAGGGTGTCTTTCCATGTTCTTGCTCGCCCCGCTCCCCAGTAGCTTGGGCCTGCCGTGGCTGGTTATGTTAGAGTAGGTATCTAGGCAGACATGAGGAGGGTAGGAGAGGATGCCCCATTCCCTTCCCCAGTAATGTCAAGTGACAAATAGGTGGTGGTCAAGTGGTTGTTAAACTGTCTTTCTGAAATAATAATTGGTTGTAGCTGGCGCCAGGGAAAGGTGGTTTCCCAATAGACAGAAAACACCTGAGGCTGGTGATAAGCAGCTTCCTGATAAGATCTCAGGAGTTGGGTGAGTGGGCTCAAGCATGTGCACTAAGAGGCAACATGGCAGAGTTTAAGTGGTATTTCTTTTTTGTTTTGTTTTTGATGGAGTCTTGCTCTGTCGCCCAGGCTGGAGTGCAGTGGAGTGATCTCGGCTCACTGCAATCTCCAACTCCCAGGTTCAAGGGATTCTCCTGCCTCAGCCTCCCAAGTAGCTGGGATTACAGGTACACACCACAACGCCCAGCTAATTTTTTTTTTTTATTTTTAGTAGAGACGGAGTTTCACCATGTTGGCCAGGATGGTCTTGATCTCTTGACCTCATGATCTGCCTGCCTCAGCCTCCCAAGTGTTGGGATTACAGGTGCGAGCCACCGCGCCCGGCCCCAGCTAGTTTTTATATTTTTAGTAGAGGGGGGTTTCACCATGTTAGCCAGGCTGGTCTTGAACTCCTGACCTCAAGCAATCCTCCTGCCTTGGCCTCCCAAAGTGTTGGGATTACAGGCGTGAGCCACTGCACTTGGCCAACAGATCTATGTCTTCCCAGGAACCCTCAGCTGGTAGGGGAAGAACGCCTCAAACGAGCATGTGCACAACTTCAGTAAATATACTGTTCCCACCCCAAGGGAAAATCAAGGGAGAAGAGACGCAACCCCCGGAACCATGCCAATGTATAAAACCCCAAGTCAGGGGCTCAACAGTGCACTTGAATCTCTCAAGTTGCCTGCTTGGCCCTCTTCCAAGTGTACTTTACTTCCTTTCTTTCCTCTAAAACTTTTTTTAAAAATTTATATTAATTAATTATTTTTGAGACAGAGTCTTGCTGTGTCATCCAGGCTGGAGTGCAGTGGTGTGATCTCAGCTCACTGCAACCTCTGCCTCCTGGGTTCAAGTGATTCTCCTGCCTTAGCCTCCCCAGTAGCTAAGATTACAGGCGCCCGACACCACGCCTGGCAAATTTTCGTATTTTTAGTAGAGACGGGGTTTCGCCATGTTGGCCAGGCTGGTCTTGAACTCCTGGCCTCAAGCAATCCGCCCATCTCAGCCTCCCAAAGTGCTGGGATTATAGGCATGAGCTGTCCCGTGCCCGGCCTCGTTCCTGTTCTAAAACTTTTTAATAAACTCTGACTCCTGCTCAAAAACTTGCCTCAGTCTCTCACTCTGCCTTATGCCCCTCAGAGGAATTATTTCCTTCGAGGAGGCAAGAATTGAATTGCTGCAGACCCGTGTGGATTCGCTGCTGCTAACAAAAGAAGCAACCCATGAAAGGGACACTGCAAACACCATGTCCTTCATTTCCCATTAAAGCAGGGTTACTAGCTGCTCTGCTACGGAAACCCCCATTTAGTTGGGGGCTTTCAAAGCAAGATCTCTTCCCATGTTCTTGCTTTCCTCACCCTGCCAACAGCTTGGGACTGTTCTTGTGGGTTACTTGGTGTGAGGCTCATGGTAGAGGTGTTACAGGAAAGGAGTCCCAATCCAGACCCTTCAAGAGAGGGTTCTTGGATTTTGCATAAGAATTCAGGGTGAGTCCGTAAAGTGAAAGCAAGTTTATTAGGAAAATAAAGAAATAAAATAATGGCCTTTCCATAGACAAAGCAGCCCTGAGGGTGGCTGGTTGACCATTTTTATGGTTGTTTCTTGATGACATGCTAAACAAGGGGTGGATTATTCATGCCTCCTCTTTTTAGACCATATAGCGTAATTTCCTGACGTTGCCATGGCATTTGTAAACTGTCATGGCGCTGGTGGGAGTGTAGCAGTGAGGACGACCAGAGGTCACTCTCTTCACCATCTTGGTTTTGGTGGGTTTTGGCCGGCTTCTTTACTGAAACTAAGGGAGGAGACCACCCTTCATATTGTCTTATGCCCAATTTCTGCCTCCAAAGAAAGAAGAAGTAAAAACTAAAAGGCAGAAATGAAATCCACATTTCATTTCTAAAAGACAGCCCAGTGCCACACACTGGGCCTGGTTGTTAAAGATTGACCCCTGACCTAATTGGTTATGTTATCTATAGATTACAGCTATTGTATAGAAAAGCACTGTGAAAATCCCTGTCCTGTTCCATTCTAATTACCGGTGCATGCAGCCCCCAGTCACGTACCCTCTGCTTGCTCAATCAATCACGACCCTCTCATGCAGACCCGCTTAGAATTGTGAGCTCTTAAAAGGGACAGGAATTGCTGACTCAGAGAGCTCGGTTGTTGGAGACGTGAGTCTTGCTGAAGCTCCTGGCTGAATAAAGCCCTTTCTTCTTTAACTCAGTGTCTGAGGGGTTGTGTCTGCGGCTTGTCCTGCTACAAAACCTGTTTCATCAGCAAGGTCTTTATGACCTGTATCTTGTGCCGACCTTCTATTTCATCCTGTGACTTAGAATGCCTTAACCATCTGAGAATGCACCCAGTAGGTCTCAGCCTCATTTTACCCAGTTCCTATTCAAGATGGAGTTGCTCTGGTTCACCTGCCTCTGACAGAGGCATGGTATTCCATTTCTTCAGGGCTAGTCTCTGTCTCAGGCAAGTTTTTTGCTCCTGGGTCTTGGGGATGGAATTTCTCAGCATATCTGTCCTTCCTCGTGGCAGCCAAACTTTTCCTTTTGTCTTTGGGTTGGTGGGGGTTTTGGCAGGACAGAATTTCTCATCCCTACTCCCATGGTGGCTGACCTCTCTGTATCTGTGCAGGCTTCTGAGTGCAAGCAGCTGTCCTCCCCTCCACCAGGGCACTCAGCTTTGCCTCTAGTTCTTCTTCAGCAGCAGCTAGCTTGGAAAGGAGAGCAGGAGGATGTGTAACCACCTGAGAGGTTCTTCTTGCCTGCTGCGTAAAGAAACACCATGGCATTGTAGTAGAGAAAGAGTTTAATAGACACAAGGCTCGCCATGCCACATGGGAGATGGAGTTAGCATTCAAATCATCTTGTCCAAAGCTTGTATGTTAGGGGTGTCATGGGAAAACGACAGCTGGTGGTGTGGGGTAAAAGAATTTGTGAAGACAGTTGTAAGTAAAGGAAGCCAAATTTATTAGACAAAGTAGGAAAATACACTGCCAGAGAGATAACGGGCTACCAGCAGAAGAGAAACTGACTGCAAAAAACAAAGACTCGCTGGAGATTTTATAGGGTAGTGTTTATGCTCTCTGTTGAAGAGGGCTTTATGTAGTACTGATAACATCAAAGTTGCAGTGAGCTAACTTACAGGTGTCTGGTGATAGCTGGGTGCAGGAAAGGTTGTAAGTTACTTGTGCAGGAGGGCTGTGTGTCCTGGATCATGAAGAAAGACAGACTTGTTGCTTATCTGCTTTCTCTTTTTGCTTTCTCTTGGTTCCACCAGCCTGGTTCCCTTTCCCTAATTAGGACTCCACAAAGGGATGAGGGTGGCCAGGTAATAGGTGCTTGCTGCTGATTGGTTGGGGTGGAGATGAAATTCTGCCTCCTGCAGGCAGAATTGCTTCTGGGCAGGGCCACAGGGGTGGGTTTGGTGGGGGATTCAGGTGGGTTCAGGTGGAGCCATGGATGTCTGACATGCAAAAATCCTGAAAAGACATCTCAAAAGGCCAATCTTAGGACTCAAGCTCCTCTCCTCCAAGCCTGATGGTCTCCCATTGGCTTTACAAAAGGCTTTGGGGAGGAGAGGAGTTTCAGGGCAAGGCCTGTTATCATTTAAATGATAACCTAAAATGTCTTCCAAAGTTAGCTTGGCCCAATAGCCCCCAAATAATCAAGGGAAAGGCAAGGTGGTGCAGGTGGAGGGTGTTAACTCTGCTTACTATTATAATTTTTCTCAGTGATAAAATTTTCACAAAGGCAGTTTTAGGTAGACTACTGATCACTGTCAACTGATGTGTTGACAAAAAGAGTTAAACTCTAAAATATTTAAAGAGATTTATGCTGAGCCAAATATGAGTGACCAAGGCCCATGACATAGCCCCTAAAAGTCCTAAGAACAGGTGCCCAAGGTGGTTGGTTTACAGCTTTTATACATTTTATTTTATTTTATTTTAGGCAGAGTCTCACTCTGTTGCCCAGGCTGGGGTGCAGTGGCACTCACTGCAACCTCTGCCTCTCAGGCTCAAGCAATTTTTGTGCCTCAGCCACCCAAGTAGCTGGGATTACAGGTGTGCATTACCATGTCTGGCTAATTTTTGTATTTTTATTGGAGATGAAATTTCACTATGTTGGCTAGGCTGGTCTCGAACTCCTGGCTTCAACTGATCCTCCTGCCTTGGCCTCCCAAAGCGCTGGGATTACAGGCATGAGCCAGCACCCCTGGCCAATTTTTTTTTTTGAGAGGGAGTCTTTCTCTGTTGCCCAGGCTGGAGTGCAGTGGCACAATCTCAGCTCACTGTAACCTCTGCCTCCTGGGCTCAAGTGATCTCCTGCCTCAGCCTCCTGAGTAGCTGGGATTACAGGTGCCCACCACTATACCCGTTAATTTTTGTATTCTTAGTAGAGATGAGGTTGCACCATGTTGGCCAGGCTGGTTTCAAACTCCTGACTGTCAGGCCTCTGAGCCAAAGCTAAGCCATCATATCCCCTGTGACCTGCACGTATACATCCAGATGGCCTGAAGTAACTGAAGAATGACAAAAGAAGTGAAAATGGCCTTTTCCTGCCTTAACTGATGACATTACCTTCTGAAATTCCTTTTCCTGGCTCATCCTGGCTCAAAAGCTCCCCCACTGAGCACCTTGTGATCCCCACCCCTGCCCACCAGAGAACCCCCCTTTGACTGTAATTTTCCTTTACCTACCCAAATCTTAAAAAATGGCCCCACCCCATCTCCCTTCGTTGACTCTCTTTTCGGACTCAGCCTGCCTGTACCCAGGTGGTTAAAAAGCTTTATTGCTCACACAAAGCCTGTTTGGTGGTCTCTTCACACGGACGTGAGTGAAATTTGGTACCGTGACTCAGATCGGGGGACCTCCCTTGGGAGATCAATCCCCTGTCCTCCTGCTCTTTGCTCCATGAGAAAGATCCACCTACGACCTTGGGTCCTCAGATTGACCACCCAAGGAACATCTCACCAATTTTAAATCGGGTAAGTGGCCTTTTTTCACTCCCTTCTCCAACCTCTCTTAGTATCCCTCAACCTCTTTCTCCTTTCAATCTTGGTGCCACACTTCAGTCTCTCCCTTCTCTTAATTTCAGTTCCTTTCCTTTTCCGGTAGACACAAAGGAGATGCATTTTATCCATGAACCCAAAACTCCGGCACTGGTCACAGACTCAGGAAGAGAGTCTCCCTTGGTGTTTAATCACACGGGGATGCCTGCCTGATTATTCACCCACATTTCAGAGGTGTCTGACCATGTGGGGATGCCTGCCTTGGTCCTTCACCCTTAGTGGAAAGTACCGCTTTTCTGGGGGGCAAGAACCCCCTGACCCCTTCTCTCTGTGTCTCTACCCCTTTTCTGCTTTTCTAGGGGGCAAGAATCCCCCAACCCCTTCTCTCCGTGTCTCCACCTCTTCTCCACTTTTCTGAGGGGCAAGAACCCCCTGAACCCTTCTCTCCATGTCTCTACCCCTTCTCCACTTTCCTAGGGGGCAAGCACCCCTGACGCCTTCTCTCTATGTCTCTACTCTCTCTTTTCTCTGGGCTTGCCTCCTTCACTATGGGCAGCCTTCCACCCTCCATTCCTCCTTCTTCTCCCTTAGCCTGTGTTCTCAAGAACTTAAAACCTCTTCAACTTACACCTGACCTAAACCTAAATGCCTTATCTTCTTCTACAATGCTGCTTGACCCCAATACAAACTCGACAGTGGTTCCAAATAGCCAGAAAACAGCACTTTTGATTTTTCCATCCTACAAGATCTAGATAATTCTTGTCATAAAATAGGCAAACGGTCTGAGGTGCCTGACATCCAGGCATTCTTTTACACATTGTTCCCTTCCTACTGTCTGTTCCCAATGTGACTTGTCCCAAATCCTCCTTCTTTCCCTCCTGCCTGTCCTCTCAGTCCCAACCCCAGGCGTTGCTGAGTCTTTCTAATCTTCCTTTTCTACAGACCCATCTGACTTCTCCCCTCTTCCCCAGGCTGCTCCTCGCCAGGCTGAGCCAGGTCCTAATTCTTCCTCAGCCTCTGCTCCCCCACCCTATAATCCTTTTATCACCTCCCCTCCTCACACCCAGTCTGGCTTATAGTTTTATTCCACGACTAGCCCTCCCCAACCTGCCCAGCAATTTCCTCTTAAAAAGGTGGCTGGAGCTAAAGGCATAGTCAAGGTTAATGCTCCTTTTTCTTTATCTGAACTCTCCCAAATCAGTTAGCATTTAGGCTCTTTCATCAAATATGAAAAACCCAACCCAGTTCATGGCTTGTTCGGCAGCAACCGAGACACTTTACAGCCCTAGACCCTAAAAGGTCAAAAGGTCATCTTATTCTCAATATACATTTTATTATCCAATCCACTCCTGACATTAAATAAAACTCCAAAAATTAAATTCTGGCCCTCAAACCCCACAACAGGACTTAATTAACCTCACCTTCAAGGTGTACAATAATAGAGTAGAGGCAGCCAAGTAGCAATGTATTTCTGAGTTGCAATTCCTTGCCTCCATTGTGAGACAAACCCCAGCCACATCTCCAGCACATGAAAACTCCAAATGCCTGAACCGCAGCTGCCAGGGATTCCTCCAGAACCTCCTCCCCCAGGAGCTTGCTACAAGTGCCAGAAATCTGGCCACTGAGCCAAGGAATGCCCACAGTCCAGGATTCCTCCTAAGCTGTGTCCCATCTGTGTGGAACCCCACTGAAAATTGGACTGTTCAACTCACCTGGCAGCCACTTCCAGAGCCCCTGGAACTCTGGCCCAAGGCTCTCTGACTCCTTCCCAGATCTTCTCAGCTTAGTGGCTGAAGACTGACACTGCCCGATCGCCTTGGAAGCCTACAGGACCATCACAGACGCTCTAGGTAAGTCTCACAGTGGAGGGTAAGTCCGTCCCCTTACTCAATTCGGAGGCTACCCACTCCACATCACCTTCTTTTCAAGGGCCTGTTTCCCTTGCCTCCATAACTGTTGTGAGTATTGACAGCCAGGCTTCTAAACCTCTTAAAACTCTCCAACTCTGGTGCCGACTTATACAACATTCTTTTATGCACTCTTTTTTAGTTATCCCCACCTGCCCAGTTCCCTTATTAGGCTGAGACATTTTAACTAAATTATCTGCTTCCCTGACTGTTCCTGGACTACAGCCACACCTCATTGCTGCCCTTTTCCCCAGTTCAAAGCCTCCTTTGCATCCTCCTCTCATATCCCCCCACCTTAACCCACAAGTATAAGATACCTCTACTCCCTCCTTGGTGACCGATCATGCACCCCTTACCATCCCATTAAAACCTAATCACCCTTACCCCGCTCAATGCCAATATCCCATCCCACAGCACGCTTTAAAAGGATTAAAGTCTGTTATCACTCGCCTGCTACAGCATGGCCTTTTAAAGCCTATAAACTTCCCTTACAATTCCCCCATTTTACCTGTTCTAAAACCAGACAAAACTTACAGGTTAGTTTGGGATCTGCGCCTTGTCAACCAAATTATTTTGCCTATCCACCCCACGGTGCCAAACCCATATATTCTCCTATCCTCAATACCTCCCTCCACAACCCAATATTCTGTTCTGGATCTCAAACATGCCTTCTTTACTATTCCTTTGCACCCTTCATCCCAGCCTCTCTTCGCTTTCACTTGGCCTGACTGACACCCATCAGGCTCAGCAAATTACCCGGGCTGTACTGCCTCAAGGCTTCACAGACAGCCCCCATTCCTTCAGTTGAACCCAAATTTCTTCTTCATCTGTTACCTATCTCAGCATAATTCTCATAAAAACACACATGCTCTCCCTGCTGATCGTTTCCAACTGATCTCTCAAACCCCAGCACCTTCTACAAAACAACAACCCCTTTCCTTCCTAGTCATGGTTAGATACTTTTGACTTTAGGTACCTGATTTTGCCATCCTAACAAAACCATTATATAAACTCACAAAAGGAAACCTAGCTGACCCCATAGATCCTAAATCCTTTCCCCACTCCTCTTTCCATTCCTTGAAGACAGCTTTAGAGACTGCCCCCACCCTAGCTCTCCCTGACTCATCCCAACCCTTTTCATTACCCACAGCCGAAGTGCAGGGCTGTGCAGTTGGAATTCTTACACGAGAACCCACACTGCGCCCTGTAGCCTTTTTATCCAAACAACTTGACCTTACTGTTTTGCCTAGCCCTCAAGTCTGCGTGCGGCGGCCGCCACCACCCTAATACTTTTAGAGGCCCTTAAAATCACAAACTATGCTCAACTCACTCTCTACAGTTCTCATAACTTCCAAAATCTATTTTCTTCCTCACACCTGACACATATACTTTTTACTCCCTGGCTCCTTCAGCTGTACTCTTTGTTGAGTCTCCCACAATTACCATTGTTCCTGGCCCGGACTTCAATCTGGCCTCCCACCTTATTCCTGATACCACACCTGACCTCCATGACTGTGTCTCTCTGATCCACCTGACATTCACCCTATTTCCCCATATTTCCTTCTTTCCTGTTCCTCACCCTGATCACACTTGGTTTATTGATGGCAGTTCCACCAGGCCTAATCACCACACACCAGTAAAGGCAGGCTATGCTATAGAACAAGCCACTATCCCACCTCTTAGAACCTCTCCTTTCCTTTCCATCATGGAAATCTATCCTCAAGGAAATAACTTCTCGGTGTTCCATCTGCTATTCTACTACTCAGGGATTATTCAGGCCCCCTCCCTTCCCTACACATCAAGCTCAGGGATTTGCCCCCACCCAGGACTGGCAAATTGGCTTTATTCAACATGCCCCGAGTCAGGAAACTAAAATACCTCTTGGTCTAGGTAGACACTTTCACTGGATAGGTAAAGGCCTTTCCCACAGGGTCTAAGAAGGCCACCACGGTCATTTCTTCCCTTCTCTTAGACAAAATTCCTCGGTTTGGCCTTCCCACCTCTAGTCCTATAATGGACTGGCCTTTATTAGTCAAATCACCCAAGCAGTTTCTCAGGCTCTTAGTATTCAGTGAACTAATGGTCTTTTAAAAACACACCTTACCAAGCTCAGCCACCAACTTAAAAAGGACTGGACAATACTTTTACCACTTGCCCTTCTCAGAATTCAGGCCTGTCCTCACAATGCTACAAGGTACAGCCCAGTTAAGCTCCTGTATAGACACTCCTTTTTATTAGGCCCCAGTCTTATTCCAGACACCAGACCAACTTAGACTGTGCCCCCAAAAACTTGTCATTCCTACTATCTTCTGTCTAGTGATACTCCTATTCACTGTTCTCAACTACTCATAAATGCCCTGCTCTTGTTTACACTGCCAGTTTACACTGTTTCTCCAAGCCATCACAGCTGGTATCTCCTGGTGCTATCCCCAAACCGCCTCTCTTAACTCTTAAAGTAAATAAATAATCTTTGCTGGCAAGGCTGTGCTGAACCTCCTTAGGCACTCTAATTAGATGTCCTAGGTCCTCCCAATTCTTAGTCCTTTGATACCTGTTTTTCTCCTTCTCTTATTCCATTTAGTTTTTCAATTCATACAAAACCATATCCAGGCCATCACCAGTAATTCTACACGACAAATGTTTCTTCTAGCAACCCCACGATATCACCCCTTACCACAAAATCTTCCTTCAGCTTAATCTCTCCCACTCTAGGTTCCCACGCCGCCCCTAATCCCGCTCGAAGCAGCCCTGAGAAACATCACCCATTATCTCTCCATACCACCCCCCAAAATTTTCGCCGCCCCAACACTTTACCCCATTTCATTTTATTTTTCTTATTAATATAAGAAGACAGGAAAATCAGGCCTCTGAGCCCAAGCTAAGCCATCATATCCCCTGTGACCTGCACGTATAAATCCAGATGGCCTGAGGTAACTGAAGAATGACAAAAGAAGTGAAAATGGCCTGTTCCTGCCTTAACTAATAACATTACCTTCTGAAATTCCTTTTCCTGGCTCATCCTGGCTCAAAAGCTCCCCCACTGAGCACCTTGTGACCCCCACCCCTGCCCACCAGAGAACAACCCCCCTTGGACTGTAATTTTCCTTTACCTACCCAAATCTTATAAAACCCCGCTCTCCCTTCACTGACTCTCTCTTCACTGACCACCCCTCTCTCCCTTCACTGACTCTCTTTTCGGACTCAGCCCGCCTGCACCCAGGTGATTAAAAGCGTTATTGCTCACACAAAACCTGGTGGTCTCTTCACACGGACTCAAGTGAAACTGACCTCAAGTGATCCGCCCACCTCAGCCTCCCAAATTGCTGGAATTACAGGTGTGCGCCCCTGCGGCCAATTTTATACGTTTTAGAGGGATGGAAGTTACAGGCATACGTCAATCAATACGTGTAAAGTGTACATTTGTTCACTCAGGAATCATGGAACAATTTGGGGTGTGGGGCAGGGGGACTTCCAGATCATAGGTAAATTCCAAGATTTTCTGATTGGAAATTGGTCGAAAGAGTAAAGTTATGATCTAAAGACCTGGAATCAACAGAAAGGCGTGTCTGGTTTAAAAATAAGAGGTTGTGGCCTTTTACCTTGTTGCACTTCTGAGAGCAAGATGGGTCACCAGCAGCTGTACTAGAGCCACCAGTGAATATTCGGCCAGGGTTTTCATTCTTGTCACATCGGCCCAAATCGGCATGGTCTGATCTGTAAATATGCCCTCAATATGTACTGCCAGTGTTTCCGTCAGTACAGGAAAGATATCGGTTTCATTAAGTTGCACTAACTGACCTTCCTTGAAAGGTTTATCCAACGCATGTACCCAGTGAAAAACCATGATAGTGGCCGGGCACGGTGGCTCACGCCTGAAATCCCAGCACTTTGGGAGGCCAAGGTGGGCAGATCACAAGGTCAGCAGATCGAGACCATCCTGGCCAACATGGTGAAACCTCGTCTCTACTAAAAATACAAAAATTAGCTGGGCGTGGTGGCATATGCCTGTAATCCCAGCTACTCAGGAGGCTGAGGCACGAGAATCACTTGAACCCGGGAGGTGGAGTTTGCAGTGAGCTGAGATAGCGCCACTGCACTCCAGCCTGGCAACAGAGCAAGACTCCGTCAAAAACAAACAAACAAACAAAAAAAACCCCAAAAAACCATGATAGCTCTTTGCACATAAAATAAACATTTTTTAAAAAGATAAGGGGTTGTGGAGACCACCTGTTTTTTTTTGACAGAGTCTCGCTCTGTTGCCCAGGCTGGAGTACAGTGGCGCAATCTTGGTTCACCGCAACCTCCACCTCCCGGGTTCAAGTGATTCTCCTGCTTCAGCCTCCCGAGTAGCTGGGACTACAGGTGCACACCACCACACCTGGCTAATTTTTTGTATTTTTAGTAGAGACAGGGTTTTTCCATGTTAGCCAGGATGGTCTGGATCTCCTGACCTTGTGATCTGCCCACCTCGGCCTCCCAAAGTGCTGGGATTACAGGCATGAGCCAAGACCAAGGTTCTTGTTATGCAGATGAAGCCTCCAGGTAGCAGGCTTCAGAGAGAATAGATGGTAAGTGTTTCTCATCAGACTTAAAAAGGTGCCAGACTCTTAGTTATATCTCTCCTGAATCAGGAGAAGACCTGGAAAGGGAAGGGGACTCTCTACACAGTGTAGATTTTCCCTACAAGAGACAGATTTGCAGGGCTGTTTCAAAATATGTCAAAGAAAAATTTATTTTGGGGTAAAATACTTCTGTTTCTTTCAGGACCTGCTATCTGTCATGTGATGCTGTACTTCAGTCAGGTTGGAATTTGGTATCTTATTGCTACAAAGAGTCTGTTTTGTCAGCCTTAAGATCTCTGTGTTGATGTTAATGCTGGTCAGTTGTGCCTGAATTCCAAAGAGATGAGGGCAGAATGAGGCATGTCCAACACTCCTTCCCATCATGGCCTGAACTAGTTTTGCAGGTTTACTTTGGAATGCCCTTGGCGAGAAGGAGTCCGCTCAGTAGGTTGGGGGGCTTAGAATTTTCTTTTTGGTTTACAGGTGCAAAGCTTGTGATTTAGCCAGGAGATTTCCTGCCCCTCCCAAGGGGGCAGATTTTGCTTCAACCCTCCCTCACCATGTAATGAGGGGCTGGTCCTATCCCTCCCCCAGAAATACATGGCCTTACTTGTACCCTTACTTCCACCAGGAGTGAACCTTTGCCTGTCCTCAGGGGATGGGAAGGATTCCTGCCCCTTCCCCTGAGGCTTAAGTCCTTCTGCTTCTTGTGAGACAAGGTTCTGGGAGGTAGGAGGGGGTTCATGCCTGAGAACCACTGAGGGAGCCTCTTTCTTGTCTCATTGTACCTCCAATCTTTCTCATGAGCACCAAGAGGTGGAAAAGAGATTGCGAGTGAACTTGGGGTCTGCTAGATCCTGATGCACCCAGGGGGATTCTAAGTTGTCATGCTGGCCCACTCCTGGCCTCTGAGAATTCATTAAAATGTTGTTTTCCTATCACCTGCTTTTTTGGTGGCCACTTCTTCCTCCTGTGCTCTGACAAAGGTGGAACTTTTCATGTGTCCTGTCTCTCCTGAGAGGGTGCGGTCACTCTTTGGACCTCAGTTCACCTGGTTGCCTTGAAGCCTAAATTTCTGATGGGCTCAAGAAATGCCAAAACCTATAGATTACCCAGCTTTTTCTTCTTTTTATGGTAGGAGTGATAGTCTCTTGTGGATTTATTTTATGTATTAATTTTATTGCACTTTTTGTAGAGATGGGGGCCTTGCTAGGCTGCCCAGGCTGGTCTTGAGCTCCTGGCCTCAAACGATCCTCCTGCCTTGGCTTCTCAAAATGCTGGGATTACAGGTGTCAGTCACCATGCCCAGCCTCTTGTGGCTTTTTTACTCTAAGTGAAAGCATAAATCCAATAATTTTTATTTTTATTGTTATTGTTTGGAGATGAGTCTCACTCTGCCACGCAGGCTGGAGTGCAGTGGTACAATCCCGGCTCACTGCAACCTCTGCCTTCCAGGTTCAAGTGATTCTTCTGCCTCAGCCTCCTGACCAGCTGGGATTACAGGCACATGCCACCACGCCTGGCTAATTTTGTATTTTTAGTAGAGATGGAGTTTCACCATGTTAGCCAGGCTAGTCTCAAACTCCCGACCTCAGGATCTGCCCACCTCGGCCTCCCAAAGTGCTGGGATTACAGGCGTGAGCCATTGTGCCCAGCAAAAATCCAATAATTTTTAATAACTCAAAATATGATTTTGACTACGTAAATTTTTTTTTTTCCCTTTGTCCCTCTTTGTAATTTGATGCTTTGGTATCTCAGTTCTAGTTTTTGATTTGGCTCCAGGTAGTACAAGTTCTCATGGATTACATGTATGGTTTAGAATCCTGAAGTCAATGAGATGAGAGCAGACCTAACATCAAACACTTGAAGTAAAGAAATTTATGTGGAAGGAATATATAAAATGAGTTTACATTGGGTAGTTTGGATAAAGCATAACATTAGAGAAGGGTACATGTAGCTAGATGTGTCTTTACCTTTAAAAAAACTTGAATATTGAGGCTGGGTGCAGTGGCTCATGCCTGCAATCTTAGCACTTTTGGAGGCCAAGACGGGCGGATCACTTGAGGTCAGGAGTTTGAGACCAGCCTGGCCAACATGGTGAAACTATTTTTAGTCTCTACTAAAAATACAAAAATTGGCCAGGCATGGTGGTGCATGCCTGTAATCCCAGCTACTCAGGAGGATGAGGCAGGACAATCACTTAAACCTGGGAGGTGGAGGTTGCAGTTAGCTGAGATGGCACCACTGCACTCCAGCCTGGGCAAAAGAATGAGACTCAGTCTCAAAAAACAAACAAAAGAACCCAACAAACTTGAATAGCGAAAGGAGGATATTTTGATATGTTATTTCCATTTTCAGTAATAAATACATGTGTGTATCCAATAACTTATTAAAATGTAGATTTGTTTATTGAAAAACTTATTAGCATGAGGTCAGGAGATCAAGACCATCCTGGTTGACACAGTGAAACCCCATCTCTGCTAAGAAAGTACGAAGGAAAATTAGCTGGGTGTGGTGGCAGTGGTAGGCGCCTGTAGTCCGAGCTACTCAGGAGCCTGAGGCAGGAGAATGGTGTGAACCCGGGAGGCGGAGGTTGCAGTGAGCCGAGATCGTGCCACTGCACTCCAGCCTGGGTGACAGAGAGAGACTCCATCTCAAAAAAAAAAAAAAAAAAACAAACAAACTTATTAGGAGGTTTTAGTGGCAGATTAGACAGAGCTGAAGAGAGAATCTGTAAACTGAGAGAACAGAAGAAACTCACCACATGCTTCATGAGCAGCTATGAGACAGAAAATACGGAAGAGTAGTTAAAAACACATGAAGAATAGAAAGGGAAGGGTTAACCTCTATTTAATTGCAGTTCCTGGAGAAAAGAGTTAACGGGGGAAGAGAAAATATGTGAAGAGAGAATGGCTGGCAAGTTTCCCAAACTGAGAAGAGACCTTATCAGCTTTGAGAAGCCAAGGAATCCCAAGCATGATAAATACAAAGAAATCCATGCCCAGAAACATCCTGGTGAAGCTTCAGAATATTAACGAAACAGAAAGTCTTAAAGCAGCAAGAGAAAAAAAATTAAAGGCCTGACAGATTAAGCTCAGTCTTCTGTATAGCAACCTTGAAGCCGGAAGACAATGGAATCTTATTCATGTGCTGAAAAAAAAAAAAACTGTCAACTTAGAATTCTATACCTAGTAAAAATACTTTCAAGAGGCCGGGTGCGGTGATTCACACCTGTAATCCCAGCACTTTGGGAGGCCGAGGCAGGCAGATCATGAGGTCAGGAGTTTGAGACCAGCCTGGCCAACGTGGTGAAACCCCGTCTCTACTAAAATACAAAAAAATTAGCCGGGGTTGGTGGTGCATGCCTGTAGTCCCAGCTACTTGGGAGGCTGAGGCAGGAGAATCACTTGAATCTGGGAGGTAGAGGCTCACCATCTACCCGGCTAATTTTTTTGTATTTTTAGTAGAGACGGGGTTTCACCACGTTGGCCAGGCTGGTCTCGAACTCCTGACCTCATGATCCGCATCCCCCCTCCCCCCGCGGCCTTCGAAAGTGCTGGGATTACAGGCGTGAGCCACCGCACCCAGCTCAATGGCTGAACTTTTAGCTTCATTTTAGCAGAGTTCAGACACCCCCATAATCCTAATCTTGTGAGTTGTCATTAGTTTTACAAAGGCAGTTTGGTCCCAGAACAAACAGGTGGTAGTTTTGGGAAGGGCTATTATCATCCTTGCTTTAAGTTTAAACCATAAATTAAATTCCTCCCCAAGTTAACCTAGCCTATGCCCAGGAATGAACAAGGACAGTTTAGAGGCTAGAAGCAAGAAGAAGTCAGCTAGATTACATTATTTTACTGCCATCATTTTCCTGTGTCGGGTCTTACTCACTGTCATAATTTCTTTTTTCTTTTTTTTTAAAGACAGAGTCCTACTCTGTCACCCAGGCTGGAGTACAGTGGGGTGATCTCGGCTCACTGCAACCTCTACCTCCCAGATTCGAGTGATTCTCCTGTCTCAGCCTCCTGAGTAGCTGGGATTACAGGCACCTGCCACCATGTCCGGCTAAGTTTTAGTAGAGACGGGTTTTGCCATGTTGGCCAGGCTGGTCTCGAACTCCTGACCTCAAGCACTCCACCTACCTTGGCCTCCCAAAGTGCTGGGATTACAGGTGTGAGCCACTGCACCCGGCCTCTGTCATAATTTTTGCAAAGGCGGTTTCAGTGGGGTCTCCAAACCACTCTCCTTGGCCAGGTTACCAGTTTCCCACCTGGGCACAGTGGGTTAGGGTCCTGGGGGTTGGTCCTCCCAACTCCAGTGTCTTCTGGTACCATCCTCCCTCCTTGCAGCAAATATAGTGTCTGTGGTCCAACTCTGGAGTTACTGTGGCCAGAGGCTCTTAGTTACCAGATTAACTGTCCCTTCCCCACTCCTTTCCCCACCAACCATCTGCTTCTGTACCAGCTACCTGGCTAGGAGGATTTCTACCTCCCCCTACCTAGGGGTCTGGCCCTGTGGTAAGACTGCACCCACCCGTGAAGCCACGCCCCATCCAGGAAACCACACCCACTCAAGAAGCCCTGCCCACCCAAGAAGCCCCACCTGCCAGCAAGCCACAGCCATCCAAGAAACCCCACCCATCCAGGGAGCCCTGCCCAGCCCATCAGATGGTCCCACTCACCCATGAAAGCCACTGCCGAGGTATTCACAGCCCTGCTGCTATTCGGCCTGCCCATCAGGAGCCAGTCCACAGAACTCCATTAACCTTGCTGTCAAAACAGGGTTTCCTGGCTGGGGGGCTTACTCCTGTAATCCCAGCACTTTGGGAGGCTGAGGCGGGTGGATCATTTGAGGTCAGGAGAATAAGACTAACCTGGCCAACATGGGGAAACCTCGGGAGTTCTAGACCAGCCTGACCAACATGGTGAAACCCCACCTCTACTAAAAATACAAAATTAGCTTGGCATGGTGGCATGGGCCTCTGATCCCAGCTACTCAGGAGGCTGAGGCAGGAGAATGGCTTGAACCTGGGAGACTGAGGTTGCAGTGAGCCAAGATGAAGCCACTGCACTCCAGCCTGGGTGACAGAGTGAGACTCTGTCTCACAAAAACAAAAACAAAACAAACAGGGTTTCTTTTTATAGACAATCTCCAAAGGCAATTTCATGATGATTAGATTCAAACAGGATGGCACCTAGGAATTGTCCAATCTTCAACATTATCTAGAAAGTTTCTCCCAAATGATGCTTTAGTTTAGAATACTGTACCCCTCTCTCTCTCTGCATTTTCACAATCTGAGGTTTTTCTTGTTTGATCGTTTATTTTATTTTATTTTACTATTCTATTTTTTGCACCAGAACGCCCATGGAAACACATGCAGTCCCGTGACCTCACGCTGGATTTTTCAGTTTCTAGAAATTAAATCAGCAAATTTGGAGTCCAAAGAAATGGGTTGCTAGGTGTGGTGGCACACCCCTGTAATCCCAGCACTTTGGGAGGCTGAGGCAGGTGGATCACTTGAGGTCAGCAGTTTGAGACCAGCCTGGCCAACATGGCAAAACCCTGTCTCTACTGAAAACATAAAAATTAGCTGGGCATGGTGGTGCACGCGTGTATTCCCAGCTACTCGGGAGGCTGAGGCAGGGAAATTGCTTGAACCTAGGAGGTGGATGTTGCAGTGAGCCAAGGTCACGCCACTGCATGCCGGCTTGGGAGACATAGCGAAACTCCATCTCAGAAAAAAGAAAAAAAAAGAAATAGGTTGTTTAAAACTTGACAATAATAGAATTTTACATGAGAACTATGGGGGTGTCTAGCATGTTTCCCTTGAGTGTAGGCTGTCAGCATTGGTGAAGTGATCGCTTTGGGTTGCTGATTGAGAAGCTACTTGTTCTCTCAGAATGGAAGAATATTCAGGAGACCGGGTCTGTGGTCTGTTAGAAACCAGGTTTCAGAGCAGGAGGTGAACGATGGGTGAGCGAGTGAAGCTTCATCTATATTTACAGTGGCTCCTCAACACTATTATTACTGCCTGAGCTCCGCCTCCTGTCAGATCAGCTGTGGCATTAGATTCTCATAGGAGTGCCAACTCTATTGTGAACTGTGCATGAGTGACCTAGGTTGTGTGCTCCTTATGAAAAATCTAATGCCTGATGATCTGTCACTGTCTCTCATCACTCCCCTGTTGTGACCATCTAATTACAGGAAGGCAAACTCAGGGCTCCCACTGATTCTACATTATGGTAAGTTGCATAATTATTTCATTATATATTACGACATAATAATAGAAATAGGCTGGGTGTGGTGGCTCACGACTGTAATCCCAGCACTTTGGGAGGTGGAGGTGGGCAGATCACCTGAGGTCAGGAGTTTGAGACTGCCCTGGCCAACATGGTGAAACACTGTCTCTACAAAAAATACAAAAATTAGCTGGGGGTGGTGGTGGGCACCTACAATTCCAGCTACTTGGGAGGTTGAGGCAGGAGAATCTCTTGAACCCGGGAGATGGAGGTTGCAGTGAGCCGAGATCGTGCCACTGCACTCTAGCCTGGGTGACAGAGTGACACTCCATCTCAAATAACAATAATAATAATAATAGAAATAAAGTGCACAATGAATGTAATGTGCTTGAACCATCCCAAACCCGTCCCCCTCGACCCTCCTGGTCCATGGAACAATTGTCTTCCATGAAACCAGTCCTTGGTGCCAAAAAGTTTGGGGACTGCTGGTCTGGACAACCTGGGCTTCACAATTTTTAATTTGTTTGTAGGCTGTTACTGTAACAGGCCGAGAGGTGCTTGTAAACTTCAGAGGTTGTTTACCAGAGAGCCAAAGAAGGTGTTTAGAAATGTGTGTGACATGCTATAACCCAGCTCCGGCCATAGACCCTGTTCCGATGAAGACAATGTTCTATCTCTAATGATCCAATATGGCAGACAGCAGCCATATGTGGCATTGTACTCTTAAAATATGGATAATGCAACTGAAGAACTAATTTTCTTTTTCTCTTTCTTCTTTCTTTCTTTCTTTCTTTTTTTCTGTTCTTTCTCTCTTTCTTTCTCTCTCTCTTTCTCTCTTTCTCTCTTTTTTTCTTTCTTTCAAGACAGGGTCTCACTCTGTCACCCAGGCTAAAGTGCAGTGGCACGATCCGGGCTTACTGCAACCTCCACCTCCCGGGTTCAAGTGATTCTCCTGCCTCAGCCTCCCGAGCAGCTGGGATTACAGGCGCCTGCCACCACACCAGGCTAATTTTTGTATTTTTAGCAGAGACAGGGTTTCACCACAGTGGCCAGGCTGGTCTCGAACTCCTGACCTCCGCCCGCCTCGGCCTCCCAAAGTGCTGGGATTACAGGCGTGAGCCACCACGCCTGGCCAGCCAACTTCTATTAATATTTTAGAAAAAGGGGATGCAAGTGCAGGTTTGTTACAAAGGTATATGATGTGATGCTGAGTTTTGGGGTATGAATGAATATGTCACCAAGGTAGTGAGCATAGTATCCAGTAGATCATTTTTTCAGCCCTTGCCCTGCTCCTTCTCTTCTACCTCTAATAGTCCCTGTGTCTATTGTTTTTATTTTTATGTCCATGTGCACCCAATATTTAGCTCCCACTTATAAGTGAGAATAAGCGTTATTTGGTTTTTTGTTTCTGCGTTAGTTAGCTCAGACTAGTGGTTTCCAGCTGTATCCCCGTTGCTGCAATGGACATGATTTTGTTCTTTTTTATGGCTGTGTAGTAATCCATGGTGTATGTATACTGTATTTTTCACCATAGATGGGCATCTAGGTTGATTCCATGTCTTTTCTATTGTGAATACTGTTGTGCCATGGGTGCAGGTGTCCTTTTGGTAGAACAATTTATTTTTTGGGGGGATAGTTACCCAGTAGTGGGGTTGCTGGGTTGGTTGGTACTTCGACTCATAGTTCTTTGAGAAATATCCGAACTGCTCTTCGTAATGGCTGAACAATTTACATTCTGACCAACAGTGAATGAGTGTTCCCTTTTCTCCACAGCCTTGCTGCCATCTGTTTTTTTTTTTTTAAATATATGAGGAAAGTCTTGCTCTGCCACCCAGGCTGGAGTGGAGTGGCATGATCATGGCTCACTGCAGTCTCAGACTCCTGGGCTCAAGCAATCCTCCTGCCTCAGCTTCCTTAGTAGCTGTGACTATAGGCACACACTACACCAACACACACAGATAATTTAAAATTTTTTTTTTTTTGGTAGAGATGAGGTCTCACTATGTTGCCCAGGCCGGTCTCCAACTTCTGACCTCAAGGGATCCTCTAGCCTCTGCCTCCCAAAGTGCTGAGATTTCAGGCATGAGCCACTATACCTGGTCTTTTTTTTTGACTTTTTTTTTTTTTTTTTTTTTTGAGGTGGAGTCGCACTCTGTCGCCCAGGCTGGAGTGCAGTGGGGCCATCTCAGCTCACTGCAACCTCTGCTTCCCGGGTTCAAGTGATTCTCCTGACTCAGCCTTCCGGGTAGCCAGGATTACAGGTGTGTGCCACCATGCCCGACTAATTTTTTTGTGTTTTTAGTAGAGACGGGGGCCAGGCTGGTCTCAAACTCCTGACCTCGAGTGATCTGCCAGCGTCAGCCTCCCAAAGTGCTGGGATTATGGGTGTCAGCCACCATGCCCGACCTTTCTTGACTTTTTAACAAAAGCCCTGATAAATGTAGTTATACCCTGACTTTGCCTCACTATAGGCCCCTGTGCCCACAAACTTCCTATGGTCACTTTCCTAATATCTAAGTGTAAAATTGAGATTAATATCCTCACCACCCTGCAGAATTCCCACACTGACTTCCTAACCTATAGAATAAGAAATGTTAGGATGAGACCAGTGGATGGCTCTTGTCAAAATAGTAAACCAAAAGCAATTCTGCACTGCTGCATTTAATCACAGTGATTTTTTTTTTTTAAAACAGTGTCTCACTATGTTGCCCAGGCTGGTCTTGAACTCCTGGGCTCAAGTGATCCTCCCGTCTCCCAAAGTGTTAGGATTACAAGTGTGAGCCACTGTGCCCAGCTGAAAGATTCGTCTTGACATAACAAAGAATCGCCCTCCAAAACCTATTAATGATTGGCCGGGTATGGTGGCTCACACCTGTAATCCCAGCACTTTTGGAGGCCGAGGTGGGCAGATCACCAGGTCAGGAGATCGAGACCATCCTGGACAACATGGTGAAACCCCATCTCTACTAAAAATACCAAAATTAGCTGGGTGTGGTGGCATGTACCTGTAATCCCAGCTACTTGGGAGGCTGAGGAAGGAGAATCACTTGAATCTGGGAGGCAGAGGTTGCAGTGAGGTGAGATTGTGCCACTGCACTGCAGGCTGGTGACAGAGCGAGACTCCGTTTCAAAATAAACAAATAAACATATAAAAAAAACCTATTAATGACCTTAGCTTTATAGATGTACTTAGTGCCATGGTCTGAATGTTTGTGGCTCCCCGAAATCCATATATGTTGCCATCTTAACCCCCAAGGTGATGATATCAGGAGGTGGGGCCTTTAGGAGGTGTTTTAGTCTGTTCTCACATTGTTATAAAGAAATAACTGACACTTCGGGAGTCCGAGGTGGGTGAATCACTTGAGGCCAGAAGTTCGAGACCAGCCTGGCAAACATGGTGAAACCCCTCTCTACTAAAAAATGCAAAAATTAGCTGGCAGTGGTGACACACACCTGTAATCCCAGCTACTCGGGAGGCTGAGGCAGGAGAATCACTTGAACCCGGGAGGTGGAGGTTGCAGTGAGCCAAGATCGCACCACTGCACTCCAGCCTGGATGACAGAGCAAGACTCTGTCTCAAAAAAAAAAAAAAAAAAAAAGAAGGAACTGAGACTGGGTCATATATATGTTTAATTGGCTTAGGGTTCTGCAGGCCATGCAGGAAGCATGGCTGGGGAGGCCTCAGGGAGCTTTTACTCATGGCAGAAGGCAAAGCCTGAGCAGGTGTCTTCACACAGCCAGAGCAGGAGGAAGAGAGAGAGTGGGGAGGTGCCACACACTTTTAAACAACCAGAGCTCATGAAAACTCTACCACAAGAATAGCACCAAGGGGATGGTGTTAAACCATTTATGAAGGATTCACCTCCATGATCCAATCACCTCTCACCAGGCCCCACCTCCAGCACTGGGGATTACATTTTAACATGAGATTTGGGTGGGGACACAGACCCAAACCATATCAGGAGGTGATTAGGCCATGGTGGTGGAGCCCTCATGAATGGGATTAGTGCCCTTATGAAAGAGACCCAGAGGCCAGATAAGGTCATACCCATAATCCCAGCACTTCGGGAGGCTGAGGTAGGTGGATCACTTGAGGTCAGGAGTTCGAGACCAGCCTGGCCAACATGGTGAAATACATCTCTACTAAAAGTACAAAAACTAGCAGGGCATGGTGGCACATGACTGTAGTCCCAGCTACTTGGGAGGCTGAGGCAGGAGAATCATTGATCCTGGGAGGAAGAGGTCGCAGTGAGCCCCAAGCCTGCCTGGGTGACACAGTGAGACTCTGTCTCAGGAAAAAAAAAAAAAAAAAAAAAAAAAGGAGACCTAGAAAGACCCTTGCCCTTCTACCATGTGAAGACACAGAAAGAAGGAACTGTCTATAAGCCAGAAAGCAGGATCTCACTAGACACAAAATCTGCCTTGATCTTGGACTTCCCAGCCTCTAGAACTATGAGAATAAATGTCTGTTGTTTATAAACTACCCAGTTTACAGTATTTTGTTGCAGCAGCCTGAACAGACTAAGATACTTTGCTGATTTTTTTTTTCTTTTTTGTAGCTGTCCTTTAATAGGTTGAGGAAGTTCCTTCTATTTACTAGTTTTCGGAGAGCTTTTATCAGTAATGGACGTCAGATTTTGTCAAATGCTTTTCCTGCATCTATGGAAATGATCATGTGGTTTCTCATCTTTAGACTGTTGACATAAGAAATTACATTGATTCATTTTCAAATGTTTAACCAGCTTTGTATCCCTGGGATTAACCCCACTTGGTCATGATGCATTATTTTTATGTATTGCTATGTTTTATTTCATAATATTTCCTTGAGGATTTTTGTGTCTATATTCATTAGGGCTATCGGTCTAGTTTTCTTGTAATGTATTTGTCTTGGTTTGGTATCAGAATAATGCTGGGCTCATAAACAAAGTTGGGAAGTGTTCCATTTTCTGAAAGAGTTTGTGTACAGTTGGTATGATTTCTTCCTTAAGTGTTTGCTGGAATTCAATAGTAAAGCAATTCAGTCATATTAGCAAGCTTAGATCTTTCTATAGGAAAGACCGTGGTATGATTTTTTTTATTATACTTTAAATTCTAGGATACATGTGCACAACATGAAGGTTTGTTACATAGGTATACATGTGCCATGCTGGTTTGCTGCACCCATCAACTCGTCATTTACATTAGGTATTTCTCCTAATGCCATCCCTCCCCCAGCCCGCCAGCCCCCAACAAAGTCCAGTGTGCGATGTTCCTGCCCTGTGACCAAGTGTTCTCATTGTTCAATTCCCACCTATGAGTGGGAACATGCAGTGTTTGGCTTTCTGTCCTTGCGATAGTTTGCTAAGAATGATGGTTTCCAGCTTCATCCATGTCCCTGCAAAGGACATGAACTCATCCTTTTTTATGGCTGCATAGTATTCCATGGTATATATGTGCCACATTTTCTTGTCTTTTTATTCATTTTCTTTTTTTGAGATGGAGTCTTGCTCTGTCACCCAGGCTAGAGTGCAGTGGTGCAATCTCGGCTCACTGCCAGCTCTGCCTCCCGGGCTCATGCCATTCTCCTGCCTCAGCCTCCTGAGTAGCTGGGACTACAGGCGCCTGCCATCACGTCTGGCTAATTTTTTGTATTTTTAGTAGAGATGGGGTTTCACCACGTTAGCCAGGATGTTCTTGATCTCCTGACCTTGTGATCCACCCTCTTCAGCTTCCCAAAGTGCTGGGATGACAGGCGTGAGCCACCACATACTTTTAAATAAAACGTACACCTCAATAAATTCACTAAGACCAATCATGCTATAGATATCTGGGCTTGCAATTCAAGAATAATATCATTAAAATAAAAGTTTTAAGCACACACTTTAAGATCACCAATGGTGGAAAACCAGTTTTAACAATAATATATTTATTTTTTATTTTATTTATTTATTTTTTGAGATAGAGTCTTCCTCCGTTTCCCAGGCTGAAGTGCAATGGCACAATCTCAGCTCACTGCAACCTCTGCCTCCTGGGTTCAAGCAATTCTTCTGCCTCAGCCTCCCAAGTAGCTGGGATTACAGGTGTGAGCCACTACACCTAGCTAATTTTTTTTTTGTATTTTTAGTAGAGACCGCGTTTCGCCATGTTGGCCAGGCTGGTCTTGAACTCCTGACTTCAAGTGATCCACTCACCTTGGCCTCCTAAAGTGCTGGGATTACAGGCATGAGTCACTGCACCTGGCCTAAAAATAATGTATTTATTATTATTTTATTTTTTAAAACACAGAGACGGCTGGGTGCAGTGGCTCACTCCTGTAATCCCAGCACTTTGGGAGGCTGAGGCAGTTGGGTCACCTGAGGTCAGGAGTTCAAGACCAGCCAGGCCAACATGGTTTAAAATACAAAAATTAGCAGGTCGTGGTGGCATGGGCCTGTAATCTCAGCTACTCGGGAGGCTGAGGCAGGAGAATTGATGGAACCTGGGAAGCGGAGGCTGCAGTGAGCTGAGATTACACCACTGCACTCCAGCCTGGGCGGCAGAGTGAGACTCCATCTCAAAAAAAAAAAAAAATTAAAAATAAATAAATAAATAAACTGAGAGTAGCAGTTTACGGTCTCCGCTACTCAGCAAATCCATCTTTTGGTTTCATTGTTTTGTCCCAAAGCTTCAATCAGGCTCTTGGTGACTGTTTACTGTCTGGTGTAAGGAGCAGGCCAGTGGCACCCTTGGTATTTATAGGAGGGCGATAGTTGCCTCCAGATCCACTGAATGTGGCAGGCTAGTGTTCACAGAACTTTCAGATGCACCAGACTCTAGGAAGAAGACAAGAGGAGACAGAAGAAATTAAATTAATCAGAGAAAGGCAAGATCCCATTTCCCTGATTTGATATGACTTCGCTGAACCTCCAGAAAAATCCTCAAGCTGACCTGGGCTTCCGTTTACGCAATCCTCGGAAAACAATGACCATATGAGAAATGTTTGCACAAGCTTTGAGTTGTTTTTAAAACCCCATAAATCCATAAATGTTGACATTTATTACTCTTAATGTGAGCATTCTTTCTAAGAGGATATGTTCCATATTTAAATTTATGAGGTTATTTTTCCTCCTTAGAATCAGAAACGATAGCATATTGCAAACAGAAACTGGCAGGCTCTTGCTCTCTCCCTCTCTTCCTTCTCTTCTCAAGCTTGGGTGTTTGCATTCAATCATAAAGGGTGTGATGAATTCTTCAAAACTGCATTAAAGCAGCGGCCATAAATGAAACTGCCAAAAAGAACGTGAAAAATAGTACTGGCTGCTTTCTGAAATGTCCCTGTGTGACCTTAGGTTTCTGGAGATTTTGTGCAAGTGTGAATTAAGCATTTGATTTTATCTTAGGAATAATGATGCTCGCATGAAACAGGCAAGGAAGGACAGAAAGAGAAGGAAAGAGAGAAACTGATTGAAGAAAAATAAACTTCACATGGAACAAACTTCACATGAAAACATGAGATTTTTTCTTTTTTTGGGATGGAGTCTCACTCTGTTGCCCAGGCTGGAGTGCAGTGGCACGATCTGGGCTCACTGCAGCTTCTGCCTCTAGGGTTCAAGGGATTATCCTGCCTTAGCCTACCAAGTAGCTGGGATTACAGGCGTGCACCCCCCATACCTGGCTAATTCTTGTATTTTTAGTAGAGACGGGGGTTTCGCCATATTGACCAGGCTGGTCTTGAACTCCTGAC
Organism: Homo sapiens; assembly: GCF_000001405.40. Lineage (NCBI taxonomy): Eukaryota > Metazoa > Chordata > Mammalia > Primates > Hominidae > Homo > Homo sapiens. The sequence goes on from NC_000007.14 coordinate 100,943,248, forward strand.
TTCAAGTGATCCACCCATCTCGGCCTCCCAAAGTGCTGGAATTACAGACGTGAGCCACCATGCTTGGCCGAAAACAGAAGTTTGAAAAAATTTATTGAAAAACATTTTGCCTATGATTCCAGTATCATAAACATACTATAGGACTCCAAAACCCAATAAAATTATACTGTGATCCTGAAAGTATCTTAAGAGGCATTTAATATACAATGTCCATGAATATCAGGTTGAACAGTGTGTTTTTAAAATATACATTTGTAAATGCTGTTTGTATATTACATATATTAACCCTTTGTCTGTCATTCAGATTGCAAACAATTCTGCCACTACTTTGTATTGTTTTGATAACTTTCCCCCACAAAATGTTACTTTTTAATGTAGTAGGATATGTGTAATTTTATTTTTACAGCTTTCAGCTTTCTTGTTTTGATTAAAATAGTCTCCTCAGCTCCCAAATTATACATATAGTCTCCTAAATTTTCCTTTGGAATTTTTAGGTGGTTTTTAAATTTTATTTATTTTTATTTTTTGAGACACAGTCTCACTCTGTCGCCCACCTGGGCTGGAGTGCAGTGGCGAGATCTCTTTGTGTGGCACACAAGGCCCCACCAGGGGTCTGATCCTGCTTGATGGGATCTTGATTTGCATAAACCATACCCCTGCTGGGATCCCAGCTGTGGTAGATTGTGTTATTGTTGAAAATATTTGCTTTCTCTCCCTTGGGTAGATCATACCTCCCTGTCTCGCTGATATCACGCTTGATGTCTGACTGGCAGTGCCTCTCTCTGATAGTATTTTATATCCAGGGCGACCTTGTGACTTGCTTTGGCCAATAAAATTTGGGTGGAAGGGACGCACATCGTCTCTGGAAAGAAGCTTCAAGAGCCAGCTGGTGGTTTTGCCATCTGTCACCCTCTACCACCATGAGACTGGCAATGTCCCAGACGGGGGTGGTTTGGCCAGCCCAGGTCCCAGAGTGAACATGGCATGGATGAGAGCACAGACATTGAAATGGGCAAGCGGCATGAGCAAGAAATACACCTTTGCTGTTGTAAGCCATATAGCCTTTAGGACTGTTTGTTACTGCAGCATAACCTGACACTTTCTGACTGCTACACCAAACTCGCTGGCTTTGAGAGACTTTACCCTTTTTTGCTTTTTTTTTTTTTGAGATGGAGTTTTGCTCCGTCTTGTACAGGTTGGAGCACAGTGGCATGATCTTGGCTCAATGCAACCTCTACCTCCTGGGTTCAAGTGATTCTCCTGCCTCAGCCTCCTGAGTAGCTGAGATTACAGGCGCCTGCCACCACGCCTGGCTAATTTTTATATTTTAGTAGAGATAGGGTTCACCATGTTGGTCAGGCTGGTCTCGAACTCCTGACCTCAGGTGATCTACCCACCTCGGCCTCCCAAAGTGCTGGGATTATAGGCGTAAGCCACTTCTCCCAGCCGAGGAACTTTACTCTTAAAGCCAAGTATCAGCTTGTCATCTACCCATCAAGCAAGCTGATTCCCCCTACCCTAGCCACCATGACTTCAGAGACAACTCTTGTGGGTCCCTGGACTCCCATCAGCTGATATTATCGGGACAACTGTAGCTGCAATTCACATAATCACACAGTGGCCAACCTTCCCAACCTCCTCCTGCCTCACTCACTCCTCCTGGGAGAAAGACTGACCTATTCCCCAGCCCTAGTTTCCTTTTTTTTTTTTTTGAGACAGTCTCATTCTGTTGCCCAGGCTGGAGTGCAGTGGCATGATCTTGGCTCACTGCAGCCTCCACCTCCTGGGTTCAAGCGATTCTTGTCCCAGAGCCTCCCTAGTAACTGGGACTACACAGGTGCGTCACCCTGTTCAGCTAATTTTTGTATTTTTAGTAGAGACGGGGTTTCTCTATGTTGGCCAGGCTGGTCTCACACTCCTGACCTCAGGTGATCTGTCCAGCTAGACCTCCCAAAGTACTGGAATTACAGGCGTGAGCTACTGTGTCCAGCCCATAGCCCTAGTTTCAACATGTCCCTCCCTAATCCTTGATATTTGGGGGCTGGTCCCGGCCTGTACGTTTCTGGATTCACGTCTTCCCCCAGGTACCTGTGACAAAAGTGACCTTGGAGGGAGACCAGTGCCCCCCACTGACTTCCTGTGCATTCCATTTCAGTGTCACTAGGAAGGGACCCGATGGCAAGTGTCACTGATGATTGGGCCGACACTGCCATCGTCAGCATAGTCTTCCCACAGCTCTGCTCCTTCCTTCTCCCCAGCAATCCTCTTGCCTGTCTTGAGCTCTGGCTGGAATCTGATTAATTTCTGGAGCCAGCTCCCAGTCTCAGTTGTGTGTGGGCAGCCTACAGTCAGCAGCATCTGACATTACAGCCATGTCTCCCAACCCCAATAGAACACTCTTTTCTCTTCCATCTTCTCCAGCTTCCCCACGAAAGCTGGACCCCAATGTGGGCATGGGGCATTCTCAAACCGCAGACAGAGGATTCCTGCAGTCTTAGCTCATCCATCACCTCCCTGAGTGGGGCGGGGCTCCTACCCAGGCTCTGCAGGGAAAGTGGCCACTTGTCCCCATTCAGAATGCAAAGATGTCACCTTTCCCTCTCCCTTCTGGGCAGGCGTTCAAATGACTGTGCTCCCAGCTAGGAGATAGTAAGTTTGCATCATGGGAGAGATTTCAGTAATGAGCACCATTAATTTCAGGAGTGGGCCAGATGTGGTGGCTCACACCTGTAATCACAGCACTTTGGGAGGCCAAGGTGGGAGGATTACTGGAGGGCAGGAGTTTGAGACCAGCCTGGCCAATATGGTGAAACCCCATCTTTACTAAAAATACACAAAAAAATTAGCCAGGTATGGTGGCACATATGCCTGTAACCCCTGCTACTTGGGAGGTTGAGGCAGGAGACTCTCCTGAACCCATAGGCAGAGGTTGCAGTGAGCCGGGATCACTCCATTGCACTTCAGCCTGGACGACGGAGTGAGACTCCACCTCAAAAAAAACAAAAAACAAAAAAAATTCCAGGACTGGAAAAGGTCACTTCCTGATTGCACATGACTTCCTGGAGGAGGTGAGGAAGGTGTAGAACTGTAAAGGAAAGGTGGGATTTTCACAGGTGAGAGAAAGCGGAGGAGCAGGAGGGCACTGCAGGTGTAGGAATGGCTCAGGCAAGGGCCTGGAGTGGAGCAGAGGCTGAGGTTGGGGGTCTGGTGGCTGGAGCAGAAGGGGGTGTGGGTATTAGAGAGGTGATGGACAGAAGGGGTGGTGGATGGGGGTAGATCTGGGATCCATCTCCCCAGGAGCCTGGTGATCTTTACTTACAACAGGAATCCATTTTCCATTTACGTCTGTGTCTCCAGAACAGTGATGGGAATTTTATGGTGTTTGATACTTAAAAAAAAAAAAAAAAAAGACTGGAAACCCCCGAAACCTCCAGCTTGGTTTGCAGCGTCTTGGCTGGCTGTGGTGCTTGACCATGTGGCTCAGCAGTTTCCACAGAGACTGCTCTGAAAAACAACAACAAAACTTTTTGCAAACGAGTATCTTCATGCTGGGCAACTTGATCAAATGTATTAAGAAATTGAAGTGGAAGACCCCAAGAGTAGCCCTGCTCCCTGTTGGCCCCTCCCCTGAGTTACCCCCAGTGGTGTCATTGTCGGGCTCTGAGCTCCACCTCATTTGGACTCTTTAGCTTTTCATTTCTTTGCTCACTTCCTCAACTTGACCACACACACTGAGGCCAGGGCTATACAATGTGTCCCCTGGATTTTGGTGCAGCCATTTGCACAACCGATGCGCAGGCAGTGTCACTTGGTGGGTATGCACAGCGCCTCTTATTTAGGGTCCCTTCAGTGACTCTCGATAAGGACAAGGTCCCCCAGGAGACATGAGAGGCACAGCCCCTCACGAAGATCTCCCAGCGGGCCTGGCCTCAGAGAGTTCGCTGGCTGCCTTTGCAATCCTGTCCCTTGGGCCTGCTGGGAAGAGGAAGAGCTGCAGTTTCTCTCCGCAAAGCTTCTTCCCTTAGGGATGGTCAGACCTATTTAGATCTATTTTTCTTTTTATCTTTTTTTTTTTTTTGTAGAGATGGGTCTCGCTATATTGCCCAGGGTGGTCTTGAGCTCCTAGCCTCAAGTGATTATCCCGCCTTGATCTCCCAAAGTGTTGGGATTACAGGTGTGAGCTACTGTGCCTGGTCTGACCTAATTTTATTTTATAATTTTTTTTTGAGACGGAGTCTCACTCTGTCACCTAGGCCAGAGTGCAGTGGCGGGATCTTGGCTTACTACAACCCTCACCCCCTGGGTTCAAGCAATTCTCCTGCCTCAGCCTCCTGAGTAGCTGGGATTACAGGAGTGCACTATCATGCCCGGCTAATCTTTGTATTTTTAGTAGAGACGGGGTTTCGCCATGTTGGTCAGGCTTGTCTCAAACTCCTGACATCAAGTGATCCGCCCACCTCGGCCTCCCAAAGTGCTGGGATGACAGATGTGAGCCACTGTGCCTGGCCCTGACCTAATTTTATATTCATAATTTTTTTTTTTTGAGACAGGTTTTTGCTTTGTCACCTAGGCTGGAGTGCAGTGGCTCGATCATGACTCTTTGGAGCCTTGACCTCCTGGGCTCAGGTGATCCTCCCATCTTGGCCTACCAAGTAGCTGAGACCACAGGGGCACACCACTATGCCTGGCTAATTTTTTTTGTGTTTTTTTTTTTTTTTTGGTAGAGATGGGGTCTTGGCATGTTGCCCAGGCTGGCCTGGAACATTTGGGCTCAAGAGATCCTCCTGCCCCGGCCTCCCAAAGTGCTGGAATTACAGGCGTAAGCCACTGAATCTGGCCTGAGCACAGTGTTCTGTAGGGTGACTATTCCATCTTCTTTCTGGGTTGAAACAATCGTTTGGGCTGTTTCCAATTTCCATCAAAATTGCCATAATCGAGAGTCAATAAACATCCTCATGAATGCTGCCTTGAAGGGTTTCTTGGACACAGAGATGGAGGGTGAAATTGCTGGGTCCTAAGGCACTCATTTAAAATTTTAATAGATGCCACCAAATTACCCCTTTAAAGCAACCCAACCCACCTACACACCCACCAGCTGGATAAGAACATTTGTTTTACTTTATCTTGTTTTTGAAATGAAGTGTCGCTCTGTTGCCCAGGCTGGAGTGCAGAGGCACGATCTCAGCTCATTGCAACCTCTGCCTCTGGGGTTCAAGCAATTCTCCTGCCTCAGCCTCCCAAGTAGGTGGGATTACAGGTGCCCACCCCACGCCAGGCTAATTTTTGTATTTTTAGTAGAGATGGGGTTTCACTATGTTGGCCAGTCTAGTCTCGAACCCCTGACCTCAAGTGATCCTCAAATTACTCTTTTAAAACAACCCAACCCACCTACACATCCACCAGCTGGGTAAGAACGTTTATTCTTCACACCTTTGCCCAAACTGGATAGGTCAAACAATGTGCTGGGTCCAAACCAGTTTTTTTTTTTTTTTTTTTTTTTTGAGATGGAGTCTCGCTCTGTTGCTCAGGCTGGAGTGTAGTGGTGTGCTCTTGGCTCACTGCACCCTCCACCTTCTGGTTTCAAGCGATTTTTCTGCCTCAGCCTATTAGTAGAGATGGGGTTTTGCCATTTTGCCCAGGCTGGTCTCGAACTCGTGACCTCAAGTGATCCACACCCCTCAGCCTTGCAAAGTGCTGGGAATACAGGCGTGAGCCACCGCGCCGGGCCCAGACTAGTATTTTTGAGTGTTTCCTTTGGTCATCCATGTTTCCTTTTCTGGGACCTAGCCCCAACTCTTCAGATAATAAAATGACTTCAGATGGAATTCTGTGTTAATTACTCCCACGGTTTTTTCTGGCCTATGGGGTCCTGCGGGGGACAGGATGGAGCAGGGGCAGACTGAGGGACAGAAGGGGCTTGAAGGAGAGCGAGGTGCCACTGTCTCCCCAGCAGGAGGAATTGAAACTCAGGAGAGGCTGCAGGAGTAGGACCAGACTCCAGAGTCCAAGCCCTCGGTCAAGGGTACCCTCCACGGGTGTCGGGGAGGAAGGGCAGCTTCCAGGCAGTTCCATGTGGGCCAGGCAGGCTGTGGGGCTGAGCCAATAGCAGCTCTTCCTGCCTGACACTTCCTGGACTTGTCCTATCTTTTTCCCCCGTGTCCCGCTTCCCACAGCGCTGACGTCTGTCTGTCCGGGTGCAGGGAGAAGGGAGGAAGAGGGGAGAGGTGGGGCGGTGCAAAGGTGAGGCTGTGCTCAGCCCTGACGCTCAGCAAAACCGATAACCAGCACTTTCATTACGTGCACGCCCCAGGGCCACGTCCCTGCCGCTGTCTTGGTCCTGAAGCCTGTTCTGCCCCAGCCCCCTGCCCGCTGGGCCCATGCAGCTGTTGGGGCTCCTCGGCCTCCTCTGGATGCTCAAGGCCTCCCCGTGGGCCACAGGTAAGGGGGAGAGGCGGAAGGGGGTTGGAGAAAAGCTCCTGATGTGATGTTCCAGGAAAGGGGAGGGAAAAGTGGCTGTAAGGCCTGGGGAGGGGGGATAAGAAGGCACCGCTTGGGGCTCTGGGTGCAGGGAGAACCGAGGCACGGCCTGACTGGGGGAGGGGGCGGTGAGGAGAGGTTTCTTCCAGAGCTCCAGGTGCAGGGAAAACCGAGGTTGGGAAAGAGTGAGGGAGCTGGGTCTCTGCCACTCTCCACCAAGCACTGAGCAGGTTGCAGCGGCTGAGCCCCAATCTGTATCTGCAGCTGGAGGGTAGAGGGTGGGATTTACGTCTTCCCAGAGCAGTGCCCTTCCTGTCTTGACTCCTTCTGTCACCTGCCTCACGCCCCCAGCTTGAGTGTCCCCTTCACACTGGCCTCTCCCTCCCTGACAGCCCTCTAACTTCTACCCCTGGTCTCGGTCCTCTGGTTTCAGCCTCTCTGCCTTTTGTCCCCCGGCGGCTCCTCCCCAGCTCTGCCGTCACTCTCTTACCCCGGCCAGGGCCCATGTGTCTGGGTACAGCTGTTGGTACCAGGGCCGGGGCAGGGAGCTCCTGATGTCCACTTCGCTTCCAAGGGTGCGTCTGAGACTACCCGTCGTGGGGTCCCAGGCTTCTCTCTTCTGCCCTGCAGGAACACCTCGCAATTCCTCTATACTTCTCTTTTCTCTGTACTTCAGTGTCTGCTTCTGATCCCCGATCCCAGGCCACCCAGCCTACAGGCCCATGAGTCCCCTTCTCAGTCACCTCCAGGGCCACATCCTGGAGCCAAGGGCTGTAGCCTGGGGATTCTCATAATCCCTGACCCCACTTCCCTGGCACCCACGAGCTAGGTTGAGACGTGACACCCCAGCTCTCAGCCACAAGATGGGCTGTGCCCGAGGTGAGGGGTAGCAGGTCGGGTACCTCCCACTTCCCATCTGCTGTGGCTGCCTGTCTTCCTTGTCCCTGACACCCCCGACAGCCGGATCTCTGATCCTAACTCTGACAAATTGTGAAATGGGTTGAAATCCACATGCTGGGGTTCATGCTTGTAAACTAATGAATCCCACGGCCAAAAGGGAATAGTATAGAAAAATATGTCTATTTGTGTGATGAACACTCACTGCTAAGCCTTAAGGTCTCCAGAACTCATCACGCCTGACTGCTGAGGTAGCTCCTTCTGGAAGTTTCCTTTTCTATGCTGTCTCTCTGCCTCTTCACCTAGTCCTCACTCCATGCCCTTTGAAGTCATTAGTGTGTGAGCTTAGCCTGTTTCTCTTTGGTGTTCTCTGGGCAGTTTTTTGTTTTTGTTTTTGTTTTTGTTTTTGATGGAGTCTTGCTCTGTCACCCAGGCTGGAGTGCAGTGGCACCATCTCAGCTCACTGCAGCCTCTGCTTCCTGGGTTCAAGCGATTCTCCTGCCTCAGCTACAGGTACACGCCACTACGCCTGGCTAATTTTTGTATTTTGTTTTAGTAGAGAAAGGGTTTCACCATGTTGGTCAGACTGGTCTCGAACTCCTGACCTCAAGTGATCTCCTGCCTTGGCCTTTCAAAGTGCTGGGATTACAGGCATGAGCCACCGTGCCTGGCCCTCTTTGTTCAGCTTTCCCTGTCTCCTGGTTTTTGTGATGCGCCCCCTGCCAGGACATGGCTGGGTTCTCTCTTTTTCTCTTTGAAAGCGGAGTCAGCCCAGACAGCAGCAGGGTGCCGGGAGAAGCAGTGGTGGGAGCAGAAGGTTAATGGGGGGATGGGAGCACTCCAGGCAGTAGCAGGGGGAGGAGAGGAAGGGGCAGAGGGAGGAGGAGCCTGGGTGTGACCAGAGGAGGGAAGGGAGGGGAGGGAGGCTCTGCCCAGCTCGGCTATATCAGGACAGGAGGACCTGCCATGACAAGGCCAAGGCCCGGTGAGGAATGAGGGCTCCCATGCCCCACTGCTCCCCTAGGAGCAGACAGGCAGTCGTCTCCAGCACCACAAAGCACCCAGCTCCAAGCTGCCTCTGATGCAGGAGTCAGCTGTAATATGCCCTGCCCTCTGTGATGCTGCCTGGAAAATGGGTGAGTGAGTAGCTTACATGAGTGATGTAACAAAATGACCCACGGATTTACCAGTGGATTCCTCTGCTCTGCCGCCAATGCAGGAACTTTATCCACGGCCACATCCATCTCTCAAGTGCCTTTCCCCAGAGCAGAAGCAGCCAGCGCTGTGCTCAGCAATTCTCCACACTCCAGAGACCTGGCTGGGTGGCCACTTGGTGTCCCCCAGCTCGCCTCTCCTGCTCCTGGCCACAGGGAAAATGCACCTATGACACTCACTACCTCCCCCCATGACACACTCATCTCTGAAACATTGCTCAACTCTCCAGTCAGTTCCAACACCTCAACCACCCCGACGTCCAAGTTTGCCTTCAAGGTTGAAACCACTCCACCCACCGTGTTGGTCTATTCAGCCACCACTGAGTGCGTGTATCCAACGAGCTTTATAATCACCATCTCCCACCCCACCTCCATCTGTGTGACCACGACGCAGGTGGCCTTCACCAGCTCTTACACCTCGACTCCCGTGACACAGAAGCCAGTGACCACCGTCACCAGTACTTACTCTATGACCACTACTGAGAAAGGAACGTCAGCCATGACATCTTCTCCCTCTACCACCACTGCAAGGGAAACTCCCATAGTGACAGTGACACCCTCCTCTGTGTCAGCCACAGACACAACCTTCCACACTACAATCTCGTCTACAACTAGAACCACAGAAAGGACTCCCCTGCCCACTGGAAGCATCCATACAACCACGTCCCCAACCCCAGTATTTACTACTCTCAAAACAGCAGTGACTTCCACTTCCCCCATCACTTCTTCAATCACTTCCACAAATACAGTGACTTCTATGACAACGACCGCCTCCCAGCCCACAGCCACTAATACATTGTCATCACCCACTAGGACCATTTTATCTTCCACACCTGTCCTGAGCACAGAAACAATCACCAGTGGTATCACAAACACCACCCCCCTATCCACCTTGGTGACCACACTCCCCACTACCATCAGCAGGTCTACACCTACATCTGAGACCACCTACACTACTTCTCCCACCAGCACTGTCACAGACTCCACTACCAAAATCGCCTACTCCACAAGTATGACAGGTACATTGTCCACAGAGACTTCTCTCCCACCCACCTCTTCCTCTCTCCCAACCACAGAAACAGCCACGACTCCTATGACAAACTTGGTAACCACCACCACTGAGATCTCCTCCCACAGTACTCCCAGCTTCTCTTCATCAACCATCTACTCCACAGTCAGCACATCCACAACTGCCATCTCCTCACTTCCCCCTACCTCAGGTACTATGGTGACTTCCACAACCATGACCCCATCTTCTCTGAGTACAGACATCCCTTTCACAACACCAACAACTATCACCCACCATTCTGTGGGCTCTACCGGTTTCCTGACTACAGCAACAGACCTCACATCAACATTCACGGTTTCCAGTTCCTCAGCAATGTCCACGAGTGTCATTCCATCTTCCCCCAGCATTCAGAATACAGAAACCTCATCCCTTGTCAGCATGACCTCTGCCACTACTCCCAATGTGAGACCAACTTTTGTAAGTACACTCAGCACTCCTACAAGTTCCCTCCTGACGACCTTCCCAGCAACATATTCATTTTCATCTTCCATGTCTGCCAGCAGTGCTGGGACCACTCACACAGAGAGTATCTCCTCACCTCCAGCCAGCACCAGTACACTCCACACAACAGCTGAATCCACCCTGGCACCCACTACCACCACCTCATTCACAACTTCCACAACTATGGAACCACCTTCAACCACTGCAGCAACTACAGGAACAGGTCAGACCACCTTCACCAGCTCTACAGCCACATTTCCTGAGACCACCACACCGACTCCTACAACTGACATGTCCACAGAATCTCTCACAACAGCCATGACTTCTCCTCCCATCACTTCATCAGTCACTTCCACAAATACAGTGACTTCTATGACAACTACGACCTCTCCTCCCACAACCACCAATTCTTTTACATCACTGACCAGTATGCCTCTGTCTTCTACACCTGTCCCAAGCACAGAAGTAGTCACCAGTGGCACCATAAACACAATCCCTCCATCTATCTTGGTGACCACACTCCCCACTCCAAATGCTTCATCTATGACTACATCTGAGACCACCTATCCTAATTCTCCGACTGGTCCTGGTACAAACTCCACGACGGAAATCACCTATCCCACCACTATGACAGAGACATCATCCACTGCCACCTCTCTTCCACCCACCTCTCCCTTGGTCTCAACTGCAAAAACAGCCAAAACTCCTACCACAAACTTGGTAACCACCACCACCAAGACCACCTCACATAGTACCACCAGCTTCACTTCTTCAACCGTCTACTCCACAGCCAGCACATACACAACTGCCATCACCTCAGTTCCCACTACGTTGGGTACCATGGTAACTTCTACATCCATGATCTCATCTACTGTGAGTACAGGTATCCCTACCTCACAACCAACAACCATCACTCCCTCATCCGTGGGCATCAGTGGTTCATTACCTATGATGACAGACCTCACCTCAGTGTACACAGTCTCTAACATGTCTGCAAGGCCAACAACTGTCATTCCCTCATCTCCCACTGTCCAGAATACAGAAATCTCAATCTCTGTTAGCATGACGTCTGCTACCACTCCCAGTGGAGGACCAACTTTCACAAGTACTGAGAACACTCCAACAAGGTCCCTCCTGACAAGCTTTCCAATGACACATTCATTCTCTTCTTCTATGTCTGAAAGTAGTGCTGGGACCACTCACACAGAGAGTATCTCCTCACCTCGAGGCACCACCAGTACACTCCACACAACAGTTGAATCCACCCCATCACCCACTACCACCACCTCATTTACCACATCCACAATGATGGAACCACCTTCATCCACTGTATCAACTACAGGCAGAGGTCAGACCACCTTTCCCAGCTCTACAGCCACATTCCCTGAGACCACTACACTGACTCCTACAACTGACATTTCTACAGTATCTCTCACAACAGCCATGACTTCTCCTCCCCCCGTCAGTTCTTCAATCACTCCCACCAATACAATGACTTCTATGAGAACTACAACCTATTGGCCCACAGCCACTAATACATTATCACCACTCACCAGTAGCATTTTATCTTCTACACCTGTCCCAAGCACAGAAATGATCACCAGTCATACCACAAACACCACCCCTCTATCCACCTTGGTGACTACACTCCTCACTACCATCACCAGATCTACACCTACATCTGAGACCACCTACCCTACTTCTCCCACCAGCATTGTCTCAGACTCCACGACTGAAATCACCTATTCCACAAGTATAACAGGTACATTGTCCACTGCCACTACTCTCCCACCCACCTCTTCCTCTCTCCCAACCACAGAAACAGCCACGATGACTCCTACCACAACCTTGATAACCACCACCCCTAATACCACCTCCCTTAGTACCCCCAGCTTCACTTCTTCAACCATCTACTCCACAGTCAGCACATCCACAACTGCCATCTCCTCAGCTTCCCCTACCTCAGGTACCATGGTAACTTCCACAACCATGACCCCATCTTCTCTGAGTACAGACACCCCTTCCACAACACCAACAACTATCACCTACCCTTCTGTGGGCTCTACCGGTTTCCTGACTACAGCAACAGACCTCACATCAACATTCACTGTTTCCAGTTCCTCAGCAATGTCCACAAGTGTCATTCCATCTTCCCCCAGCATCCAGAATACAGAAACCTCATCCCTTGTCAGCATGACCTCTGCCACCACTCCCAGTTTGAGACCAACTATCACAAGTACTGACAGCACTCTAACAAGTTCCCTCCTGACGACCTTCCCAAGTACATATTCATTTTCATCTTCCATGTCTGCCAGCAGTGCAGGGACCACTCACACAGAGACTATTTCCTCACTTCCAGCCAGCACCAATACAATCCACACAACAGCTGAATCCGCCCTGGCACCCACTACCACCACCTCATTCACCACATCCCCAACGATGGAACCACCTTCAACCACTGTAGCGACTACAGGCACAGGTCAGACCACCTTCCCCAGCTCTACAGCCACATTCCTTGAGACCACCACACTGACTCCTACAACTGACTTTTCTACAGAATCTCTCACAACAGCCATGACTTCTACTCCCCCCATCACTTCTTCAATCACTCCCACCGATACAATGACTTCTATGAGAACTACGACCTCTTGGCCCACAGCCACTAATACGTTATCACCACTCACCAGTAGCATTTTATCTTCTACACCTGTCCCAAGCACAGAGGTGACCACCAGTCATACCACAAACACCAATCCTGTATCCACGTTGGTGACTACACTCCCCATTACCATCACCAGGTCTACACTTACATCTGAGACCGCCTACCCTAGTTCTCCCACAAGCACTGTCACAGAGTCCACAACTGAAATCACCTATCCCACCACTATGACAGAGACATCATCTACTGCCACCTCTCTTCCACCCACCTCTTCCTTGGTCTCAACCGCAGAAACAGCCAAAACTCCTACCACAAACTTGGTAACCACCACCACCAAGACCACCTCACATAGTACCACCAGCTTCACTTCTTCAACCATCTACTCCACAGCCAGCACACCCACCACTGCCATCACCTCAGTTCCCACTACCTTGGGTACCATGGTGACTTCTACATCCATGATCCCATCTACTGTGAGTACAGGTATCCCTACCTCACAACCAACAACTATTACTCCCTCATCCGTGGGCATCAGTGGTTCATTACCTATGATGACAGACCTCACCTCAGTGTACACAGTCTCCAGCATGTCTGCAAGGCCAACAAGTGTCATTCCTTCATCTCCCACTGTCCAGAATACAGAAACCTCAATCTTTGTTAGCATGATGTCTGCTACCACTCCCAGTGGAGGACCAACTTTCACAAGTACTGAGAACACTCCAACAAGGTCCCTCCTGACAAGCTTTCCAGTGACACATTCATTTTCCTCTTCCATGTCTGCCAGCAGTGTAGGGACCACTCACACCCAGAGTATCTCCTCACCCCCAGCCATCACCAGTACACTCCACACAACAGCTGAATCCACCCCATCACCTACAACCACCATGTCATTCACAACATTTACAAAGATGGAAACACCTTCATCCACTGTAGCAACTACAGGCACAGGTCAGACTACATTCACCAGTTCAACAGCCACATCCCCTAAGACCACCACACTGACTCCTACCTCTGACATTTCCACAGGATCTTTCAAAACAGCCGTGAGTTCTACTCCCCCCATCACTTCTTCAATCACCTCCACATATACGGTGACTTCGATGACAACTACCACCCCTCTAGGGCCCACAGCCACTAATACGTTACCATCATTTACCAGTAGCGTTTCATCTTCTACGCCTGTCCCAAGTACAGAAGCGATCACCAGTGGTACCACAAACACCACCCCTCTATCTACATTGGTGACCACATTCTCCAATTCCGACACCAGTTCTACACCTACATCTGAGACCACCTACCCTACTTCTCTTACTAGTGCTCTCACAGATTCCACGACCAGAACCACCTATTCCACCAATATGACAGGTACATTGTCCACTGTGACCTCTCTTCGACCCACCTCTTCCTCTCTCCTCACCACAGTAACAGCCACAGTTCCAACAACAAACTTGGTAACCACGACCACCAAGATCACCTCACACAGTACTCCTAGCTTCACTTCTTCAATCGCAACCACCGAGACCCCCTCACACAGTACTCCCAGATTCACTTCTTCAATCACCACTACCGAGACCCCCTCACACAGTACTCCCAGATTCACTTCTTCAATCACCAATACCAAGACCACCTCACACAGCTCTCCCAGCTTCACTTCTTCGATCACCACCACCGAGACCACATCCCACAATACTCCCAGCCTCACTTCTTCAATCACCACCACCAAGACCACCTCACACAGTACTCCCAGCTACACTTCTTTGATCACCACAACCACCACCACCTCACACAGTACTCCCAGCTTCACTTCTTCCATCACCACCACTGAGACCACATCCCACAATACTCCCAGCTTGACTTCTTCGATCACAACCACCGAGACCACATCCCATAGTACTCCCAGCTTCACTTCTTCGATCACCACCGAGACCACATCCCACAGTACTCCCAGCTTCACTTCATTGATCACCATCACCGAGATCACCTCACACAGTACTCTCAGCTACACTACCTCAATCACCACCACCGAGACCCCCTCACACAGTACTCTCAGCTTCACTTCTTCAATCACCACCACTGAGACCACCTCACACAGTACTCCCAGCTTCACTTCCTCAATCACCACCTCTGAGATGCCCTCACACAGTACTCCCAGCTTCACTTCTTCGATCACCACCACTGAGAACGCCACACACAGTACTCCCAACTTCACTTCTTCAATCACCACCACCGAGACCACATCCCACAGTACTCCCAGCTTCACTTCTTTGATCACCACCACGGAGACCACCTCACACAGGTGGGGGACCACCGAGACCACATCCTACAGTACTCCCAGCTTCACTTCTTCAAATACCATCACTGAGACCACCTCACACAGTACTCCCAGCTACATTACCTCAATCACCACCACCGAGACCCCCTCAAGCAGTACTCCCAGCTTCAGTTCTTCGATCACCACCACTGAGACCACATCCCACAGTACTCCCGGCTTCACTTCTTCAATCACCACCACTGAGACTACATCCCACAGTACTCCCAGCTTCACTTCTTCGATCACCACCACTGAGACCACCTCACATGATACTCCCAGCTTCACTTCTTCAATCACCACCAGTGAGACCCCCTCACACAGTACTCCCAGCTCCACTTCTTTAATCACCACCACCAAGACCACCTCACACAGTACTCCCAGCTTCACTTCTTCGATCACCACCACGGAGACCACCTCACACAGTGCTCACAGCTTCACTTCTTCGATCACCACCACCGAGACCACCTCACACAATACTCGCAGCTTCACTTCTTCGATCACCACCACCGAGACCAACTCTCACAGTACTACCAGCTTCACTTCTTCGATCACCACCACCGAGACCACCTCACACAGTACTCCCAGCTTCAGTTCTTCAATCACCACCACTGAGACCCCCTTACACAGTACTCCTGGCCTCACTTCGTGGGTCACCACCACCAAGACCACCTCACACATTACTCCTGGCCTCACTTCTTCAATCACCACCACTGAGACTACCTCACACAGTACTCCTGGCTTCACTTCTTCAATCACCACCACTGAGACCACCTCAGAGAGTACTCCCAGCCTCAGTTCTTCAACCATCTACTCCACAGTCAGCACATCCACAACTGCCATCACCTCACATTTTACTACCTCAGAGACTGCGGTGACTCCCACACCTGTAACCCCATCTTCTCTGAGTACAGACATCCCGACCACAAGCCTACGAACTCTCACCCCTTCGTCTGTGGGCACCAGCACTTCATTGACTACAACCACAGACTTTCCCTCTATACCCACTGATATCAGTACCTTACCAACTCGAACACACATCATTTCATCTTCTCCCTCCATCCAAAGTACAGAAACCTCATCCCTTGTGGGCACCACCTCTCCCACCATGTCCACTGTGAGAATGACCCTCAGAATTACTGAGAACACCCCAATCAGTTCCTTTAGCACAAGTATTGTTGTTATACCTGAAACCCCAACACAGACCCCTCCTGTACTGACGTCAGCCACTGGGACCCAAACATCTCCTGCACCTACTACTGTCACCTTTGGAAGTACGGATTCCTCCACGTCCACTCTTCATACTCTTACTCCATCAACAGCCTTGAGCACGATCGTGTCAACATCACAGGTTCCTATTCCTAGCACACATTCCTCCACCCTTCAAACAACTCCTTCTACTCCCTCATTGCAAACTTCACTCACATCTACAAGTGAGTTCACTACAGAATCTTTCACTAGGGGAAGTACGTCTACAAATGCAATCTTGACTTCTTTTAGTACCATCATCTGGTCCTCAACACCCACTATTATCATGTCCTCTTCTCCATCTTCTGCCAGCATAACTCCAGTGTTTTCCACTACCATTCATTCTGTTCCTTCTTCACCATACATTTTCAGTACAGAAAATGTGGGCTCCGCTTCTATCACAGGCTTTCCTAGTCTCTCTTCCTCTGCAACTACCAGCACTTCTTCAACCAGCTCCTCTCTGACCACAGCTCTCACTGAAATAACCCCCTTTTCTTATATTTCCCTTCCCTCCACCACACCCTGTCCAGGAACTATAACAATTACCATAGTCCCTGCCTCCCCCACTGATCCATGTGTTGAAATGGATCCCAGCACTGAAGCTACTTCTCCTCCCACCACCCCATTAACAGTCTTTCCCTTTACTACCGAAATGGTCACCTGTCCTACCTCCATCAGTATCCAAACTACTCTTACTACATATATGGACACTTCTTCCATGATGCCAGAAAGTGAGTCCAGCATCTCACCCAATGCTTCCAGTTCCACTGGCACTGGGACTGTACCCACAAACACAGTTTTCACAAGTACTCGACTGCCCACCAGTGAGACCTGGCTGAGCAACAGTTCTGTGATCCCCCTACCTCTTCCTGGCGTCTCTACCATCCCGCTCACCATGAAACCAAGCAGTAGCCTCCCGACCATCCTGAGGACTTCAAGCAAGTCAACACACCCCTCCCCACCCACCACTAGGACTTCAGAGACACCAGTGGCCACTACCCAGACTCCTACCACCCTTACATCACGCAGGACAACTCGCATCACTTCTCAGATGACCACACAGTCCACGTTGACCACCACTGCAGGTTGGACCTTCTGCCTCTCTGTTCCCCTCCTTCCTCCCCTGCAAAATTCCTGTGTCACTGAGGTCAGGCTTTATCCTGAGCTTCCCTTTCTTTCTGTGTTTTCCAGGCACCTGTGACAATGGTGGCACCTGGGAACAGGGCCAGTGTGCTTGCCTTCCGGGGTTTTCTGGGGACCGCTGTCAGCTCCAGACCAGATGCCAGAATGGGGGTCAGTGGGATGGCCTCAAATGCCAGTGCCCCAGCACCTTCTATGGTTCCAGTTGTGAGTTTGCTGTGGAACAGGTGGATCTAGGTGAGTTGCCAGAGCTATGCCTTCTGCACTTCCTCCCACAGGGTGTCACTGACTCTCCCCAGACTTATCCCTCTGTGGGGCCTGGAGGCACCCATGCCTTTTTGCCCGGTCCTTCCCTCCCTGCCATCTCTCCCATGCCCTCCGCTGCCCTGTGTCATGCTCCTCTCCGTCCTCACCCTTAGGAGGTGGCTGGGACTACCCTCCCTCCTGGGCCCATCTCCTGACTTGGGCTGCTTGGAGCTGTATCAGTTTCCAACTGCTGCCGGGCCAACAAACACAAATCTGGCTGCTGGAACAACACGACATTATCATGTTAGAATTCTGTAGATTAGAAGTCTGATGTGGGTGTCACTGGGCTGAAATCAAGGCGTCACCAGGGCTGTGTTGTCTTTCAGCGGCTCCAGGGAAGAATCCATTTTTTTGCCCTTTGCAGCTTCTGGAGCCTCCCACAGCAAGCCTGCATCTCTCTGTGTCTTTCTCCCATAGCCTCATCTCCCTCTAATGAACTCTGGCCTCCTCAATTGCTTCTCCCACTGTTAAGGACCCTTGTGATAACTTTGCCTCCTCCCCAAATAGTCTATGTTAATTTTCTCAAGATCAGCTGATTACGCCGGGCGGGGTGGCTCACACCTGTAATCCCAGCAGTTTGGGAGGCTGAGGGGGTAGGATCACCTGAGGTCAGGAGTTGGAGACTAGCCTGGCCAACATGGTGAAACTGTCTCTACTATTAGTTGGGCATGGTGGCAGATGCCTAAATCCTCACTATTCAGGAGGCTGAGGCAGGAAAATCGCTTGAATCCAGGAGGTGGATATTGCAGTAAAGCGAGATTTCGCCACTGCACACTAGCGTAGATGACAGAGGGAGAGTGAGACTCTGTCTTAAAAGAAAAAAAAAAATCAGCTGATTGTCTTATAATCCCTGCACTTTGGAAGGCCGAGGAGGGAGTATCGCTTGAGGCGAGGAGTTCAGGACCAGCCTGGGCAACACAGCGAGACCCTCATCTCCACAAAAAATTTTAAAAACTTACCTCACGCCTGTAATCCCAGCACTTTGGGAGGCCGAGGCGGGCGGATCACGAGGTCAGGAGATCGAGACCATCCCAGCTAAAACGGTGAAACCCCGTCTCTACTAAAAATACAAAAAATTAGCCGGGCGTAGTGGCGGGCGCCTGTAGTCCCAGCTACTTGGGAGGCTGAGGCGGGAGAATGGCGTGAACCCGGGAGGCGGAGCTTGCAGTGAGCCGAGATCCCGCCACTGCACTCCAGCCTGGGCGACAGAGCGAGACTCCGTCTCAAAAAAAAAAAAAAAAAAAAAAAAAAAAAAAAAAAACTTACCTGGGCATGGTGGCTCATGCCTGTGGTCCCAGTTATTTGGAAGGCTGAGGTGGGAGAATCACTTGAGCCTGGGAGTTCAAGGCTGCAGTGAGCTATGATCCCCCTATTGCACTTCAGCCTGGATGACAGAATGAGACCCTATCTCAACAATAAAAAAAAGTTAGGCTGATTAGCAATCTAATTCAATCTGCACCCTTGATCCTCCCTTGCCATGTAGTATAGCATAGTCACAGTTCTGGGGATTAGGACATGGACATCTTCCCACTATGGGGGCAGCCAGGAGGGACCACAGGCTGACCGCTATCTTTCTGCCTGCTTTCACTCATCTCCACACAATTCCTTCCTTCCTCTCGCTCTCTTCTTTCTTTTCTTCTTTTCTTTTGTCTCTTTCTCTTTTCTTTTTTTCTTTCTCTTTTTCTTTCTTTCTTTCTCTTTCTTTTCTTTCCTTTCTTTTCTTCTTTCCCTCATCTTCACACAATGCTTTCTCCCTTTCTTTCTTTCCTTCTTTCTTTCTCTTTCTTTCTTTCTCTCTCTCTCTCTCTTTCTTTCTTTCTTTCTTTCTTTTTCTCTCTCTCTCTCTATCTTTCTTTTTCATTTTCTTGAGAGACAGTCTCACTCTGTGGCCCAGGCTGGAGTGCAGTGATGCAATCTCGGCTCACTACAACCTCCGCCTCCTGAGTTCAAGTGATTCTCCTGCCTCAGCCTCCTGAGGCATAATGCATCCTGGAATTCCTACATCTGTTCCTGCCTCTGGGCATCAGTCCTCAGGGATCTTGGAGGGGAGCAGCAGGAGGAGCCTGTGGGTTGGGGTGGTGGTGTTGGTGGCTTCAGACAAAAGCAGACAGAGAAGTGACTGGGGACATGCATGCTCTGTGTAGATGTAGTGGAGACCGAGGTGGGCATGGAAGTGTCTGTGGATCAGCAGTTCTCGCCGGACCTCAATGACAACACTTCCCAGGCCTACAGGGATTTCAACAAGACCTTCTGGAATCAGGTAAAGGGCAAAGAGAGGGGATTTTTTTTTTTTTTTTGAGGTGTAGTCTCGCACTCTCACCCTGGCTGGAGTGCAATGGTGCGATCTTGGGTCACTGCAACCTCCGCCTCCCGGGTTCACATGATTCTCTTGCCTCAGCCTCCCAAGTAGCTGGGATTACAGGTGCACACCATGACACCTGGCTAATGTTTTGTATTTTTAGTAGAGACGGGTTTTCACTATGTTGGCCAGACTGGTCTCGAACTACTGACTTTGTGATCCACCTGCCTCGTCCTCCCAAAGTGTTGGGATTACAGGCGTGAGCCACGGCACCCGGCCGGGGAGGGGAATTGAAGGGTCTTCCCTGGAGCTGGGGTTGGGCGTCTGGGTCCCCTCAGGTCTGCAGGTTCGGACGTGAGCCCAGGGATCCTTGGTGTTTCAGATGCAGAAGATTTTTGCAGACATGCAGGGCTTCACCTTCAAGGGTGTGGAGATCCTGTCCCTGAGGTAGGAGACCCATCTGGGGATGCGGAGGCGGTGTTGGGTGGGGGAAATGTGCGCACACAAAAAACCCATTCCTTTCTTTTGTAATCATCAGATTTTATAAAGAGGGGTGGAGGGGGTACATAAGGAATCACTCCCTGGGTATTTTTTCGGATCGTTTTCTGGGGCCATTTATCTGGAGGAGGGGTGGCACCTCTCTTCTTCAGCACACTGGAAGGAGAGAAGTTGCAGGGACATGTGGGAAGGTGGTGCCTGGATTGATGACTTTGTCCCCCTCTGGCTGGCCCCTGCTCTACTGAGTGGGTCAGCATTAGAAAGAGAGAGAGAGAAAGAGAGAGAGGGAGAGAACGCACGTCTAGGGGCGCCCGGTGGATGATGGCTTGATGCAACAAGAAGAGAACGTCAGGCCAGATGTGGTGGCTCACACTTGCAATCCTAGCACTTTGGGTAGGCTAGGCGGGTGGATCACCTGAAAGCAGTTCAAGACCAGCCTGGGCAACATAGTGAGAACCCATCCCTACAACAGTAAAAATAGTAATAATAATAATAATAATAAAATGATTAGCCAGGCATGGTAGTGCACACCTGTAGTCCCTGATACTTGGGAGGCTGAGGAGAAAGGATCACTTTAGCCCAGGAGTTGGAGGCTGCAGTGAGCTACAATGATACCACTGCACTCCAGCCTGGGTGACAGCAAGACTTTGTCTCTATAAAACACACAGAGAGAGGAAGTCAATCATGTCAGTCATTCCTTGTCCTGCCTTCCCAGGCAGACCAAGTCAGGAATGCTGGCAGCCCCTTCTGAAAAGGATGCACGTGGCATCCCAACTCATGACCTCTGCTCCCTTCCCCCTTCTGGTGCACTTTGGGTTGCTTCTGGAGGTGCCCCTCCAAGGACCCATATGTTCCTGGCTGGGGCACTCTCTAAGGCTGTGGACCCCTCAGGAATGGCAGCATCGTGGTGGACTACCTGGTCCTGCTGGAGATGCCCTTCAGCCCCCAGCTGGAGAGCGAGTATGAGCAGGTGAAGACCACGCTGAAGGAGGGGCTGCAGAACGCCAGCCAGGATGTGAACAGCTGCCAGGACTCCCAGAGTGAGCCCAGGCTGGAGGGAGGGGCCAGGGCCTGAGGTGTCACCCCAGCCCACTCCAGCTCAGCCAGGGGGCCACTGGGCTCAGGTGCCAGCCCTGTGGTACCTCTGGCAGGTTGGGAGAAGGGGAATAAGTCCACACACAACGGTGTCAAGGGTGGGGCTAGGGAGGGTCTCCCCGTGACCTCGGTACTGGGAAAGAGACCCCCTGATTGTCATGGTCAGCATTTCCCGGATGGCTGAAGACCTCGGATTATTCAGGGGAGATGAGGCAGGCAACAGGAGTCTTCGCCTGTGGCTCTCTCCGTCTGGGAGAGGGCTCTCCCAGACGGAGAGAGCCCTCACTGCCCTCCCTGTGCCTATCCTGCCTCCTGGCGCTAACCCCTTGACCTTAACCCCTTGATCTGCCCCGCCCATTCCATCTGTGCCTGTGTTTCCGCAGCCCTGTGTTTTAAGCCTGACTCCATCAAGGTGAACAACAACAGCAAGACAGAGCTGACCCCGGCAGGTAAGGGTGGGGTAAAGGGCTGAGTGGTCTCCCGCGGCTATGATCCGGGCTACCAGGGACATTTGCCCATTGAAGCCTGTGGGCAGGGAGAGACCTTTGGGGGAGGCAAGTCATGTGGCCCAGGGCGGCCCTTCCTGGCGCTGGTTAGTGGCTTCCACCTGAGGACAGCAGGGGCCACGAGGAGAGGGTGAGGGTGCTGCGGGTGGCCTCCCCTCATCGAATCCCAGGGTCTACCCCACAGCATCCCACCTCGGAAATGGAATCCTCCTCGCGCATATTCAGAGGCACCGTTATCAGGCCCCTGAATAGAATGGATGAGGTCCTTGTCTCTGTGCATCCCCCTCCCCAACCCCCAGCCATCTGCCGCCGCGCCGCTCCCACGGGCTATGAAGAGTTCTACTTCCCCTTGGTGGAGGCCACCCGGCTCCGCTGTGTCACCAAATGCACGTCGGGGGTGGACAACGCCATCGACTGTCACCAGGGCCAGTGCGTTCTGGAGACGAGCGGTCCCACGTGTCGGTAAGGCCCCGCTCACCATCGGCATCAGCCGAGCCCCTCCCACTCATTCTAGGATGAAGCCCTGCCCCATGCTCCGCCCCGGCTCCGCGCCCTGGGCCTACAGTGGAGCCTCGTCCCCAGAGTGCCGCTCCAAGCCCATCCCCGTTGCCCTACAGTGGAGCCCTGCCCTGGAGCTCTGCTCCTTTGATGGGGTTGAGTCCTGTCCCCTAATTCTGGGAGAGAACCCCGCCCACTCATTCTAGGGTGGGGCCCCGCCTCCTCGTTCTAGGGTTGAACCCCGCCCCCTCCTTCTAGGGTGGAGCCCTGCCCACTTGATCTAAGGTGGAATCCCGCCCCCTCACCTAGGGTAGAGCCCCGGCCCCTCGTTCTAGGGTGGATTCCCAGCCCCTTGTCTAGGGTGGAACCCCCCGCTGCCCTAGGCTGGAGCCCCGCCCCCTCACCCGCCCCCGCGGGGCCCAGGTGCACGGGTGGACCCCGAGCCCGGAGGTGAAGAGGGTCTGACCCTGCGATCTCCCGCAGCTGCTACTCCACCGACACGCACTGGTTCTCTGGCCCGCGCTGCGAGGTGGCCGTCCACTGGAGGGCGCTGGTCGGGGGCCTGACGGCCGGCGCCGCGCTGCTGGTGCTGCTGCTGCTGGCGCTGGGCGTCCGGGCGGTGCGCTCCGGATGGTGGGGCGGCCAGCGCCGAGGCCGGTGAGCGTGCGGGGGGCGGGGCCGGGGGGCGAGGGCAGCCAAGGGGTCCCAGGCGGGCCGGCTCTGTCTGACCGCGCGGCGGCCCCACCTAGGTCCTGGGACCAGGACAGGAAATGGTTCGAGACCTGGGATGAGGAAGTCGTGGGCACTTTTTCAAACTGGGGTTTCGAGGACGACGGAACAGGTGAGTCCTGCCTCCTGGGGAAGCAGGCAGAGGCTTTCCTGGGCACCACTGCGAGGACAGACGCCCTCCCTGCCTTCCTCGCATTTACTCCGTCCCCCTCTCCCTTCCGTCCCCTCCCTCTCCCCTTCTCTTTCTCCGCTCCTCTCTCTCTCTAGACAAGGATACAAATTTCTATGTGGCCTTGGAGAACGTGGACACCACTATGAAGGTGAGGGGCTAAAGAGGGGGACCCCAAGGAACTCTCCCAGCCTCCATTCCAGAATCCCTCCCCGACCCCCACCAGGGCAGGGAGGGGGCTGGGCTCGGATCAGCAGTGACCTCCCTGTCAGCCCAAACCAGTGGCTCCGCGTTCCCGTCCCTCACTGTGACTCTGACAGGTGCACATCAAGAGACCCGAGATGACCTCGTCCTCAGTGTGAGCCCTGCGGGGCCCCTTCACCACCCCCTCCGCCCTGCCCCGGACACAAGGGTCTGCATTGCGTCCATTTCAAGAGGTGGCCCCAGGACGCGGGCAGCCCAGGCTCCTGCTGTTCTTGGGCAAGATGAGACTGTTCCCCCAAATCCCATCCTTCTCCTTCCAACTTGGCTGAAACCCACCTGGAGACGCAGTTCACGTCCAGGCTCTTCCACTGTGGAATCTTGGGCAAGTCAGTAACGAGCCTCAGTTTCCTCACCTGCAAAACGGGTACAGCATTCCTGTATGATAGCTCACGCCGTTGTTGTGAAAACCACATAGACTTGGTCAATTCTCGGTCCTACTCTGCCCTCCCGTCTCAGCCCTCGTGTTGCCATTGCCTCTCTCGGATCCTCCAATCCTCACGTCCTTCACCTGGTCTCTGGCCCTGGTTCTTATTTTCTCTCAATTCCCTACTGCCTGTTTCTTACTTTGAACCTGGAGGCAGCCTGCAGCCCCATCCCATCTCCTGCCCTCTCCTGATCTAACTCCCTGCTGCATCTCTTGCTCTCATTCCTTAGACGTCCTCCCCTTTTGACCCCGTTCCTTCATCCATCCTGCACCCCAGTCCCCCAGCCCTAAATCCTCCCTCCTCTCCTCACATCCTGGTCCCTAGCAAGGTATAGATAGCCTCTGTGTCTTAGGATACCCAGGTGCTGTTCTCCCCGTCACCCCGTTGCCCAGTTCCCCGTTTCTCTTGCTCTCATTCCTTGTATCTTCTCCCTTCTGAGCCCGTCCATTCATCGGTTCTGCCCCCGACTCCCCCTGACCTAAATACCCCAGCTGCTGTTCCCCCCATCACCCTGCTGCCCAATTCTTTATTCTCCACCCCTTTCTCTCACCCCTGGAGCCCTGCGGGTGGGGGCAGGGCATGAGTTCCCCAGTCCCCAAGGAAAGGCAGCCCCCTCAGTCTCCCTCCTCCTCATTTCCTTCGATCCCCCTCCCTTCTTGCCTCCCCTCTGCCTTTTAAACCCATCCCCTCCGATTCCCCTCCTCCCCCTTCTCTTCCTGGTGTCACCTGGATTCCTGCAGTAACTCTGAGCCCTTGAAATCCTCAGTCGCCTTGGCGGGGAAGATTGGCTTTGGGGACAGGAAGTCGGCACATCTCCAGGTCTTCATGTGCACAATACAGAGTTTATTGTAAAAAGCAGCAGCTCTCTGTCTGTCTCCTTTTCACCCCCTCAGTGGTCTCTGTTTGATCAGAGAACAGGGATTTCCAGAGGTGGCACTGTAGGAGGATCCTGGGAGCACCTGTGTCTCCTGGGGACAAAGGAGGGGGTCTGTGGGCAGCCCTTGGGGGCCATGAGGTTCCTCACAGAAAACACAGAGGTTGGGGGGACCCATTTTATTGGGGAGTGACTCTGGGCAGGGGCCCCTTGGGCTTTGTCATCTGTGCTCTCCCCACCCCCACCACTGCCCTGACCTTGATACTGGGGGCTTAGGGAGCAATTAGACCCCTGGTGTTGGTTCAGGGAGTTGGGTGGTCCAGGGGCTAGGGCTGCCTGGTCCAGCCACCTTTTGCAAGGATGGGTAAAGCTGAGCCTCCCCAAAGATCTTGATCCCCCACAAGGCCCCCAAACCCTGATAGCAAACTCACACAGCAGAGCCTGTCTATGCTGGCACCGGGCCCTTCTGTTCCTGCTGTTGTGGGCAGTCAGGCCTGCCTGAGGAGTCGAGAGTGATCAGAAATAACGTGTCCCCTTGGGTCTTTGGGTGCTGGCTTGGCAGAGGCCCCTTTGATGCTTTCTCTGGGCAGGGATGGGCCATGGCCTTTTGTCACCTCTGTGTCTGGCCAGGGGTGGGGACAAGGACCATAAAGTCTCAGGTGTGAGTGGGCCCTCTGCCCAGGAGAAGGGCTGGAAACTGGGGACCCCAGGGAAAGCCCTGGACATTTGGCAAGGACCATGTTGAGGCAGGGGATGGGGAAGGTTGGCTGGAAGAGAGAGGGGCTTCTCGGGGGTGGGAGTGGAGGGTCCTTCACTTGGTCTGGCCTGTTGCCAGCTGCCCCTTCCACGGTTCTGAACTTCTTCCGTGGTCACCCGCTTCCTGGTGCTTCTTGGCCCCCACCTCTTGTCACCAGTGGTGTGCTCACACCTCTAGCCTCCCTCCCTCCCTCCTGCGCTGCCCCACCCAAAGTGCCTCTGACTTCCGCTGACAGAGAGGGACCCCGGCTCAGGGCAGTGACTACTCCAGGACTTATAAGGAAGAAGGGTGGACAGGCTGCCCTTCGTTTAACTCCCCGTGGTCACCACGCGCTACCTGCTCAATGCCATCACCTCACCTCTACCCTGGGACAGGCACTGCTCTTCTTCAAGGCAAAGTTCTCTGGGGTCCTTTTTATAGCTGATCCCTTCCTGGGAGGCCTTCATTTCTTGGTCCCTCCTGATGAGAGAAGATGGGCAGCCAGGGGCCCGTTCCCCGGGAGATGCTGGTGATCTGGATTCTGACGCTGGCTCTCCGGCTCTGCGCGTCCGTTACTACAGTGACACCAGGTGAGTGCTCCTGGGCTGATGCTCCAGGTCCAGTGCTCCTGGGTGGTAATAGTACATGCCCCTGCCTCAGGCAGCAGGGCTGCAGGTGGCCTCCTCCCCTTTGCATGGCAAGGGGCTGCCACAGGGCTGGAGACCCGTGCTGTGACCTCATCTTGCTTTGGGGGTGCTGAAGAGGTCACTGTGGAGACCTGTGGGTGCCTGTGGTTGTGCAGGGGATGGTCTGCACACAGCTCCTGGCTGAGGGGCGGCTGAAATCCACAGCTTCTGCTCTCCAGGCTCCCCCCGGGAGGATGAAGGGGCTTTTGTCACATAGACAGTCATCTCTGCCTGCCCTCATCCTGGGGGCTTTATCTGCTGGAGGGATGGGTCTTTCCAAACCTCACGGAGGCACTGCACATGCTGCTAGCCCTGGTCGGGAGAGAGGGAGTCCAGAGGGGTGTGTGACAGTATCATCTCTTGACTTGGAGTAGCCTCAGGTGCACCCGGGGAATCCCCACCAGTTAAATGGCTGACGGGGCCAGGCGTGGTGGCTCATGCTTGTAATCCCAGCACTTTGGGAGGCCAAGGTGGGTGGATCACCTGAGGTTGGGAGTTCAAGTCCAGCCTGGCTAACATGGTGAAACCCCGTCTCTACTAAAAATACAAAAATTAACCAGGCATGGTGGCGCACACCTCTAATCCCAGCTACTTGGGAGGCTGAGGCAGGAGAATCACTGGAACCTGGTAGGTGGAGTTTGCAGTGAGGCAAGATTGTGGCACTGCACTCCAGCCTGGGCGATAAGAGCAAAACACTGCCAAAAAAAAAAAGAGAGAGAGAAAGAAAGAGAGAAATAAAGAAAGAAGGAAGGAAAGAAAAAAAAGAAAGGAAGAAAGAAAGAAAGAAAAGGAAAAAAGAAAAAATGGCTGCCAGTTGCAGGGTCTCGCCTGCAATCCTAGCACTTTGGGATGCCGAGGCAGGCAGATCACGAGGTCAGGAAATTGAGACCATCCTAGCCAACATGGTGAAACCCCAACTCCACCAAAAATATAAAAATTAGCTGGGCATGGCCTGTAATCCCAGCACTTTGGGAGGCCGAGGTGGGCGGATCACGAGGTCAGGAGATCGAGACCATCCTGGCTAACACGGTGAAACCCCATCTCTACTAAAAATACAAAAAATTAGCCGGGCGAGGTGGCGGGCACCTGTAGTCCCAGCTACTCAAAAGGCTGAGGCAGGAGAATGGCGTGAACCCGGGAGGCGGAGCCTGCAGTGAGCCGAGATCGCGCCACTGCACTCCAACCTGGGCGACAGCGAGACTCCGTCTCAAAAAAAAAAAATTAGCTGGGCATGGTGGCACACGCCTGTAGTCTCAGCTACTCAGGAGGCTGAGGCAGGAGAATCACTTGAACCCTGGAGGCAGAGGTTGCAGTGAGCCGAGATTGCACTGCTGCACTCCAGCCTGGCAACAGAGCGAGACTCTCTCAAAAAAAAACAAACAAAAAAGAAACAAACAAAAAAAAAACAAACCGTGGCTGAGGGGCTGTAGGAGGAGACAGAGGCTCAGGGGTCCTTGCTCAGCCTGGTCGTGGCTGTGTCTGAGAGATGACTCTGACCCGCTGATTTCCCTCATACAGAACAGACTTTCTGATTCCTTTCTGGCAGGGGTGGACAGGGATGAGGAGAGGCGAGAGAGGGAGACCTTGAGTTGAAGGCTGTGGGGTGGGCAGAAGGGGTGGTGAGGGGGCAGGGGAGCTGGGGTGGGGGTCTCTGGAGCCCTGCAGGACACCTTCGAGGTAACCCACCAGGGAAGTTCCACCATCCTCCCAGCCAGGGACTCAGGCCCTCCGAGGCTGCCTCTGCCCGCCAAGCCTTGACAGATGAGACCTCCTTTACCCCCACCCGGACATGTTGGGAGAGAGGTACAGGCAGGGAGGAGCTGATGGGAGAGTTTCAAGGGCTGGAGTGACGAACTCTGTGGATTTGGGGACATTATGAGAGTTTATTAATAAGACATAGATTCCCTTTAAGTTCACCTACAGAAGTGGGAAACTGTGGGCCTGGATGGGTCTTAGGAGGGGTCCTCCCCATCCCTGCTCCCAAGGCCTGGCCTAGCAGATCTCTGTAGTCAGATTATTCAAGGAGAGGGTGATGGAGGTGATGACAGCGATGATGAAGGCCCCAGGAGTCAGCAGGTGGCATTGCCTCTGTGTACCCAGCCGTGTGTTAGAGACGGCCCCCAAGCAACCAAAAACCCCCGTTCCTCAGGTGCTTATAATTGTGTGTCAAAGATAACACAGGTGAATCCCTTAGTGTGCAAAACAGTCAGAAAAACATCTATCTATGGCCAGTGCAGAGAGCAGAAGGGAGTGAGGCCAGGCAAGTAGGGCCACTCCGGAGGGCTCCGGAAGATCTGATTAGATCCAGAGACCCCCTGCCCTCCTCTTGCAGAGGGCTCTGCTGTTCACAAAGCCATTTCCCAGCAGGTAGCTCATATAATTCTCATGAGGAGATCTGTGTAAGGAAGTCGGGGCAGATGAGGATATGTAGAGACTCAGAGAGAGGATGAGTGATTTGCCTGGGTCCACACAGCAAATAATGAACACGGCCACCACTTGACAGTGGATTTGTGTCCTGCGCCCCTCCTCCCCTCTAGAGGACCCCAGTTCTCTGCACCCGCGCCTCTCCTTCCCTAGAGGATCCCAGTTCTCTCCACCAGCGCTCCTCCACCCCTCTAGAGGAACCCAGTTCTCTGCAAATCATCCCCTGCTCTGGGAATGGATTCTGGGTCCTTGGGGAGCAGTTCAGATGTCAGATCAGAGACGATCAGTGGCATCTGTAGCTTTTTTTTTTTTTTGAGACAGTCTCCTCTGTCACCCAGGCTGGAGTGCAGTGACATGATCTCCACTCACTGCAACCTCTGTCTCCAGGGTTCAAGAGATTCTCCTGCCTCAGCCTTTGGAGTAGCTGGGACTACAGGTGTGCGCCAACATGCTCAGCTAATTTTTTTGTGTGTTTTTGGTAGAACAGGGTTTCACTATGTTGGCCAGGCTGGTCTTGAGCTCCTGGCCTCAAGTAATCTGCTCAGCTCGAACTCCCAAAGTGCTGGAATGACAGGTGCGAGCCACCGCATCTGGCCCAGCATCTGTAGCTTTTCTTCCTACTCTCTGCACGCTTTTCTGGGTACTCCAGGGCACATTGTGGACTGGTGAGGTTTTGGAGAAGCAGACAGTCGAGCAAGGGAAGAGCACTCTGAGAAGGCAGAAAAATCATTTCCACAGGTCTGCAGGGGAGCTACGGTGCAGGAATGCCCTGAAAGATGAGGGGGCATCTGCTGGATGGAGCGTGATGTTTGCTGGGGAGAGTGTGGTGGTGCTGGTGCATTTGTGGATGACAGGAGCAGTAAGACCAAGCTAAGATATTTAGACATCACAGGAACCTCTGTGGGCTGAGTAGGGCTGGGGATGCCTCTGTAGGGCAGACCAGCATCAGAGAGGCCATTGAGAGGCACCCAAAGCTATCCTGGGAGGAGGACATGAAGGCCCAGCTGAGAACCCAACTCCCCTGGAAATGGGGGCTCCACTTGATGGTTGGCTGGGGGACGTGGAGATAGATGGTCTAGGAGGCTGTGTTAACTGGGAGAGGAGCCTCTTTTTGCTGGATGACAAAGGTCTCCAGTTGAGGCTGTGGAGTTTGGGGTGATGGTGAAATTTCTGAGTGGAGCTGTCCTGGGCTTCTAGGATGGGTCCAGTGCCATTGCCCCAGCCCCTACTACAGGCTGAGGAGGTATGAAAATGTGAGTGCTCACCACGAACTAAATCAGCCGGCACCTTGGTCTTGAACTTTGCAGCCTCCAGAACTGTGAGAAATAAATCTATTTTTTTAAATTTATTTTAAGAGATGGGGGTCTTGCTTTGTTGCCCAGGCTGGTCTTGAACTCCTGGGCTCAAACCATCCTCCCACCTCAACTTCCTAAAGTGCAGGAACTACAGGCAGGAGCCACCACACCTGGCCAATTTCTATTGTTTAAGCAACCCAGTCAATGGTATTTGCTATGGCAGCCCAAGATGACTAAGACAGGCTGCCTTCAAGATTTTCTCTTCATCAGCTGGGTGTAGTGGTTCATGCCTATAATCCCAGTGCTTTGGGAGGCCCCAGCCTGGGCAATGTAGTGACACCCCATCTCTAAAAAAAAAAAAAAATTAGGCTGGGTGTGGTGCTCATGCCTGTAATCCCAGCACCTTGGGAGGCCAAGGCAGGAGGATCCCTTAAGCCCAGGAGTTCGAGACCAGCTCGGGCAACATAGGGAGACCCCATCTCTTAAAAAAAAAAATTAGCCAGTCATAGTGGTGCATGCCTATAGTCTTAGCTACTTGGAAGGCTGAGGGGAGAGGATCTCTTGAGTCCAGGAATTCGAGACTGCAGTGAGCTGTGATTGCACCATTACGCTTCAGCCTGGGTGACAGAGTGAGGCCCTGTCTCAGAAAAAGCTTTTCTCTATTTATCTTTGGTTTTCAGGAATTTGACCCAGACTATAATGTCTGTGGTTTGTGGCCCTTTGTTTATTTTTGGAAATTCTTAGTGATTATTGTCTTCAAATATTTCTCCTGCCCTGTTCTCTCTCTCTTCTCCTTCTGAGACTACAATGAGATGTATGTTAGGCCATTCCATATTGGACTACAGCTCTTGGATACTGTTCTGCACACATCCCCACCACCCCTTTCTGTGTTTCAGTTTGGATAATTTCTATTGACTTATCAATTGACTGAAGATAAAAACTGACTTATTTTCAGTTTTTATTGACTTATCTTCACTAATTCTTTCCTCTACTGTGTCTTATCTGCTGATCATCCTGTTGAAAAGAAGTCTTTGGCCAGGTGCAGTGGGTCACAACTGTAATCCCAGCACTTTGGGAGGCTGAGGTGGGAGGATTGTTTGAGCTCAGGAGTTTGAGGCCAGACTGAGCAACATAGGGAGACCCTGTCTCTGCAAAAAATACCAGAAAAAAATTAGCTGTGTGTGGTGGTGTGCGCCTGTAGTCCCAGCTACTTGGGAGGCTGAGATAGGAGGAATGCTTGAGCCCAGGAGGTCGAGACTGCAGTGAGCTGTGATTGTGCCACTGCATTCCAGCCTGGGCAACAGAGAGAGACCTTGTCTCAAATAATAATAATAATAATAAATTTAAAAATCAGAAAAGAACTCTTTATCTCTGATATTATGGTTTTTATTTCTACCATCTTCGTTTGAAAGAGGCCTCTTGAGAGGCACCGAGAGCCACCCTGGAATAGGAGATGGACAGTCCAGGAGGCTGTATTGACCGGGAGGACAGGAGCCTCTCTTTGGTGGAAGACAAGGGTCTCCAGTTGGGCCTGTTGAGTGTGGAATGACTGTGGGGTTTCTGGGAGGAGCTGTCCTGGTGGCCTGAGGCTCCTGGAATGGGGACACAGTCTAGAATTCTACCTTTTCCAACTGCTGCAGAGGACACAAAAGCCAGAAAATGCCAGAAAAATGCCAGGGATCCACACGATGACTGGAACCACTATCCTGTTTTATGTACATGAAGTTGCACAGTGTTCCTAATAAGGGTCGAGGAGGGGATGGGCTAGGGGAGAGGGACCAACTGTCTGCCCTGGAGGGGCGGGGCCAGGGGTCTGAAGGGGTCAGCGCTCTTTAGCTTAGAAAGGTGAAGCTGGGGGTGGAAATGGTTAACACCTATAAAATTGGGAAGAGAGTGGTGGAGGTGAGAACAGATTGCTTCACAATAGACAAAGGGGCAACCTTTGAAACTCAAGTGATGTAAAAATTGACGCAATTACAAGGAATGCAGTTTTATACAAAGAGTAATAAACTTATTCAGCAAACACCAAAGGCTGGCTCTGCTTGAGCAGGTGCTCTGGATAAGGCAGGGTGAATAAACAGTTTATAGTAGAGTTAATGAGGTGGGATTGGGGCAGAAAGGCCACAGCCCAATCTGCTGCTGGAGCTACGAGAGGGGGCCTCCGGGGCCCTTCCACCTGGGCTGATGAGGGTACAGGGAGAGGCAGCATTTGAGTTTGGTGGTAGTTGAGTAGGACAGGAAGGAAGTATTATATTAACAGATGCTCAAAGGCCTTAGACAAATTCAGAACTGCATTGTCTGAACTTCCACAGAGCTAGGGAGAGAATTGGGATATTGGTAATCAGATTCCCTCGGGAAGATCAAATCTTGGGGTGGTAGTGGGATGAGCTGGGGTCACCCATAACTATTTGGGGTGTGGAAAGGCCAAGAGACACCCACACCACAGTTGGAGAAGTCAATAGAGACCCGATAGTCTGAGTATCATATTAATATTAAAAATGGGCCAGGCATGGTGGCTCACTCATGCCTGTAATCCCAGCACTTTGGGAGACCGAGGTGGGAGGATCGCTTGAGGGCAGGAGTTTGAGACTAGCCTGGGCAAAAATATTTTTTCAATAAAAAAGTTAGCTGGGTGTGGTGGTGTGTCTCTGTAGTCCCAGCTGCTCAGGAGGCTGAGGGGAGAGGATCTCCTGAATCTAGCAATTCCAGGCTGCAGTGAGCTAGGATCACACCACTGCAACCCAGCCTGGGTGACAGAGCAAGACATTACCTCTTAAAAATAAAAAAATATATATATGTATTAAAAATTGCAAATATTCGGCCAGGCGTGGTGGCTCATGCCTGTAATCCCAGCACTTTGGGAGGTCGAGGCGGATGGATGACAAGGTCAGGAGATCGAGACCATCCTGGCTGACACAGTGAAATCCCGTCTCTACTAAAAATAAAAAAATTAGCCGGGCATGGTGGTGTGTGCCTGTAGTCCCAGCTACTTGGGAGGCTGAGGCAGAAGAATGGCGTGAACCCAGGAAGTGGAGATTGCAGTGAGCTGAGATAGTGCCACTGCACTCCAGCCTGGGCGACAGAGCGAGACTCTTTATAAAAAAAAAAAAATGCAAATATTCATTGAGGGTTTGCTATGTGCTGGACACTTTTATAATATTATCTCATTTAACTTTTACAACATTCCTAAGAAGAAGGATGTGTTACTGATTTTGGGTTTTTATACGTGGGGAAACAGGCACAGAGATGATAAATAATTTGCTCGGTGGGGCGTGGTGTCTCACGCCTGTAATCCCAACACTTTGGGAGGTCAAGGCAGGCAGATCACGTGACATCGGGAGTTCGAGACCAGCCTGGCCAACATGGTGAAACCCCATCTCTACTAAAAGTACAAAAATTAACTGGGCATGGTGGCAGGTTCCTGTAATCCCAGCTACTCAGGAGACTGACGCAGGAGAATCACTTGAACCCTGGAGGCAGAGGTTGCAGTGAGCCGAGATCGTGACACTGCGCTCCAGCCTTGGTGACAGACCAAGACTCCATCTCAAAAAAAAAAAAAAAAAAAAAAAAAAAAAAAAGAAATTGCTCAATACCACCCATTCATCAGTTGGAGGAGTCAGGATTTGAACCTAAGCTTTCCAGCTCCAGGGTCCCCATTTTTTACCACTTGCTATAATTGGGGATGCCTGTGTGTATGTGTTCCCTAGGTCTGCCACAATAAATTAACAAACACTATTGGTGGCTTCAAGCAACATAAATTTATTCTCTTACAGTTGTGGACGCCAGAAGCTTGAAGTCAAGGTCATCATGAGTGCCACATTCCCTTCAAACTCTCTAGAGGAAGATCTCTCCTTGCCTTCTCTAGCTTTTTTTTTTTTTTGAGACGGAGTGTCTTTCTGTTGCCCAGGCTGGAGTACAGTGGTGCGATCTCGCCTCACTGCAACCTCTGCCTCCCGGTTCAAGCAATTCTCCTGCCTCAGCCTTCTGAGTAGCTGGGATTACAGGCACGCGCCACCACGCCCGGCTAAGTTTTGTATTTTTAGTAGAGACGGGGTTTCACCATGTCGGTCAGGCTGGTCTCGAACTCCTGACCTCGTGATCCACCCACCTTGGCCTCCCGAAGTGCTGGGATTACAGGCATAAGCCACCGTGCCTGGCCAGCTTCTTCCTTTTTAAAAAAATGTTTATCTCGTTATTTAGAGGCTGGATTATGAGACTGGCTAATTTTTGTATTTTTTTTTCTTGTAGAGACGGGGTCTTGCTATGTTGCCCAGGCTGATCTCAAACTCCTGGGCTCAAGCAATCCACTGGCCTCGGCCTCTCAAAGTGCTGGGATTACAAGCGTGAGCCACCGTGCCTGGCCAGCCTTTTCTAGCTCCTGTTGACGCCTGGTGTTCCTTGGCTTGTGATAACATCACTCCGATCTCTGCCTCATCGTCTTTGGGCATCTTTCCTGTACGTCACACCTCTCTCTCTTTTCTCTGACAAGTATGCAGATTTAGGGCCCATCCTAAATCTGATCTTGAGATCCTTGACTTAATGACATCTGGAAAGCCCCTGTTTCCAAAGAAGGTCGCGTTCCCAGGTACCAGGAGTTAGGACTTCGAGGATATATTTTGGGGTGATCCTATTCAATGCGCGATACCATGCTTTAGCCTCAACTGGTGGCTCTTGCTTTTAAGAAGCAGTGACAGTGCCTGCTGGCACTAGAAAGCCAAGAAGTCCATCCACCGCCATTGGTGTGTGCAGGGGTTGGGGTGGCCCCAGCTCTATCTCTACCTCTACAACTCAGCCAGGAGCCAATGAGCTTATGTTAAAGGAATAGACCCAGGCTATCTAGCTCTTGTGTGGCAGAGCAGAATGTGCACCTAGAACTGGGGGACCCCAGCTCATCCCAGTGCCTCCCATAACATTGTAGAATATTCTAGAGTGATCAGGGTGGCAAGAACAGGCATCATTTACTCTCATTTTCGAGGGAGAAATGGAAGTTCAGAGAGGTTCGCTGGATTGCACAAGGTCACACAGCGGTGTACAGGTTGGTCTTGGAGACATAGCAAGGACCCTCCCTCCACACCCCGTGGGGGCTCCCCACACTGCCACTGCCTCTTCAGGGGAGCTGCCACTGGGGACTTCATTGACTGATTTTGTCACAAGCAGAAATATGTCCTGGAGGTGGCAGGAGGAGACAGTTTCAAAGCTTGGTGATGGTCTTCAGACTTGTCCTTGAAGAACCTTCTAATGTGTGTCCCCAAGCATGCCACGATGTGAAAGGTTTGCCTGAAAAACCAGCTGCCTTAATTAAATAATAATCTATTTTATTTTAGAGACAGCGTCTTTCTCTGTTGCCCAGGCTGGAGTGCAGTGGCACAATCATAGCTCACTGCAGCCTTGACCTCCTGGGCTCAAGTGAGCCTTCTGCCTCAGCCTCTCAAGTAGCTGGGACTACAGATGTGCACCACCATGCCCAGCTAATTTTTAAATGTTTGTACAGATGGGGGTCTCGCTATGTTTTCCAGGCTGGTCTTGAACTCCTGGCCTCAAGCAAACCTCCTGCCTCAGCCTCCCAAAGTGCTGGGATTACAGGTGTGAGCCATTGTCCCTAACCTTAATCTTTTTAAAGAAAAATCCAAATACATGTGGAATGTAGAAGCAGTAAACACTGTAAATGGGCAAGAAAGGACTCAACTTAATTCATTTAATGAGATACCATGTCATTACTCTCACAGAGAAAAAAGCTACCAAACTTTACCTGCTTAGCAGGAGAGGGAGCTGGCATCTTTAATGACCAGTGGCTGCAATGTAGGCAAATAGGCAATTTTTGTTAAGCATTTTGACTACAAAGGTCTGGGGAGTGCCAGCTTGGAAATTGTTACCAGTGAATGATTTTCCATGGGTTCTCCAAGGGGTGACATAAGGCATACCTATAATAAAATAAAATAAAACAGAATAAAATAAAGCAAAATAAAATAAAATAAAATAAAATAAAATGTATATAGGCAGGGCACGGTGGCTCATGCCTGCAATCTCAGCACTTTGGGAGACCAAGGCAGGCAGATCGCGAGGTCAAGAGATCGAGACCATCCTGGCCAACATGGTGAAACCCCATCTCTACTAAAAATACATTAGCTGAGCCTACTGGCAGGGGCCTGTAGTCCCAGCTACTCAGGAGGCTGAGGCAGGAGAATCGCTTGAACCTGGGAGACAGAGGTTGCAGTGAGCCAAGATCACGCCACTGCGCTCCAGCCTGGGTAACAGAGCAAGACTCCTTCTCAAAAAAATAAAAATAAAGTAAAATAACATGTATATATATATAACATATATACATGTACACACATACATTTATATATTCACACACATTTATTGTGTTTTAAAAATTATAAAACGAGGGGTGGTGGTGCAGGTCTGTAGCCCCAGTACTCAGGAGGGAGGGAGGATCACTTGAGCCCAGGAGTTCCAGGCGCAGTGAGCTAGGATCTCACCACTGCGCTCCAGTCTGGGGGCACATTGAGAACTCGCCTCTCTCTCTTTTTTTTTTTTCGTTGTTGTTGTTTTGTTTTTTAGATGAGTCTCGCTCTGTTGCCCAGGCTGGAGTGCAGTGGTGCCATCTCGGCTCACTGCAACCTCCACCTCCCAAGTTCAAGTGATTCCCCTGCCTCAGCCTCCCGAGTAGCTGGGTCTATAGGTGTGCCACCACACTCAGCTAAATTTTTGTATTTTTAGTAGAGATGGAGTTTCACCATGTTGGCCAGGATGGTCTTGATCTCTTGACCTCGTGATCCCGCCCGCCTTGGCCTCCCAAAGTCCTGGGATTACAGGCGTGAGCCACCATGCCCAGCCTGAAGAAATACCCCCTTAACCTTAACATTCAGATAAACATTGTTAACATTTTATTTCTATGTATTTAGATTTATTCTATGGATGGTTTATATTTTAATGGCTGATTACTATTCTGTTCTATGGAACACCACAGTCATATAACCAGTCCCCTATTTGTCTATTCTTGGACATGTGTACCTCTGTTTTTTACTATAATAAGTAACGAGGCAATAAACATTCTTGTATAAATTTTATTTTATATCTGCATCAGATTAATTTAGGATGAATAACTAGGAATGTCATCGTTAAAATGATATCAGCAGCTGGGTGTGGTGGCTCATGCCTGTAATTCCAGTGCCTTGGGAGGCTGAGGTGGGACAATCACTGGAGGTTGGGAGTTGAGACTAGCCTGGGCAAGATAGTGAGACCCCATCTCTACAAAACGTAAAAAATTAGCTGAGTATGGTGGGGCCTGTGGTCTCAGGTACTCTGGAGGCTGAGGTGGGAGGATCACTTGAGCCCAGGAGTTTGAGGCTGCAGTGAGCTAAGGTTGTGCCACTGCACTCCAGCCTGGGTTACAGAGTGAGACCCCCAACTCCTGAAAAAAAAAATGGTATGACTCTTCCAATGGTCCCTGATGCATATTTTCAAATTATCCTTTAGAACTATGATGCCAAGTCAACATCACATGAAAAGGCCCCAACCAACACTAGCTACTATAGTCATCTATCATGATGGACGTCTATCTTTGACTGACAAAGAAGAAATCATATTTTGCTGTGTTTTGGATTTCTTTGCTTCCTGGTGAAATTTATATGCTTTTTCCTTCTCTTGGGCTTGTTGGCTATTTGAGTTTCTTTGGAGAAGAAGCTCAGTTTTCCTTTGCCTAGCTTCCTTGTGGAGCACCCTGACCCTGGAGGTTGAACTGGAGAAGGACCGCCGCACTTGCTCTGTGACATCCTTTGGGGACACCGTTGCCACCAGAATCCCAGGTTGGGAGGGGTCTGAATCTCTTCACCCAGAGCATGGTTCCCTTGTCCCTCCTGCAGCGAGTGAAGAACCTGGGCTTGGTGGAGTTTGCTAGCCCAGGGGACGACGGGGATGGCAGAGCCGAGGGCTTTAGCCTGGGGCTCCCACTTAGTGAGCAGGCAAGGGCTGCAGGAGCCAGAGAGAAGGAGCGTCAGGAGGTGAGGGTGTCCTAGGAACTGAATGTGAGATTTCAGAAAGAGGAAGGGCAGCTGGATAAGATGGATGGGGATTCGGTCACTTAGAGCTCAAGCTTGGTGTGACCTGCGAGGGCAACTGTTGTGGAGATGTGAGTGGTTAAGGACAAACTGAATGGTAACAAATCGGAGAGAAAATGGTATGAATCCAGGAACAAAGGCAAAAGAGAGCAGGTATGTTCGGAATGGTCCCCCGCATTCCACAGTGTCCCTGCCTTCTTTGGGTCCCTCAGTGGCCCACCATGTCACTGCCTTGGCCTCACCAGCCTCTGTCCCTCCATTGCCCCTTCTCCTTGTGGCTTCCAGGGCACAGCTGCTGCTGCTTTTTTTTTTTTTTTTTTGAGACGGAGTCTCACTTTATTGTCCAGACTGGAGTGCAGTGGTGCGATCTCAGCTCACTGCAACCTATGCCTCCCGGGTTCAAGCGATTCTCCTGCCTCAGCCTCCGGAGTAGCTGGGACTACAGGTGCCCGCCACCATGCCCGGCCAATTTTTATATTTTTAGTAGAGATGAGGTTTCACCGTGTTGGCCAGGCTGGTCTCGAACTCCTGACCTCAGGTGATCTGCCTGCCTTGGTCTCCCAAAATGCTGGGATTACAGGCGTGAGCCACCGTGCCCAGCCTCCAGGGCACAGCTTCTAAGGCACAGTTGGGATCATGGCTTTTTACTGAACTTAGTCAAGTCCAAACCCCATTTCTAGGCTGGTTCACACCCATTTTCCTAGCTTCCCTCTGCCTTACTGTCTTCCCTCACCCCAAACAGACAGTGAGCACTTTTACTCACCTCTGGGACCCCACACATGGTGTTCTTCTGCCCTGAAAACCTTCCCTTTCTCCTCTTTATTCCTCTAGCCCTTTATTGGGGCTAAAAGTAAAAGTCATTTTTCTTTTCTTTTCTTTTTTTTTTTTTAGAAACAGGGTCTTGCTCTGTTGCCCAGGCTGGAGTGCAGCGGCCTAATCATAGCTCAGTACAGCCCTGAATTCCTGGGCTCCAGTGATCCTCCCACCTCAGCCTCCCAAGTAGCTGAGACTACAGGGACACAGCACCACGCCTGACTAATTTTTTGTTGAGATGGGGTCTCATTATATTGCCCAGACTGATCTCAAACTCCTGGGTTCAAGTAGTCCTCCCCCCTTGGCCTCCCAAAGTGCTGGGATTACAGGCATGAGCTGCCACATCTGGCCTTTTTGTTTTGTTTTCTTTGAGATAGGGTCTTTCTCTGTTACCCAAGCTGGAGTGCAGTGGTGCAATCATAGCTCACTGCAGCCTTGAGCTCCTGGGCTCAAGCAATTGTCCTGCCTCAACCTCCTGAGTACCTGGAACTGACTACAGGTGCATGTACCACACTGGGCTAATATTTAAAATTTTTTTGTAAAGACAGGATCTTGATATGTTGCCCAGGTTGGTCTTGAACTCCTGGCCTCAACTAATCTTCCCACCTTGGCCTCCCAAAATGCTGGGATTACAGGTATGAGCCACCACACCTGGTCAAAAGCCATCTTTAGAATGTGCTTGAATTCTATGTTATAATCTGAGTGACCTTGGAAATTATTTATCCTTAGAACCTTGATTCCTATGTAAAATAGAAATAGCGGCTGGGTGCTGTGGCTCACACCTGTAATCCCAGCACTTTAGGAGGCCAAGGCGGGTGGATCATGTGAGGTCAGGAGTTCAAGACCAGCCTGTCCAACATGGCAAAACCACGTCTCTAATAAAAATACAAAAAGTAGCCGGGTACAGTGGTGGGCACCTGTAATCCCAGCAACTTGGGAGGCTGAGGCAGGAGAATTGCTTGAGTCCGGGAGATGGAGGTTGCAGTGAGCCGAGATCCTGCCAGTGCACTCCAGCCTGGGCAACAGAGCGAGACTCCGTTAAAAAAAAAAAAAAAAGAAATAGCCATGTCCACCTTGCAGACTTGTTGTGATGTTGTGATGTTTATATTTGGTAACTAAGAAAAAGCAGGCTTTAGACTTCCCAGCATGCACTGACTCATTCACTGAGAAAGTCTAATTAAGCCTCTACAGGGCCAACTGAACAGGGCAGAAATGTTCTCTACCCTCACGGAGTTCACAGCCTACAAGGGCAAAGACATTCCTAGGCAGTTACAGAATCACTGAGTTCCAGTTAATGTGTCCTGTGATAGGGCGAGTACAGGAATCTGCTCTGTACCCAATAAATGCCAGCTCTCCCCACCCCTGTTCATACCTCATGAGTCGTTATGGAGATAACCATAAACGTCCTTTATATGCTTTTTCATTGTTTGACTTGTGACAATAGACACATTCTACTTTTATAACGTAAAAATTCCAGTAAAATTTATGAGTAAACCCAAGAGACTCCCATTTTTAAAAGAAGAAGGAAAAAATGACAAATCAAGTATCACCTCCTCCTGGAAGCCTCCCTTGATGACAGGCAGGAAAGTCCACCCTGCTGCATTGAGCCCTGCCCTGCCTTCATGTGGGCCTCTGCTGTCTCCTCGTTGTACTGAGGGTCTAGGAGCCCCCATGAGGGGCGGGGGGTACATCTACCTTTGATCTCAGTGTTACCAGATGGCACCATGCTCTTGGTGTCCCAAACAAAGAATTGGATATGACACATACAAATAGCAAAGCAAGCAGCAAAAGTTTGTTACGTATAGTATTACACTCTCAAAGAGGGGAGAGCGGACTGATCTCTGTGAGGTGAGATCAGCATCAGTTTGGTGTACTTTGCATCTTTTTTTTTTTTTTTTTGACAGAGTCTCGCTGTGTCACCCAGGCTAGAGTACAGTGGCATGATCTTGGATCACTGCAACCTCTGCCTCCTGGGTTCAGGCGATTCTCCTGCCCCAGCCGCCCAAGGAGCTGGGATTACAGGCGCCCACCACCATACCCGGCTAATTTTTATATTTTTAGTAGAAACAAGGTTTCACCACGTTGGCCAGGCTGGCCTCGAACTCCTGACCTCAGGTGATCCTCCTGCCTTGGCCTCCCAAAGTGCTGGGATTACAGTTGTGAGCCACCATGCCCGACCACTTTTCATCTTTTTATGTGTTTTTGTTTTTTTTTAACTTCTCTTCCCAAGGCCGTCTAATCTCTAGCCAGCATCTGCCTTTTGATTGATAGGTGTGTCATTTAGTTACTTTGGCCTTTGTGTGCTTGCGCATCGCCTCCATCTCATAATCTTAAGTCCAGGCATGATATGCAGTCCACGTAGGTGAGCTGTAATGAGCTGATTATGATACAGGGTTATGTTAAAGATACTTTTTCTCTCTAACGGACATGCCTAGCACTGAGGAGCTACCCCTTACTGGTTTGGTCTGGATCTTGCTGGCCGTGGGATCTCCTTTTTATTTTTTTGGGATGGAGTCTCACTCTGTTGCTCAGGCTGGAGTGCAGTGGCTCACGATCTCGGCTCACTGCAACCTCTGCCTCTTGGGTTCAAGAGATTCTCCTGCCTCAGCCTCCTGAGTAGCTGGGATTACAGGCACCCGCCACCACGCCTGGCTAATTTTTGTATTTTTAGTAGAGATGGGGTTTCACCATGTTGGCCAGGCTGGTCTCAAACTCCTGACCTTAGGTGATTGAGGGCCTTCCAAAGTGCTGGGATTACAAGCATGAGCCACTGCACCTGGCCAAGGGGAGCAGAGTTTTAAAGGATAACTTGGTGGGTTGGGGGAGCCAGTGAGTCAGGAGTGCTGATTGCAAAGGGATGAAATCACAGGGAGTCGAAGCTGTCTTCTTGCACTGAGTCAGTTCCTGGGTGGGGGCCACAAGATCAGCTGAGCCAGTTTGTCCATCTGGGTGGTGCCAGCTGATCCATCAAGTGCGGGGTCTGCAAAATATCTCAAGCACTGATTTTAGGAGCAGTTTAGGGAGGGTCAAAAATCTTATAGCCTCCAGCTGCATGGCTCCTAAACCATCATTTCTAATCTTGTGGCTAATGTTAGTCCTACCAAGGCAATCTAGTCCCCAGGCAAGAAGAAAGTCTGCTTTGGGAAAGGGCTGTTACCATCTTTGTTTCTTCCAAAGTTAGTTCAGCCTACTCCCAAGAATGAACAAGGACAGCTTGGAGGTTAGAAGCAAGGTGGAGCCAGTTATGTGAGATCTCTTTCACTGTCTCAGTCATAATTTTGCAAAGGCGGTTTCAGCTGGAGGGCTGAGTTTTCCTGTGGGTGCAGAAAGGCAGGGTGGCTGAGGATTGTGGTGGCCTCTGGACGAGACACAGAGGAGGTTCTTGAGAGGTGATTGGGGAAGGTGACCTCAGAGACCAGGAGGCCAGAGGGGTCCCTCACTCAAGTGAGGGAGGAAGCCTGTGGGAAGGAACGCCTGCGTGAGCCTGTTTTGAACCCTGCCACCCTCACTTTGGTGCCGGCCTATCCTCTGCCATCCTCTCTGACCCTTGTATTCAGGGCTCAGAGATGCCCCACCTCCACCTTGGCAGCCCCTGGAGCTCAGCCCCTCCACTTCCATCAGGTTGAACTAGACAAAACTTAGCTCATAAACGAGAGGATTGGGCAAAACCACAAAAGTCCACCGACTTCAAAACAAACATGTGGCCGGTGTGTGCCTCAAGCCTGTAATCCCAGCCCTTTGGGAGGCCGAGGTGTGAGAATCACTTGAGGCCAGAAGTTTGAGACTGGCCTGGGCAACATAGCAAGATCCCATCTCTAAAAAAAACAAAATTTTAAAATTAGTGGGGCATGGTGGCACACCCCTGTAGCCCCAACGATTTGGGAGGCTGAGGCAGGAGGATCGCTCCAGCCTAGAAGTTTGAGGCTGCAGTTACTCCAGCCTAGAAGTAGGATGGTGATATAGTTTGAATATTTATCCCTTCCCAGATCTCATGTTGAACTGTAATTCCCAGCCCAGGTAACAGAGTGAGACCCTGTCTCAAAAAAAAAAAAGAAAAAAAAAGCCATCAAAACCCCAAAATCTCCCCCAAACACCAAGCAATCTTTTCCATCTTTTTCATGAAGTTAGAATTCCAAAAAATCTTAGGCATCATTGCCTTTCACCTGAACTGCACTGATCAATGATTTGATAGTGCTCTGTCTACCCCTGCACCCCGGCCTTCCGTCTTGGTCCAGCTCCTAGCCTCTCCCTGTGACTGTGTGTCTTTTTCATGACTCGGTAAAACTGGGGCCATCTGGGATGGCAGAGGGTGCCTCTGCTCTGGAGGACTGAACCGTCTCCTCTGCCAGGGGCCAAGGTTGGCCTTCCTGAGACAAGTGAGAAAAATGCAGCTCCTGGCATCTCGGAGATTGACAGATGGGACAAGAGGCCACACACCCTGTCCTCTCAAGGAAGTCCCTTATATGTCATCCTGTAGAATTCCTAGTAACTCCTGGGCTGGTGGCACTTCCATCACAGATTCTGTGCATATACAATCTGATTCATTTCATAGGCAGGATGAAGAAAGCCAGGGATTATATGTCCGTCTTACATAGGAAAATGGAATCCTACACGTACTGTCCCATGTTCTAAGTGGCACAGAGAAAATACAGTAGCCCCTCCAGTCCAGGGCCAAGATAATGGTTTTTTTTTTTTTTTTTTTTTTTTGAGACAGAGTCTCGCTCTGTCACCCAGGCTGGAGTGCAATGGTGCAATCTCGGCTCACCGCAACCTCTGCCTCCCTGGTTCAAGCGACTCTCCTGTCTCAGCCTCCCAAGTAGCTGGGATTACAGGCGCATGCTACCATGCCTGGCTAATTTTTGTATTTTTAGTAGGGATGGGGTTTCACCATATTGGCCAGGCTGGTCTTGGACTCCTGACCTCAAGTGATCTGCCTGCCTCAGCCTCCCAAAGTGCTGGGATTATGGGTGTGAGTCACTGCACCCAGCCTAGCTAATGATTTTTTTTACAGTTGTAGCCCTTTGAGTGGGCCTGAACCAGGGTGCAGGAGGCACTCCATGGGCAGGCTACGAGGGCTGCAGGATGACCAGGTAGAGGGGGCAGTGTTCCAAGAAGGGTGATGCTAGCCTTTGAATATTTGTCCTCACCCAAATCTCATGTTGAGTTGTAATCCCCAGTGTTGCAGGAGGGGCCTTGTGGGAGTTGTTTGGATAATGGGGGCAGATCCCTGTTGAATGGCTTGGACCATCCCCTTGGTGATGAGTGAGCTCTCATTCTGAGTTCACACAAGATCTGGTCTTTTAGAAGTGTGTGGGCCAGGCGCGGTGGCTCGCGCCTGTAATCCCAGCACTTTGGGAGGCCGAGGTGAGCAGGTCACCTGAGGTCAGGAGTTTGAGACCAGCCTGACCAACATGGAGAAACCCCACCTCTACTAAAATACAAAATTAGCCAGGCATAGTGGTGCATGCCTGTAATCCCAGCTACTTGGGAGGCTGAGGCAGGAGAATCACTTGAACTGGGGAGGCAGATGGTGCGGTGAGCCAAGATCACGCCACTGCACTCCAGCCTGGGCAACAAGAGTGAAACTACGTCTAAAAAAAAAAAAAGAAAAGAAAAGAAAAAAAAGAAGTGTGTGGCATT
Organism: Homo sapiens; assembly: GCF_000001405.40. Classification (NCBI taxonomy): domain Eukaryota; kingdom Metazoa; phylum Chordata; class Mammalia; order Primates; family Hominidae; genus Homo; species Homo sapiens. Next base: position 100,988,018 of record NC_000007.14, read on the forward strand.
GGCTGGGCTTGGTGGCTCACGCCTGTAATCCCAGCACTCTGAGAGGCCAAGGCAGGCAGATCATTTGAGGTTAGGAGTTCGAGATCTGCCTGGCCATCATGGTGAAACTGTCTCTACTAAAAATACAAAAATTAGCCGGGTGCAGTGGTGGGTGCCTGTAATCCCAGCTACTCAGGAGGCTGTCAGGAGAATCACTTGAACCCAGGAGGCGGAGGTTGCAATGAGCCGAGATCGCGCCAATGCACTCCAGCCTGGGTGACAGGCTGTCCCAGAAAAAAAAAAAAAAAAAAAAAAGAAAGAAAGAAATGTGTGGCACCTCCCCTACCCTCTTTGCCTCTCTTGCTCCTGCTTTTGCCATGTGACCAGCCTGCTCTCCCTTCACCTTCTGCCATGATTGGAAGCTTCCTGAGGCCTCCCTAGAAGCAAACACCAGCACCATCCTTCCTGTACGGCCTGCAGAACTGTGAGCCAATTAAATCTCTTTGCTTTATAAATGACCCAGGCTTACGTATTTCTTTATAGCAATGCAGGAAAGGCCTAATAGAGGTGGCTAGCTCTTGTGTATGTAAATGCATCTGGAGAGAAAGGACAGAGATAATTGTCCATGGAACGGGTGACTGCCTTAGCTCTTCTGTTTTTCCTGGGTTGGTGGCAGCTGCAGGGTTAGAGGTCAAAGGGGTCTCTCAGATGTCAAGGATGAGGAAGAGAGACTTGTCAGACCAGATATGGTTTGGCTGTGTCCCCACTCAAATCTCATCTTGAATTGTAGCTCCCACAATTCCCATGTGTTGTGGTGTTGTGGGAGGGACCCAGTGGGAGATAATTGAATCATTGGGGGCAGTTTCCCCCATACTGTTCTTGTGGTAATGAATAAGTAAGTCTCACGAGATCTGATGGTTTTATAAAGGGAAACCCCTTTCACTTGGCTCTCATTCTCTCTCTTGCCTGCTGCCAAGTAAGATGTGCCTTTCACCTTCCACCATGATTGTGAGGCCTCCCCAGACATGTGGAACTGTGAGTCCATTAAACCATTTTTTCTGTATAAATTACCCAGTCTCTGGTATGTCTTCTTCCTCTTCTTCTTTTTTTTTTTTTTTTTTTGAGACAGAGTCTCACTCTGTCACCCAGGCTGGAGTGCAGTGGTGCGATCTCAGCTCACTGCAACCTCGCAACCTCTGCCTCCTGGGTTCAAGTGATTCTCCTGCCTCAGCCTCCCAAGTAGCTGGGATTACAGGTGCCTGCCACCACACCCGGCTAATTTTTGTATTTTTAGTAGAGATGAGTTTCACAATGATGCCTAGGCTCATCTCGAACTCCTGACCTCAAGTGATCTGCCACCTCGGCATCCCAAAGTGCTAGGATTATAGGCATGAGCCACCACACCTGGCCTTGGGTATGTTTTTATCAGCAGTGTGAAAATGGACAAGTATGATGTGTAAACCAGACAATATAAGGTCTGCAAAATGCAGAATGTGAGGAACAAAAGGAACGCGTGTGGGGGCATTTGTGGGAGTACAACCTTCTGCTGGAATTGATGCCTGAGCACCTTGATAGATGAACATGTCCCAGTGTGGCTAGGGTGGAAAGAGCAGGCAATACTGGACAGAGGCATATAAGTACAGTTCTCCACAACCATACAGATATGAAAACCCAGAGCCATACTACTAACAATTCAAGTTCATTTTTTTTTTTTAGATGGTGTCTCACTCTTTCACCAGGCTGGAGTGCAGTGTCATGATCTCAGCTCACTGCAACCTCCACCTCCTGGGTTCAAGCGATTCTCATGCCCTAGCCTCCCAAGTAGATGGGATTACAGGTGTACACCACCACACCTGGCTAATTTTTTTGTATTTTTAATAGAGATGGGGTTTCACTATGTTGGCCAAACTGGTCTCAAACTCCTGATCTCAAGTGATCCACCCACCTCGGCCTCCCAAAGTGTTGGGATTATAGGTGGGAGCCACCTCACCTGGCCCTAAAAATTCAAGTTACAAATTACAGTCAAGACTCAGAAAAGTATCTAGTGACACCCTGCCCGCTAGCCAAATGGTTATATTCCACAGAAGGCACAAGGGTCTATAACAGGGGTCCCCAACCCCCTGGCCCCAGACCAGAACTGGTCCGTGGCCTGTCAGGAACCAGGACACACGGCAAGAAGTGAGTAGCGGGCCAGCGAAGCTGAGCTCTGCCTCTTGTCGGATCAGGAGCGGCATGAGATTCTTCCAGGAGGACTAACCCTGCTGTGAACTGTGCATGCAAGGGATTTAGGCTGCACCCCCTTATGAGAATCTAACGGTAAATGTAATGTGCTTGAATCATCCCAAAACCATTCCCCCAATAGCCAACAGCTCAAGTCCTTGGGAAATTGTCTTAGATGAAATCGGTGCCTGGTGCCAAAAAGGTTGGGGACTGCTAGTCTACACCATCAATAAAATTTCTTCAAATCTACAGGTTCAACTGACACTTCCTATGCCCCCAAAAGGGAAACTTGAGTTTCAATACCATGGGCTGACCAGGTGTCTTCCAGCCCGGATGTGTCAGAATTGACTGCCACCAAACATGAGGAGACAGTCATAAATCATAGCACTTTCTCTGGTTTCTCTCAAATCACAGGCTCAACAGTAAACACCAGTATTGGAGGTAATACAACTTCTGCATCCACACCCAGTTCAAGCGACCCTTTTACCACCTTTAGTGACTATGGGGTGTCAGTCACATTTATCACGGGCTCAACTGCAACAAAACACTTCCTTGACAGCTCCACAAACTCAGGCCACAGTGAGGAATCAACAGTATCCCACAGCGGCCCAGGTGCAACTGGAACAACACTCTTCCCTTCCCACTCTGCAACCTCAGTTTTTGTTGGAGAACCTAAAACCTCACCCATCACTTCAGCCTCAATGGAAACAACAGCGTTACCTGGCAGTACCACAACAGCAGGCCTGAGTGAGAAATCTACCACCTTCTACAGTAGCCCCAGATCACCAGACAGAACACTCTCACCTGCCCGCACGACAAGCTCAGGCGTCAGTGAAAAATCAACCACCTCCCACAGCCGACCAGGCCCAACGCACACAATAGCGTTCCCTGACAGTACCACCATGCCAGGCGTCAGTCAGGAATCTACAGCTTCCCACAGCATCCCCGGCTCCACAGACACAACACTGTCCCCTGGCACTACCACACCATCATCCCTTGGTCCAGAATCTACTACCTTCCACAGCAGCCCAGGCTACACTAAAACAACACGCTTACCTGACAACACCACAACCTCAGGCCTCCTTGAAGCATCTACGCCCGTCCACAGCAGCACTGGATCGCCACACACAACACTGTCCCCTTCCAGCTCTACAACCCATGAGGGAGAACCTACCACCTTCCAGAGCTGGCCAAGCTCAAAGGACACTTCGCCTGCACCTTCTGGTACCACATCAGCCTTTGTTAAACTATCTACAACTTATCACAGCAGCCCGAGCTCAACTCCAACAACCCACTTTTCTGCCAGCTCCACAACCTTGGGCCATAGTGAGGAATCGACACCAGTCCACAGCAGCCCAGTTGCAACTGCAACAACACCCCCACCTGCCCGCTCCGCGACCTCAGGCCATGT